>NC_000008.11:17738890-18041920 GCF_000001405.40 Homo sapiens
TACTGTGGGAGGCCTAGGTGGGAGGATCACTTAAGCCCAGGAGTTCAAGACCAGCCTGGGCAACAAAGTGAGACCCCCCCATCTCTACAAAAATATATAAAAATCAGCTGGGCATGCTGACACACATCTGTGATACCAGGTACATGGGACGCTGAGACAGGAGGATTTCTTGAGTCCAGGAATTCAAGGCTGCAGTGATCTATGGTGGAGTCAGTGCACTCCGGCCTGGACGACAGAGTGAAAATGTCTCAAAAAAACAAACAAACAGAAAACAAACAAACAAAAAAACAAATTAGACTTTATTATTAAAAATAAAACTCAGGCCAGGCGCGGTGGCTCACTCCTGTAATCCCAGCACTTTGGGAGGCCGAGGCGGGTGGATCACCTGAGGTCGGGAGTTGGAGACCAGCCTGACCAACATGGAGAAACCCTATCTCTATTAAAAATGCAAAATTAGCCAGGTGTGGTGGTTCATGCCTGTAATCCCAGCTACTCGGGAGGCTGAGGCAGGAGAATTGCTTGAACCAGGGAAGGGGAGGTTGTGGTGAGCCACGATTGCGTCAATTGCACTCCAGCCTGGGCAACAAGAGTGAAACTCCATCTCATAAATAAATAAATAAATAAATTAATAAATCAAACAAACAAAACTCATGGCCATACTAATAGTATTGAGATTAATAATGTGTTGGTTAACAGCATCACTGGCTGGTCTGAATCCCACCTCTGCCACTTTCCAGCTGTTTAACATTGGACAAATTATTTAACTTTTCTGTGGAAGATTCCTTGTCTATAAAATAGGGATAAGCCTCAAAGTTACTGTGAGGATTAAATGAATTTATAGATGAAATTACTAAAACTGAGCCTGGAACCCGACATATACTTAACAGTGTGAGCTGCTATCATTGACATTATAATAATTACTACTACAAATAATTTTCATCACTATCTCATCTTATTTCAGTATATTTCCAAAGAAGCAAAGGTAGTTTAGATTTGGTTTGTTATAATCTCTTATAATCTGGTCTCATATAATATATTTCCACATTTTGACAAGTAAAATGGAACAGCTCTTTGGGAGGCCAAGGTGGGTGGATCACCTGAGGTCAGAAGTTCGAGACCGGCCTGGCCAACATGGTGAAACCCTGTCTCTACTAAAAATACAAAAAATTAGTTGGGCGTGGTGGTGGGTGCCTGTAAATCCCAGCTACTCAGGAGGCTGAGGCAGCAGAATCGCTTGAACCCAGGAGGCGGAGGTTGCAGTGATCCGAGATTGCACCATTGCACTCCAGCCTGATCAACAGAGCGAGACTCCGTCTCAAAAAAAAAAAAGGAAAAGAAAAAGGAAAAAGAACAGCTGTGTTGGGTTTAATTACAATTCCTTCTCACATTCATTTTAAAGCTTCAAGAAAATGGCTGTTTCAATACTGGGTCTGGTTTTCTACTTAAGTGTTCTGAAAGGATTTATTGAAAACGCCAAATTGGCTGGAACATTTCTGCCGCTTACCTTTCAGCAGAGTAACTGTGAGTCAGTATGGTGGATATCCATTTGGTTTCAATTTGCTAATACACACAGACACTTCATTGTACAATCAATGGCAACAGGATCACGGGGATCTAAAAGCACATTGTTTCTGCTCCTTGATTTTTCTGTTCTACTTTTAACTCTGTGGCGATTAAGAAACACCTCTCAATTTACTGAGAGCATCCAAAAAAATTAGTTGCTATTAATTTTTCTGTAAAACATAATACAGTAGAATCAAATTAGTCTTCTTAGTCGGCTCAGGCTGCCATAATAGTAATAATACCAGATGGGGTGGCTTAAACAACAGAAATTTGTTTTCTCACAGTTCTGAAGGCTGGAATGTCCAAGATAGAGGTGCCAGCTGATCTGCTTCCCAGCAAGGGCCCTCTTCCTGGCATCCAGATGGCCACATTCTCATTCTACCTCACATACTGAGGACAGTTCCAGTGTCTCTTCCTCTTTTCTTTTTTGAAAGAGAGTTTCGCTCTTGCTACCCAGGCTGGGGTGCAATGGTGCTATCTCGGCTCACTGCAACCTCCGCCTCCTGGGATCAAGGAATTCTCCTGCCTCACCCTCCCCAATAGCTGGGATTACAGTCACCTGCCACCACCCTTGGCTAATTTTTTTTTTGTATTTTTAGTAGAGAAGGGGTTTCCCCACATTCCCACATTGGCCAGGCTGGTCTCAAACTCCTGACCTCAGGTGATCCACCTGCCTCAGCCTCCCAAAGTGCTGGGATTACAAGCGTGAGCCACCATGCCAAGCCCATCTCTTCATCTTTTTCTAAGGGCACCACCCCTACTGGATTAGGATCCCACTCTTATGACCCCGTTTAACCTTCATCACCTCCTCACCAGCCCTGTCTCCAAACACAATCACATTGCAGGTTGGGGCTTCAACATATTAATGTAGAGGGACCCAAGTATTCAGACCATAAAAGTCTTCTAACCAGTCAAATACAAAACTCAAATTCAAATCCAGAATGTTTCCAGTTACATTAACTTTGTTTCCATTCAGATACAGAAAACCACCCAGTAAAACGTAATTAGTTTTTAACTCAGACTGAAAAATCTGGATGCATAACTCAGTTATCAAGCTCATCGACACAGGATGATAAAAGCTCAAAAGCATGCCCTGTCTTTTCACTAAGACTAAACAGATCCACTTTTCTCTAAGACACATTATGCAACA
Source organism: Homo sapiens (assembly GCF_000001405.40). Taxonomy (NCBI): domain Eukaryota; kingdom Metazoa; phylum Chordata; class Mammalia; order Primates; family Hominidae; genus Homo; species Homo sapiens. Next base: position 17,741,604 of record NC_000008.11, read on the forward strand.
CAGAGTAAAAGGACTTAACAACTACTTCCCCGCTGGGTGGGACTGATCGCCTACATAAAAGGATTCTATCTTTTTCAATGTATCCTGGGTACTGGCCTCATTTCTTAAAAGTATGTGCGCTTAGATTTTCTGGGATTCAAGCCCCACGAAATTCAGAGAATCATACCAGTAACAGCAGTTACTCAGAAAATTAGGTGAGCTCCAAATTGTCCCTAGAAAGGTAAGGGCTGTAAAAGCTGACAGGGTCTTAGATTCTCAGACACTTACACTTTCAAGATGTGAAGATGAAGCCCAGGGAGAGTAAAAGACTTGCTCAGGCAGCGTATTGGGGCCAGAGTGGAACTAAAACACAGGGCTCCTAACTGCAGGCCAGGGGCCACACTCCAGTGCCACCAAGCTACAGGTGTTCCTCACAGAGGAGGAAGGGAGCTTCCCATTCTCTGCAAGCACCATGAGCCTTATTGGACAACTACAGTAAGGACCAGAGCTTTTTCTTCACCACCAAGGGACAGGGTTTTGCTCTGCTGCCCAGGTTGGAGTACAGTGGCATGATCATAGCTCACTGCAGCTTTGAACTTCTGGGCTCAAGTGATCTTCCTGCCTCAGCCTCCTGAATAGCTGAGGAGCCCCTACAAGGGCACACCATCATGCTCTCATGCCCAGCTGTTTTTTTTTTTTGTTGTTGTTGTTTTTTTTTTTTTTTTTTTTAGAGATAGTGTCTTGCTATGTTGCCCAGGCTGGTCCTGAACTCCTGGCCCACTTTGGCTTCCTAAAGCACTGGGATTTCAGGCATAAACCACCACACCCAGCCAGGACTAGAGCTTTCATCTCACTCATGCCTTGACTCCCCAGGTGTGGCAATATCCCAAATAAGAATCACTCTTTCTCCCAATGGCTTTTGGCCTCTGTTTTTCTCCCAGATGATGAACACTCCAAGCTAATGAATTCCTGTTTCCACCCAGATCCTCTGGGGATGGAGCCATGTGCTGCAAACCCCTCTTCCTCCACTCACGCCTCTGTGGTCATGTCTCCTTGACCTTGACACTAGGCCTGAATCTAAATAAACAGCCCGTAAAACATTTCTAAGCATTACAGGCTTTCACACTTGAGGCTTCATGGTAGGGTTGAAAAATGAAACCTACAAATACTAAATTGTAGAGAGGTACAGAGATCTTCTGGGATTTGCTCGCTTTCATTAGTTTCCATAAAACATTCTCACGTGTGTGGACACATAACTATTTGTATAAGGGAACTTACTACTAAATTGATTTGACATGACTTTAATTTGCCCAAGGCTGTACCGGCAGAAGTAAGGTGGGTTCTTTGCAAGATGTTCTCAGTCAATTGGAATGGCTAGCAGGCTTTTCATCCCCGTGACACAGGGATGACTTTTCCATTTCTTTGTAACACAGATCTGTACGTCCGCCAAATTTAGTATGATACTTAATAGCTATTCTTGAGGCGCTCACATTTCATTGGCCTAACATGACTTTAAAATTACAAATTGTAAGATACAAGCCAACATAAATAAAAGTTCACATTAGAAAAATTTAACTTTTTAGTCACCCTCATATCCCTCCTAAATCTATCATACATCTTTCAGTAAAATTAAAAAAAAAATTAATCTCTTCACATGTATTGAGGGCACACTAGGGACCTACCGTACAACACTTCAGCATTGTTAAGCACTTAACCATTTGAAAAAACTTAATGAAATGATTCAAATTTACATCAGCCACCCAATTGTATATTTATGTACACATCCTTCTGAATAGCTTATAAGATGGTTTATACACCTATACCTCTCTCCTCAACTAGCCTTTGCCTTGCTCAAAGATAAGGGATATATGTTGTCATCTTCTTTTTCTACCTCCTGTGCTCAGGATGCTGATCCACAAAAGGCTAACTGCTTTAGTGACAGAAGGCATTAGACCTATAATCATGACTGTCCAATTTTACATTCAATTAACTCATAAACTATTGAACTATTTTATTCTTACCAGAACTGGACACACGCCTGATCCTCTGAGGAGATACGGCTCGATCAGCACTGGGATTTCTATTGTCACTGTTCCGCCTCAAACAGGAAACAGGGGGCCCCACTTTGGCTTTTGGAGCAGCTATTTGCCTCAAACCGCAGGAGTCAGGCTTGGATATATTCCTACCTGAGGTGGTCGTTGTTTTTGAAGCAGAGCCCTGTGAAAATAACAGTTAAGACTGTAAACCAAAACTAAAATTCTAAGCCCCCCAACTGACTGAATGGGCCCCTCCTCTAGGCCAAGGCAATTCCAAAGAAACCTAAAAAACAAGTTCAGGCCATGATGGCAAAGAGGTCAGACATGCCTCATTATACTCTCCTCCCTTTAGAATTCAGGCACAACTGACCAGAATTAACATTAAAACAGAAACCTTAAGTCAGACAAAACAGACTCTTTATAGCAAAAAGACACTAAATTCCAACCTGACTCTAGTTTAGCATCACATGACAGACAGCAAGCCCTGAAGGAAATTGAAGTATTTTACCCCAAAATATTTTTCTTTAACACATTTTGAAATGGCCCTGCAAAGCTGTCTCTTGTAGGGGCAAATTTACATTCTGTAGAGAATCTTCTTCCCTTCCCAGATCTTTGGTCCCAAAGAAATTAGCTGAGAGTCTAGCACCTTTTAAAAGTCTAAATAGGTAATATTTGCCATCTATTACCTCTAAAGGCGGCCACGTATGAGATTTCATCTACATAATAAGAACCTTGGTCTCCACAGCCCCTTATCTTATCTTAACCGAGACACTCCTTTCTATTGATTTCAGGTCTTTAGATAATAACTTCTTTAGTTTTTTGACACGGAGTCTCCTCTATCGCCCAGGCTGGAGTGTAGTGGCATGATCCCAGCTCAGTGCAACCTCTGCCTCCCGGGTTCAAGTGATTCTCCTGCCTCAGCCTCCTGAGTAGCTGGGATTACGGGTGCACACCACCATCAATCTTTTTACTTTTAGTAGAGATGGCTAATTTTTATATTTTTGTAGCTAAGTTTTGTATTTTTTTTTTGGCATTTTATTTTTAGTGGAGATGGGGTTTCACCATGTTTTCTTTTTTTTTTTTTTTTTTTTGATTTTTTGTATTTTTAGTAGAGATGAGGTTTCGCCATGTTGGTCAGGCTGGTCTCAAACTCCACACTTCGTGATCTGCCGCCTCGGCCTCCCAAAGGGCTGGGATTACAGGCGTGAGCCAATAACTTAATTCTTTCAACGAACTGCCAAGCAGTAAATCTTTGAATCCACCTATGATCTGTAAGTCCCTACTTCAAGATGTCTCATCTTCCCAGACCAAACTAACGTGTATCTCAAATGTATTGACTGATGTCCTCTGTCTCCCTAAAATGGATGAAATCAAGCTGTAACCCAAACACCTAGGCACATGTTCTGAGGACCTCTTGAGGATGTGTCATCAGCCATGGTCCTCATATTTGGGTCAGAATAAGTCTCTTCAAATGATTTAGAGTTTGGCTTTTTTCATTAACAAAATTTTAATCCAGATCATACCTTCCCCATACCACTTCCTTGTGGTATTAGCTACGTGAAAGGAACAATTTCTAAGTGAACGTGTACAGTTGTCCCTCGGTATCAAAAATGATTAGTTCCAGGACCCTGGCAGATATCAAAATCCATGGACACTCAAATCTCTTATATGAAATGGTGTAGGGTTTGCATATAACCTATGTACATCCTCCCATATACTGTAAATCATCTCCACGATCATTACTTACAACATCTACCTATTACTTGTTTCAGGTGGATTCAACATAGTATTCAGCATGTAGTAAGTTCAAGTTTTGCTTTTTGAAACACTGCAGATTTTTTTTCTGAATATTTTCAGTCCAAGTTTGGCTCAATCCACAGATGTGGAGCCCATAGATACAGAGGGCTGACTGTATTCAATTTTCATTTTTACTATGAAACAATTAAAACTCTTCACAGCTTACTCTTTAATTCACCATATTCTGCCTTTGTACCCATTAGTGAGAGTGTACTCAAGATCACCAGTGTCACAAGTTAAATTCAAGCTAGTTTTCAATCCTTCCCCTGGGGGCTCTCTCTACACATCGAACGTTAATAACTCCATTCTCTGGTTTCCTGACAAAGCTCTTTCCTGGTTTTCCTTCTACCTGTCCGGTTATTCCTTTTCTGGGTCCTATTCTTCTGTACCTTTGGAAGCTAGTGATATAATTTGGATCTGTGTCCCCACCCAAATCTCACATCGAATTGTAATCCCCAGTGCTGGAGGAGGGACCTGGTGGGAGGTAACTGGATCATAGAAGCAGACTTCCCCCTTGCTGTTCTTATGACAGTGAGTTCTTACAAGATCTGGTTGTTTAAAAGGGTGTGTCACCTGCCCCCTCACTCTCTTCCTCCTCCTCCAGTCATACAAGACATTGCAGCCTTGCTTCCTGTACAGCCTGTGGAACTGTGAGTCAATTAAACCTCTTTTCTTTATAAATTACCCAGTCTCAGGTAGTTCTTTATATAGCAATGTGAGAACAGACTGATACAGCTAGTCTTCATGAAGACCTAGCCTTGGCCCTGTTCTCTTTCCTCACCATGTACTCTTCCTACATGATCTTGGCTGCTGTTTCAATTGCCACGTGTACACTGGTACATCCAAATCCACATGTTCAACCAGTACTCTCTCCTGAGTTTCCCATATACCTAACTTCTTTCTATACATCCCAACTCAGCATCCTTCAAGCACCTCTACGTATTAGTCCATTTTCACAACGCTGATAAAGTCACACCTGAGACTGGGTAATTTATAAAGAAAAAGCAGTTTAATGGGCTCAGAGTTCCACGTGGCTAGGGAGGCTTCACAATCATGGCAGAAGGTGAAAGGTTCATCTTACAAGGCAGCAGACAAGAGAGAATAAAAGCCAAGGGAAAGCAGTTTCCCCTTATAAAACCATCAGATCTCATGAGACTTACTCACTACCACAAGAACAGTATGGGGGAAACCACCCCCATGATGCAATTATCTCCCACCAGGTCCCTCCCACAATATGTGGGAATTACAGGAGCTACAATTCAAGATGAGATTTGGGTGGGGACACAGCCAAACCATATGACTCTACTTAACTTACTAACATATAGCCCGTATAGAATACTATTCTAAATTCTAAGTATATGTATCAATTCACTTAACCCTCATAATAATCCTGTGAAGTTGGTAGGTTTATTGTACCCCATTTTAAAGAACAAGAACATGAAGCATTTTCTAAAATTAATCTTACTTTCCTATCTATCTCAAAACTTATCTCTTCCTGTATTCACCACAACATACCCAGGCACCCAACTTCAACAATGAAAGCTGTTTCTCTTTTCCATCTGCTGTCATTTCTCAGCAAGATTACTGAAACGATGTCCACAGGATCTTTCTGGTCTCTCCAGCTTTCAATTCATCTTTTATCTGCCTGCTAGGGCAATCTCTCTCAAACTCGAATAGGGTTAGACACCTTCTGTCTGTCTTCCAGATAACATCTTCTTCACAAGGCCCAGCAATCCTTTTGCATATGGAAGCCCCTGCCATCCTCTTCACCTTATTCCCTACTGCTCAGGGTTCCATTCTCCCAGCTCCCACCACACCTACCTAGAGTCCCCTAAATTAGAAAATCTTCTCATATTTCTTCAGCTTTGTACTCTACCCAGAATACCTGCCCTTCAAATTCCAGCTAGTGACAACATGTGATGTCCCCTATAAGCCTTCCTTGACAACTCTGCCCACCACCACATCTTGTTCCCCCTCCTGCAGCACAGCAGTCTACTCACACTCCCAACTTAGCAATCAACATACCCTTGCCTGTTTACTGTATTGATAGAGGCAGGAGGCAGAGAAATTCTAGGCAGACGGGGGCAGGTCCCCAGCAAAACCCCACCTTCAAGGCAAAAACCCTGAAACCCACAGCCTAAAGTGAGAACTTCTAAACCTGTTTGCCCACTCTCTCCTAATTAGTTCTTTCTGAATAATGTCTTTTTACCAATTGAAAGTTGCCTTTTCCAAAACTACCTATGGCCTGCCTTGCCCCCCACATCCCATTCATGTAAAGACCCCAGACTCACTTGGTAGGGGAGACAAGCGGCTTGACTGATGTATTAGTCCATTTTTACGCTGCTTATAAAGACGTACATGAGACTGGGCAACTTACAAAAGAAAGAGGTTTAATTGGACTTAAGAGTTCCACGTGGCTGGGGAAGCCTCACAATCATGGCAGAGGGCAAGGAGGAGCAAGACATGTCTTACATGGATGGCAGCAGGCAAAGAGAGCTCATGCAAGAAAACTCTCCCTTATAATAACCATCAGATCTTGTGAGACTTAATCACTATTATGAGAACAGCATGGCAAAGACCTGCCCCCCCATTATTCAATTCCCTCCCACTGGGTCCTTCCCACAACATGTGGGAACTCAATACAAGATTTGGGTGGGGACACAGCCAAATCATATCAACTGGAGACTTCAGAGGACAGCTGAGTCTACTGTCATATCACCCTGAACACACCCAATCTCGCCTGATCTTTGAAGCTAAGCAGGGTCAGGCCTGGTTAGTACTTGGATGGCAGACAGACAGCTGGACTTTGGAGGAGAGATGGCTTAGCTTTGGAGAAGAGCCAAGTGTAGATGGCCAGACTTTAGGGAAGATTATCTGCCCGTCCTGTCCCGTCTTCAGCTACCCTCTCTGCTGAGAGCCACTTTCATTGCTAAATAAAATTATCTGCCTCCACCATCCTTCAGGTGTCCATGTGACCCAATTCTTCTTGGACAGTGGACAAGAGCTTGGGACCCACCAACTTTGGGTACCCAAAAAAGGTTATCACACTGACCCTTTGCCCTCGCTACTGGAGGGCAGCTGCCCCACACAGTGAGGCAAAGGGCCCACTGAGCTGATGACACACCGGTGTCCATGGATGGTGGAGCCAAGAGAGCACTGTAGCATGCCCTCTGGGGCTTTAGGGTCACAGACACCACCACCTGGGCACCACTGTGGGGCCTGCACACAGCATGCTCCTGCCGGTGCTCAAAGTGGCTGGCTGGATCCTGTACTCACTTGCCCACACACTCCTGCCCGCAAGAGGTTGAGCATGGCGGGCTGAATGGGGCACCCCCATCGCAAGTTTTACAAATGGGTTGAGAAAAACTCCTGCAACAGTATTACCCACTGCACTAGGCACTCAGACAGGGTCTCTTTTTTCCCTACATCCTAACAATCATCACCATATGTATAATACATAGTATGCACCCAATAAATGTTTCTATTCTACATAGAGGAAATGGGAGTCTGAGCCTTACTCACAGTGTGAATTCCAACACCAAACTACAATTTGCAATTCTCCCTTTACATTAATGTAAAGCAAAAATAAAATTCTAAGCCCCCCAACCATCTGAAGGGACCACTTCTCTCGGCCAAGGGCATTCCAAGGTTAACCTGAAAAACTAGTTCAGGATATGAAAGGAAGGGGGAGTCAGACATAATTATACTCTCCGAAGGGTTGGAATTCAGGCACAGCTGACCAGCATTAACATCAACAAAGACCTTAAGACTGATAGAACAGACTCTTTTAAGTCTGATAAGCAACATTTACAATCAACTCCCCCTGAAGCCGGCTACCTGAAGGTTTCATCTGTATGATAAAACCTTGGTTTCCACAGCTCCTTATCTTAACCCAGACATTCCTTTTTGTTGATTCCAGGTCTTTAACTCTTTGAACCAACTGCCAATTAGAAAATCTTTAGGCTGGGGGTGGTGGCTCAAACCTGTAATCCCAGCACTTTGAGAAGCCGAGGTGGGCAGATCACATGAGGCCAGGAGTTCGAGACCGGCCTGGCCAACATGAGGAAAGCCAGTCTCTACTAAAAATACAAAAAAATTAGCTGGGTGTGGTGGTCCTCACCTGTAATCCCAGCTACTCAAAAGGCTGAGGCAAGAGAATCACTTGAACCCGGGAGGCAGAGGCTGCAGTGAGCCGAGAGATCACACCACTGCACCCCCAGCCTGGGCAACAGAGAATCTGTCTCAAAAAAAAAAAAAAAAAAAGAAAGAAAAAGAAAGAAAATCTTTAAATCTGCCTGTGACCTGGAAGCTGCCTCCACTTCCAGTTGTCTCTCCTTTCTAGACAGAACCACTGTATACCTTACATGTACTGATTGACGTCTTATGTCTCCCTAAAATGTGTAAAAGCAAGCTGTACCTCGATCACCTTAGGCCCATCTTCTCAGGATCTCCTAAGGGCTGTGTCATGGGCCACTGGTCACTCATGTTTGGCTCAGAATAAATCTCTTCAAATATATTACAGAGTTTGACCCTTTTTTTGACACAAAGAACAACTGAGCTCAATAGAGACTTAGTAACCTGCCAGAGGTCACTTTGCCCAGTAAATGGTGGAGCTACAATTTGAAACTACTCTAAAATCCGTGCTTGTAAAGCAGCATGTTCCCTGTCATCACTCTTCTTTCTTTAATAAATCTCAAGTGTTAATTTCCGATAGATACACATAAAGCCCAATGCCGATGGCAGTCGAATTCATACATTAGGTGAATTCAACAATAACTTAGCAGGCCAATCACCCATGAGAACAGCTGGAGGTCATGTTTTGGCACTGGAGAACAATACAGAATTGGCCAAGAAAAGCAAGTGACTGTACACAAACTAACAAAGATCTTCTGTCTCTGGCTAGGTTAAATTAAAGCTGGCTAAATTCATCTCCCAGAGAAAAATCTTCTTTTAAAAAGCAACCCAAAAGTTAACCTCCCAGAGAAAACCTTCTTTTAAAAAGTAAGGCAAACTGCTCATCAATTTACAAAAGTGAATCTTCAGCAAATCACTTGTTTTGCCTTTCAGAGCCAACATTCCAAAAATTTTGAAACCGTATGGTGTATGGAGCAGAAAAGGCCAGGATTCAAGTGAGGGCTCTGAGTGTGAATCCCAATTTTACTATTTACCAGCTGTGTGAGTTTTAAGTGACCTCGCTGAAGTATTAAAATGTCGACAACAATTGCCCTGTTGTTATTGGGAAGAGTAAATAACAATGTATGGAAAGCACCTGAGCGTTACAGGGCCCATTAAATGGCATAATATAACTAAGGCACCTGAGCAAAGTGCCTGACCCAGAGCAAGCACTGAATAAATATCAATTCCTTTCCTTTTAGGTTAAGTCTCCACTCCCTTTATCTCACACACTATCATGAACACATAACCTCTGTTGTGAGGAGCTACATCTAGCCCCGTTTCAAATAAAAATCAAGTTCCTTCTTCCAAATAAGAACTTTTCTAAAGATTCAGATACACCCTGACCACCAATGAGCTGTGAGGTTGCAGGCAGTCTAGGGATTCAGTAAACTCAAGGCCTAAGGCAGGCCAAGGCCAACAAAGCAACAGTAAAAATTAACATCCGACCGGGCGCGATGGCTCACGCCTGTAATCCCAGCACTTTGGGAGGCCAATGTGGGCGGATCACTTGAGGTCAGGAGTTCGAGACCAGCCTGGCCAACGTGGTGAAACCCCATCTCTAATAAAAATACAAAAAATTAGCCAGGCATGTGCACCTGTAGTCCCAGCTACTTGGGAGAAATGCGTGAACCTGGGAGGCAGAGGTTGCAGTGAGCCGAGATCGCGCCACTGCACTCCATCCTGGGTGAGAGAGGAGACTCCATCTCAAAGAAAAAGAAAATTAACATCCCTCCAGCATGGTCTCTTCGTCAATCCAGGGCAGTAAGAGCCTTTGAGTGCTGCTGAAGTGACCAACCGACATTCATGTTTCAGGAAAACACGCAGCAAATTCATTCAGCTCTCTACAGTAAGTGCAAAGCCAGTGGCCTATGAGGGTCTGCCCAGACACTTTCCAGTCCTCCTTCCCAGAGACATGGAAATGTGCAAGAGGTAAACTAGCAAAATTAGAGAGCACTGTGCTTCAGACATGATCGTGAAAAAAGAGTAGGCCGGGGGCAGTGGCTCACGCCTGTATTCCCAGCACTTTGGGAGGCCGAGGCAGGTGGATCATGAGGTCAAGAGATCAAGACCATCCTGGACAATATGGTGAAACCTCGTCTCTACTAAAAATACAAAAATTAGCTGGATGTGGTGGTGCACGCCTGTAGTCCCAGCTACCTGGGAGGCTGAGGCAGGAGAATTGCTTGAACCTGGGAGGCGGAGGTTGCAGTGAGCCGAGATCTTGCCACTGCACTCCAGCCTGGCGAAAGAGCAAGAACAAGACTCTGCCTTAAAAAAAAAAAAAAAAAAAAAAAAGAAAGCAAAAAAGAAAAAAGAGTCCCTTATGCCAGTTGATAAGCATATGCGAATATGGGACAATCTTTCAAGACTTACAAAGTATTTCATATCTAATTATGAATCCTAACAGCCAGATTCCTGAGGCGAAAAGTGCTGTTTCTCCAAGACATACTAGGATCCATTTCAACCTGATGATTCTATCCTTACCTCAGTACCACATCGGGAGCCTGAAAAACAGGTTTTCAAGCTGCACAGGGGCAACATAACCCTAAGACTCAATGCACAAATCAGGAAAACTTTTAGTTTCAAAATTACACAACCAATTTAAATTCAAGACAAATGTCATTAAAGAAAAAGAAACTTTATGATAGAGTTTTTGGTAGCTGGGGACTGACACACCAAAAAAAGTCTCCCATAAATCAAGAGAATAAACATCGTGTTTCTATGTATATCTGTAAATGCCAAACTAAGAATGTTGATTAGAATTAAGAGTATGTTGTAATTTAATTTTGCAAAAAAATTAAAATTATAAATGATATCGGTTTTCTAAGTTTGACTTCAAGATAACTTAAAAACTAAATCTGAGTTTTGAAACAACGGATGAACTCATTAGTTTAGAAATCACTGTGGTGTACCCTTCTTCCAAATAGAGAAGACTGGTTGTTAAAGCCCAAACATGTCTAAACTGATGTTTTAGAGAATCTAGAATATCTTCGGTCTTTCCTAACCTTGTCTTCTAAACGGACCTGACAATTCCCTCCCTTGTGGTCCCCATGCACCCTGAAGACACACCTAAGTCAGCCCTTCTGCACTTGCTATTCTATGTGCTTCATTCCTCTTGCCACGAGCCCTCCAAGGGACAGGCTGTCTGTGTCACACCTGCCTTTCTCCGCTGGCACTTAGCTCCCTTCCTGGCCCAGAGGACAGGCACCCAAGGACAGCCTGTCTGGGGCTGAAAATACACCTAAGTCCCCACTGCCAAAAATAGGGCTGAGGACACATGCCCAACGACCAACAGTGGCCTGTCAAATGTTTTTAAAACCCAGAAAACCAATTTCTACACACTATTCTCAAAAACACATGCATGTTTAAAGGAAAATCACCTTTACACTGCATGTGAATTCTTTATTCTTTAAACAGCACTCTCTAGGTCCCCCCCAAATATTTTAGACAGGCGCTATGGAAAACATACTGGTTTTTCACTATACATAAGTAAAAGATTTTATTTTATATACCAGGAATTAATATATTAAGGCTGCAAGAGGCTTCACACATCCACTAGGTCCAATCCTTTCATCTTTGGGTCTCGAAAAATTACTTGCCAAAAATCATTATTGGCCGGTCAGAGGAAAAATCAAGAACACTCTTGCTCATACAAGAGGGCTCTACTTCCCAGAGCTGCCTCCTCCGCAAGAGTCCAGGAGTTATTTTTATGTTGACATGTTTACCAGCACTCCCAAGCCCTTTCTTAAATGCTGTCCAATACATTTTAAAGTTGACAACCCAACTTTTTCAGAAAAATAAAATATAACCTGATTGTATCAGGCACTTAAACTACTAATTATACTAAAATATTAAAGTAACTTCATTTTTCAGCACACTATTAAAAGGAACGGTGATACTTGATACAAAATACTGAAATTGAGGATTTTTTTTTCCATATGCAGTTTTGTTGTATTGAAACCTATTAACACCCCAGTACTGACAAGACAATGAATTAACAACTAAATGTAAATCTGCCCACCTGGTTCTGCAATATTATTGACTAATAGATAACTAAATGCTAACACATCTCAGTTTTCTCCACAGTTCTCTGAAGCATGCAAAAAATATATATATATTACTTACCAAAAACAGAGAACCATATTCAAAAGTCTCATTCATAATCTCTTGTTTCAGCTCTTGTTTTTCCATAGATGTCCCATTTTCTTTTTCACCCTTCTTTTCAGGGCTAATCCTATCAATGTTGGGAACATAGGTCATTTCCAAACATTCTGCACTTTCCATTTTAACAGGGAGTATGCCTTTGATCTTCTGAAACAACGCAGAAACGGACCCGGTCTCGCATGCTGAGTTAGAAGAACTGGCTTTGTCAACATCTTCCTGATTCGATTTCACGGCAGATGTTGTTCTTGGAACCCTGTGTGAAGCATTTTTAGAATGAGTTGTAACATGCACAGCCTGGCTAGTAATGAGTTTATTAAACTGCTGCTTATGTGTCTTGTTAATTAGAATTTCTGCTTTTTTGTCTGCATTCAAGTCAGATCTCGGTGTTCTGCTCAAGACTGTTTGTTGTCTTGAATTCACTGATGAGGGTGATGAGGCACTGGTCTGCTGAGGTCTGGGCGTGACCTTTGATAAAGCAGCATCTTTGGGCTGCAACACTGCTCTAGACATAACTTTTGCTTTGACATTCTTGAAGTTTGGTCTTGGGTAACTTATAATTTCAGTTTTTCTAACTTTGCAGCCTATTGGGGTATTCGTTTTGATTGTTGATTTTCCTAAACTGGGTTTACACAGGTTCACAGGTGCCTCCTTCGAGTCTGGTATGTTTTTAAGCCCTCGATTACCCTTCTCCACTTTCTTACATTTCTCCGTCGCTTCAATCGGTGAAACAGAAAAGGTTACTTTTGTGGGTTCTAGGACTGGTGTTGACATGCACATCGTTTTGTCTGTGCTAATGACCATATCATTTGCATCCCAAGTCAGTCCAAATGACGAGCCCACCTTTTGTCCTGGCGGGCTACTTAGAATCAATTCTGAGGTATGATTTTGGGTTCCCAAATCCTTTCCTTTGGAGACCATTTGTGTGTCTTCAGTCTCAGTGACTTTATGCTCTGGGTTCAGCACTTGAGCTTCGCTCTTATCAAAAGCTGGCACCATTAAAGGGCATTCATCATCAATAAGACAATAGGACACTGTCTCTCTCAGATTTTGGCCCATTTCCTTGTGCCTGTATGAGCTCTGTGAATGTGGTTCGCTATTGGATTCATCATGGGATAAACAAAAGAACTCTTGTAATGCAGAATCATTGGGGACTTCCATGCCATCAGAAACTGGTGTTAGTGCTTGTGTCTCCTTTTCTCCAACTAGTCTTTGTTGTGATCCATCTGTGTACTCACTGGTGACCTTTCCTGAAGAACATGCACACTGATTTCCAATATCTGAAACAAAAACCTCACTTTGCATCACCACATCAGAAAATGCTGTGTAAGTCATGTCTTGGGCTTCTGATGGTGTGACTTGAGGGTTTTCAAAGCTTTCTCTATCATAAGTAGTTTCTCTTGCATGCGTCTTATCAGAATGGGAAGATGTCCAAGTGGAATAGGATAAAGAAGATGTACTTCCACTTCTCCTACCAGTTGGTGGCAGGCTTCCAGCAGTATGGAAGGACTGACTCTTTCCGATGGCATGATGTGATATAAAGGTGCAGTTAACTTTATCCACTGTCATGTCAAATGTTTGGTTTAGCTCCAAGGCATCACAGTAGCCTGCACAGTTCAAATTGTCATTAGGCTTCCACACAAAAGGCAAAGATGGCTCAACACTCTGGCCCTCAACTGCTTCTAGGGAATGACAACTGTGTTGCAGATATTTGGGCTTCTCAGTACCTACAAGTGCAGGACACTGACAAATAGAATCTTTATGCATATCTAACACCTGCTTACTAATGAAATCACTAGAAGACTTTTCATGACCAAATACTTCAACACCCTGAAGGCTTAAAGAAATATTTTCACCAGTAACTACAGCAGGGTCAGTTTCATAATCAACCACCATGTCATCTGGGTTGGCAGAATTCCAGTTCACACTGCTGGCTGAAGAGTTTTGTGTAGGTGGTGATTTCGGGTTGTATGCATGTGTATTTCCATCTTTATCACTGGTAAAGAAGGTTTGCAATTCATCTTCTATTTTATCATCTGAATTATCATCAGTCATCCTGAATAGTAACCTTAAACCTCTGCCATTTTATTTCTTCTTCAATTCCTTTTAAATGAGAGGGTGGGCAAAATGGTCTGTCTTCTAGGTTTTTCAGCACAGTTGAAAGGTTTTCAGTCTAAGATGCTCTGAAGATTAAATGATTTGTTGTTCCCTGGAAGAAATAAAATGTTTAACTCAAGTAACTATAAGAAAAATTAACAGGCCACCCCTTGGTTTCAATCACTAAGTGATTAGTTTCAATCACTTTATGTTCACATTTAGACCCCACAACTACTGATGTGGGTAACTGAGATATAATCAGGCAATCTATCACCGCTTTTCAAGATACTTTTTTAATTTGAGGGAATAGCAAATGGGGCAAAATGGAAGATGGGGTCATTGCTCGTTAACCCTGTCCCTGACTTTATAACTGATATGCCTCTCCCCCACTCCCAGGGACTTGTCAAAGAGAGGAGGAGGTAAATCTGGCAATAGTATTTTCTTCTTGTTGGCTGACAGAGTGACAATTCACCCAAATTTGCTTATGACAGTCCCAAAGTATGTCTGTTGTCCCAGGATGATTAGTAAACATGTCCCTTTCATTCTCAGAAGGGCCCCCCTATTATTTCCATGCAGAGTGATTATTAGACAGGCCATGAAAGCCCAGCAAATCAGCTGAAGATCAATCAAGAACTCACGTTTCTCCTTTGTTTTTATTCCTATCTTAAACATATGCTATTTCCAAATTGAAGGGGAAAAAAAAATTGTCGATTCTTAAAGGCTCCAGTGGTACCCTGTTGGAAGTCCCTTGAAATGTGAGTTACCTTATGTTATACACTAAACTGTTCCCCACCCCTCTCCAATTCATATGTCAAGCCCAAACCCCCACCCCTTATGTAACTATGTTGGAGACAGAGCCTTTAAGGAGGTGATTAAGGTTAAAAGCAGTCATAAGCGTGGAGTGCTGATCCAACAGAGCTGGTGCCCTTAGAAGAAGGGAAAGTGACACCAGAATGCTCTCCCACTCTTGGTTCATCCCCTCTCTCTACCAAATTAGGGTACACTGAGAAGAGTAGGAGAGCTCTCACCAAAAACCAAACCCTGAAAAGAACCTTAATCTTCAACTTTCCAGCCTCCAAAACTGTGAGAAAGTAAGTTTTTGTTGTTTAAGCCATCCAGTGTATGATAATTTGTTATGGTGGCCGAAGAAGACTTAAGTACCACATGCCCCAGCAATTCTACTCCTAAGAATCTACTGAAGAAAATGAAAACATATGTCAACATGGGAACTTGCACACAAATGTACATGATTCTAAATAGAAGCACTATTCATAATAGTCATAAAGTAGAAACCCACATGCCCATCAACTGAAGAGCAGAAAGCAAAATGTACTCTTATGCATTTGACAAAATATTCCTCAGCAATAGAAAGGAATGCAATATTGACACATGGTACAACACGGATATAATATTACACTTGAAATATTATATCAAATGAAAGAAGCCAGTCATGAAAGTCTACATACTATATGACACTATTTACATGAAATGTCCAGAATAAGAAAACCTAAAGTGGCTGCTAATTGGGATGACGTTTCTTTTGCGAGTATGTTCTAAAACTATGTACTGATGATGGCTGCACAATGTTATATACTGAAAACTACTGAATTGTACACTTAAAAATGAAACCATTAAAACACCCACGAAAGCATTTAAATCTAAAACTTTTTGCAAATAAATTATTATTGCTTTTTTGAGATGGAGTCTTGCTCTGCCACCCAGGCTGGAGTGCAGTGATGCAATCTCGGCTCACTGCAACCTCCACCTCCCGGTTTCAGGCAATCTTCCTGCCTCAGCCTCCTGAGTAGCAGGGACTACAGGTGTACACCTTCATGCGTGGCTGATTTTTGTATTTTTAGTAGAGACAGGGTTTCACCACACTGGCCAGGCTGGTCTCGAACTCCTGACCTCAGGTAATCTGCCCACCTCGGCCTCCCAAAGCACTGGGATTACAGGCATGAGCCACCACGCCCGGCCACTTTTGGGAAATAACTTAAATTTTATTATGCTTTTGGTCAAACTGCAGTGCCAAAGAAAGGTCCAAATGTTCAAGCTAGGACTGCAAACAGGTCATTGTGAATCCTAAAATGAGGGCTGTGTGATTTATATTCTGATGGAAAGTGTAAATTTGTTAACTCTTTTTACTACTGCAAACAGATACGCACACACTTGAACTAATTTTCTAATCCTAGTATTCAATGTCAATCCGATGTCACAGTACTGTTGTAAAGAAAAAAAAATATCCATGAGGGAGGGAAAAAATGCCATTTCGTGTGTTAATTCAACTTGCCGAATGAAGAGTAGGTCTCATTTTTCTATCTTGCAGCGTTTTCTCTGCATTCAAACTTCAGTGGCCTGAATAAAACCAGAATAGGAACTATGTTAAAACTGAAACGATCAGTTTTCTTCGCTAACAGTGCTCTGTGTCTTTCTGGCCAAGCATCCTGATACCAGCCTTTAATGGAATAAAGAAAGGCTGCAATGTTGATTTCAACAGCATGTGCACACATACACATCCAAAAAGCGATTTTGAATCCAAAAATGAAGGCTGCGTGATTTATATACTGATGGAAAGTGTAAATTTGTGAACCCTTTTTACCATATAACTCCTTAGTGAAATCACTGAATAGTTTATTGGCAAGAGCCTTAATAAAAGCTTTTATGAAACATAAATTAACATTTTTAATCCTCCAGTATAAAATACATCCAAGCTAAATGTTTAAATCAAGAAATATATTTATTCATTTTTAGGCTTACATGCAGGGGATATAATTTCCAAAAGCACTAAATATGCTACAGCTTTCTGCTTCCCTAACAGCTAATACTCAGTTAACAGACTGTGGCATAAGCAAATATATGCAAAGTGCACTGCAAACACGCACTTAGCATAGATCGTGGGAACTGTCTTTGTAAATAATTGTTAGCTTCAATTAATGGCATTTTTATTACTCAAGTTTCCTCTTCTGAAGTGCATAAAAGATGATTTTTAAACCTCATATAAATTGAATTAAGGGCTCATATGTCAAAGTTATTTTTTATTTATTTATTTTGAGACGGAGTCTGGCACTGTCGCCCGGGCTGGAGTGCAGTGGCGCGATCTCGGCTCACTGCAACGTCCGCCTCCCGGGTTCAAGCGATTACCCTGCCTCAGCCTCCCGAGTAGCTGGGATTACAGGCGCCCGCCACCATGCCCGGCTCATTTTCTGTATTTTTAGTAGAGATGGTGTTCCACTGTGTTAGCCAGCATGGTCTTGATCTCCTGACCTCGTGATCCGCCCGCCTCGGCCTCCCAAAGTGCTGGGATTACAGGCATGAGCCACCATGCCCGGCCCCAAGGTTATTTTTTAAATAAGTATGTAAGAGGATAAATAATTTTATCACTAGTCCTATGTTTGTTTTTACCAGTTGTCTTTTTTTATTTTTCTTTTTTTTGAGACAAGGTCTCACTTTGTCACCCAAGCTGCAGTGCAGTGATGTGATTACAGCTTACTGCAGCCTCAACCTCCTAGGCTCAAGCGATCTTCCCACCTCAGCCTCCCGAGTAGCTGTGACTACAGGTATGTGCCAGCATGCCCAGCTAATTTTTTTAAAAAACTTTTTGTAGAAAAGGGGTCCAGCTTTTCTCATTTATAAATAATACTAAACTGAAATCTTCACAATCTTTGACATCTGATCATTTGCCAAATTGCTATATTTAAAAAGGGGGCAGGATTCTTTATAATGTGCATGTTACTATATATGTATATTTTATATATATATATAAAAGTTCTCTTTCTTTTTATATATTTATATATAAAAATACGTAATATAAAATATATATATTATATACTGAGTTTTGCTTTTAAGACTCATATACTGTGGTCAGCATTGTCTCTGAAGCATTTTCCCATGTCATTATACTATAAAAACATTTTTAACGGTTGTGAAACGCCACTAAAGTTAAGGTTAAATGTTTTAGATTTACAAGCTAGTGGTTTACAAGAGTAACAGAAAAATAAAGAAGCCATCAACCATTTAACTTTCACTTAACATTTTAGTACACTTGGGTTTATGATTTTTTTTTAATTCACAAAAAGAGATTGGGTGTGGTCGCTCATGCCTGTAATCTCAGCACTTTGGGAGGCTGAGGCAGGAGCATCATTTGAGCCCAGGAGTTCAAGACTAGCCTGGGCAACATAGCAGGACCCTACCTCTACGATTTCTTTTCTTTTTTTTTTTTTTTTTAGCACGGTGGTGCATGCCTGTAGTCCCAGCTGCTCAGAAGGCTAGGGAGAAAGGATCACCTGGGCCCAGTAGTTCACAGCTGCAGTAAGCTATGATCATGCCACCACACTTCAGCCTGGGTGACAGGGACCCTATCACTATTAAAAGAAAACAAAACAAAATAAAACAAATTTCAAATTGGTGAGCAAAGAGACTAAAAAACCCACAAACATGTGTTCATAAATACTTAAGGATTGTTTTTATATAAAATAAATTTACTGACATCTCTTCTACTTTGTAGACAAGAGTAAAAAAATAGTGGTACAGGGATTTGGATATCAAAAAGGTTCTGCAGTTAAGCTGATCAGTTCCAGCAAGATGGAAGATCAACCTCACCATTCATGAAAAGAAAACAATGGCTTTAAGTCACCACCACCACCACCATGAAGACAAAGCCAAGGACAGAAAAGGGGTGACCGGCCTTCGCTCAGGAGTTTGTCAAAAGAGTTAAAAGTTGGCCATTTTGTTTTACTGCCTATTTTATTTCTCCCCGACTTTAAGAATGGGTCCTAAGCTTGCACCACTTGCTCGACATATATATTCTTTGCCTTCATCTCACCTGACTCATAAGCAAAGTCTTCATATTGCTGTAGTTGCTATTTGTAAAGCCTTCAAAGTTGCCATCTTAGAAATATTTTGATTAAACAAGATGCAGAAAGTTAAAAAATAAAAAGACAGAGAGTGTGCTGGAGGGAAAAAAAAAAAAAAAACTTGAAACAAACCATCCTCACCCAAAGGGATAATTTCTCAAGTTCTCTTTTGGTAGTACTACCTACCAGAACAAAGGTATAACACCAGAACAAGGTATAACACCAGAACAAAGGTATAACACTTGTGTAACACTCCAGAACAAAGCAGAATGATCAAGTTTCCTTTCTAAGAGAATCATTTGGGAAAACAAGGAGATCTTTTTCAGAGAACATTTTGGACCAGAGAGAACAAATTCCCCACTTATTAAAGAGCTGGGAATGTAACAGAGCAGCTCCTCTTAAACGGTTACCAAAATATATATTTCCCTAAGGATTTATAAGGATTAAAAATTAGTAAATATGTGCTGAAAGAAATGGTCAAAGAACTACTAGTACAAGCTTTGAGGTATAATTCCAATGCCTTTGGAAAAAAAACTTTCTAAATCTTAGCTTAAGAAAAGTGATTGTTTATTCCCCAAAGATAAAAAATTCCATTATTTCTTCATGTGAAGAGACACACCTAAAGAACTGAATCATTATATTAATTACAATTATTATCATATAATAGAATTCATCATCATTACCATATTAATGCTAGAAGAAATTTTAAAGATCCAATTCAAACTTCATTTTACAAATGAGAAACCTCTGAGAAATCAACTGCATGACGTGACCAAATCAGTTGTCAATAGCAGATTATACAATAGCTGTGTGCCTTATTTCACCAACTGAACTAGAAACTCAATAGAGGCTTATATAAGAGTAGATGTCTTCTATATCTCCCTATTACCCACAGTGTCTAGCTTAATAATTTGGACCTAATATAGTTAACCTTGTAACACCATATTATAACTATAAAATCAAGAATGTTTCCAAAAGTAAAACATAAGAACTGGCTTCATTACTTTATAACCACACAGAATGTAATTTTACTACTTATTTATGTTAATATATGGCACGCCAGTCCTTTAAGATGTGAATACAAATACAGTTATAATTTATAGCTTCCAAATCATAAAGCCATTATCAGTCTTCTTAAAAGTTTTTAAGAACTCACAAATCACAATAGTAGTTTAGCTCTGTAAGCTTTAAAACCCAAAATATTACCTGATCTTCAACCTCCCTTGAATCAAAAAAGATGACATTGGCACAACATCTAAGCTATCATTTTATCTTACTAAAAACGAAGCAGTTGAGGCCTGGTGCAGTGGCTCAGGCCTATAATACCAAGACTTTGGGAAGCCGAGGTGGGCGGATCACTTGAGGCCAGGAGTTTGAGACCAGCCTAGCCAACATGGTGAAACCCCGTCTCTACTAAAAATACAAAAATTGCCAGGTATGGTGGCAGGTGCCTGTAATCCCACCTACTCAGGAGGCTGAGGCAGGAGAATCACTGGAACTCAGGAGGCGGAGGTCGCAGTGAGCCGAGATCACACCACCACACTCCAGCCCAGGTGACAGAGCAAGACTTTGTCTCAAAAACAAAACAAAACAAAAACAAAAATTAAGCAGCTGAACAAAATGTCATCAGCAGCATGTATTATAAAAAATATATTCATAAGACTCCACCTCCTGTTAAAACCATTCAAGGTAGCTAACAGTTCTACTCTAAGCCTCAACTTCCTACTATTTTTCATAATGCAAGCTTACATTCTTAAATTTGCTCTTGCAGCCTACCTTTCATCAAACTTAATAGCCACCTCAAGCACTACGTTTAACGGAGCATGTCTACCACCTAGGAACCGAGTAGAGGAGTACTTGGTGGTCAATTTCCTAAAAGCATAACGATTTCCTATGAAGTTGCTTAAATCAACAGCAGGAAACTAGAGTTGATTTAATGCATTTCAAAATGGTGGACGGCTATGAAGTAATACAAGTTATACCTTAAATAATTTAGAAAACAAGTATAAATTTGAAATTACATCCTTTTATTCTGAAACAGTATTTCTCTGACTTTAATGTGCCCACAAATCAACTGGGCCTTTGGTTGGTCAACTGACTGATTCAGAAGGCAAGGATGGGGCCTGAGATTCTGCATTTCTATCCTTCTCCCTGGTGATACCAATCCTTTTGGTCCATGGGCCACCTTGGATTAGCAAAGATGCGGCAAAGAGCTTTGAGAAACACCTGTCCAGTTGACCAGATCAAAAACAACAGTGGCTGTCAGGGCTGACTGCTTTCACATCCAATGGTACCTTTTTTTTTTTTGAGACGAAGTCTTGCTCTATCCCCCAGGCTGGAGTGTAATGGCGCAATCTTGGCTCACTGCAACCTCCCCCTCCCGTGTTCAAACAATTCTCTGCCTCAGCCTCCTGAGTAGCTGGGATTACAGGTGCCCACCACCACGCCCAGCTAATTTTTTGTGTTTTTAGTAGAGGCAAGGTTTCACCATCTTGGCCAGGCTGGTCTTGAACTCCTGTCCTTGTGATCTACACACCTCGGCCTTCCAAAGTGCTGGGATTACAGGCGTGAGCCACCACGCCTGGCCGGTACCATTTCTTAAAGTAGATACAGACTTTCTCTACATTTGGACTCTTAATTTATGCTTTTGAATGCTGCTCTCAAGACAGCTCATATTTTGCATCTAGAAAATAACTGGAAATGCAGAGAATGTTGTTTCCATACCACTTCGGCTTATTCCTTCCACGTGGAGGGAGTTTAATTTGTATAACACTCCTGGCTTTTGACTCACTCCATCCAGGAGAAGTGAAGTGACTTAGTGGATTTTTGTAAATTTAGTGAGAATTAGCTGCACAAACCCAGAATGGCCCGACCTCTTTTTTTCTCTTGGGAATGAGCTGCCCACCAGAGCCAGGACGACGGTGCACTGAGGGAGATACTCGCTGGAGGCACTAAGGCAACAGGATTAACAGTACCCTACCCAGCCTGGAGCCCCAGGCAAAGGGAAACACAAGTAACTGTGGCTGGCTGGTTATCTAACTCATCTCCTCTTCTTTCTAGCACACAGATATTATGTTTCTATGTGTTTTGCAGGTAATGCTGTGTGTTCCAGACAGCAGAATGTGAGTGGACATCATATGTACCACCTCTGGGCCTGGACCATAGAACTCACACATAATCCTTCATGTTCTTATGTGACCACACAGATGAACAAAGCAAGCCAAGTGTGGAAACGTGTTAAAGATGACGGAACCACAAGATGGAACAAGCCTGGATCCCTGAATCCCTCCTTGGAGGATTAGTGCCCACAAATTGTAAACAGCCACCCAGATCTCAGCGAGCAAGAAATAAATTATACCTGAATGTTTTAAAGGGTTTTTTGGTGGGGAAAGAACAGTGATGATAGATATTCTTAAATACTGTAACTACTTTGAAAGAAGAGAACAACAGTTAAGAACTATGTCATTTTAGTCATCTTTTGTTTTGTCAAAACAAAGATGTTACAGGCCTGTGCTTGTTTAATATGAAAAAACTCTATGATCTACAAATCCTTGGGGATACAGAGAATCAGGGTAGCTGGTGACATCTGACCTATCCTCTTACTCACTGATATTGTTCAGAAATCCAAGCTAAGAGGTTCTAAAATAGCAGGGAAAAATGGTAATTTCTATGCACTTGCATTTTTATGAAAGAAAACTGCAAAAAAAAAAAAAAGGTAATTTCTATGTACCTGCAATTTTATGAAAGAAAACCCATTAAACAATAGTTTATAATAATGCATCCCCTACACACTGAACAATTTCCCTGTTCCTGTTTCATCTTTATATCTTCCCCAGGTCTGCTTCTTTTAAGACGTCTTCACACGTTAATCTAGTCCAAGGGCTGGCAAGCCATTTCTGAAAAAGGCCAATATAAAATATCTTAGGCTTTACAGGATGTGCGGTCTGTGCTGCATTTATTCAAGTCTGCTGTTGTAGAATCAAAGACGCCACAGACGATATGGAAATGAACAAGCGCAACTGCATCCCAGTAAAATGATTTACAAAAAAGAGGCAGTGGGCCAGACTTGGCCGTGGACTGTAGCTTGCTGACCCCTGAACTAGTCTATGCCCTAATCCCGTGGTCCCCAACCTTTTTGGCACCAGGGACTGGTTTCATGGGAGACAACTTTTCTGCGGACCAGGAGGAGGGGGAGGATTCAAGCATATTATGATTACTGTACACTTTATTTCTATTAGTATTACATTGTAATACATAATCAAATAATTATATAACTCATCATAACGTAGAATCAGTGGGAGCCCTCAGTTTGTTTTCCTGTAAGTAGACAGTCCCATCTGGAAGTGATGGGAGACAGTGACAGATCATTAGGCATTAGATTCTCATAAGTAGCTCGCAACCTAGATACCTCGCATGCACAGTTCACAATAGGGTTCACACTCCCAGGAGAATCTGATGCTGTCGCTAACATGACAGGAGGTGGAGCTCAGGCACTAATGCAAGCGATGGGGAGTGGCTGTGAACACAGACGAAGCTTTGCCCCCTCGCCTGAAGCCTACCTCCTGCTGTGCAGCCCTGTTCCTAACAGGCCACAGCCCAGGAATTGGGGAACCTTGCCGTGATGAATCAAAACTAGCTGTCATTGGCTGGGCATGGTGGCTCATGCCTGTAATCCCAGCACTTTGGGAGGCCGAGGCAGGCAGATAACCTGAGGTCAGGAGTTCAAGACCAGCCTTGCAAAACTCTTTCTCTACAAAATATACAAAAATTAGCCAGGCGTGGTGGTGTGCACCTGTAATCTCAGCTACTAGGGAGGCTGAGGCAGAAGAATCACTTGAACCCAGAGGCACAAGTTGCAGTGAGCTGAGATTATGCCACTGCACTCCAGCCTAGGAAACAGAGCAAGACTCTGTCTCAAAAAAAAAAAAAAAAGACTAGCTGTCATCTATACTTCACCATCATTAAAATACAGACACCACACACACACACACACACACACACACACACACACACACAAATGCACACACAATTTTTTTGGTTTTATTTTTATTTCTTGGCTCTTTCAGAGACAGGTCAACTCAATTCAAGGACAGTATACTCTCAATTTTCTCGTAAAGTCCATTACTACATCTCTTCATAAAAATAACCACTCACAAAATCAGGTACCATAGGGCTTCTAAATTACCTAACAACAAACAGAAATAGCACCAAAAATTGGTTCTTACTTTTCACAAATCCTCTCCACTAATTATCATTTAAGATATCATTTACTATATGAAATTATATACTTTACATACTATAAATTATACACTACAAATTAAGAGACCTTTATGCTAGCATTAGTTTACCTTTGTTTAAATAAAAAAGCTTAATTGTCACTTTAGAGGCATTTTAAGACTGGTTGACACTGGGTGCCGATTTAGTGAATTTTTGTCACCAAGTTCAAGTTTGCTACAGCTGTCAAAGATCATAAAACTGAAAGCATACGGTATTAGCAAAAACAAGTCTTATCAGTATCCATGCAATTTTAAAAAGAACAGAAACTTGGCAACTAATGGGTAATTAAATGTCTGCAGACCATCACATGTGAGTACACCCAGTACACAAGTAATCATCATCCTTAATGAGAATGAGAAAATGTTTAATTCCCACTCATGCCAAAGGCCACATACAAGTCTCCTTCCTCCATGAGATCTCCTCCTACTACTCAACATGGCTATCTTTTTTCAAGTTTAATAGGCAAACCTCTCTCAGCACTTGACTGGAATAACTGTTGCACCATTTGGGAGTTATTTTTCTTTTAGACATTTGCAGATCTTATCTGAAGGTGACTAAGAGCCCAGAGTTAAGTATTTGTGAGGCAATCTATGCGAACTCTGAACTTACCTAGTTGGCTTATATGAAATTTGTAGAACGCATGGCAGGAGCCTGTGTAAGAAAGTATTGTCCTGGTTTTCTGGTGGTTTGTTGTTGTTGTGGGGTCTGAGAATGTACAGCCAACCCCTCTTTTATAACAGAGAATTGATTTTGATACATATTTTAAAATATGATAGTGCAGAGTTAATGGATGTTAAAATTTTATTTTCTTGTTTTGGTAGGTAGATTGAATTGAGAATCATATAATCAGTATATCTGAGAATTGTATGACCAGTATATTTTAAAATATGATCTTTCTTTTAATCATATTTTAAAGTATGATAGTGCAGAGTTAATGGATGTTAAAATTTTATTTTCTTCTTTTAGTAGGTAGACTGAATTGACAATCATATGATCAGTATATTTGAGAATTATATGACCAGTATATAATAAGACTGGCACAACCATTTGCCATCTTTTCCTGTTATCATCACATAGTGTGGGTGGGGAGAATGAATGGAAATCACTCCAGAATAATGACAAATGGTTTTTAAAACTCTATGCTGAATACATTCCAGCTGATAATGACCGACTTTTCTTTTTTCACTTTGGTGATATCATCCTCAGGGTAAAAAAAAAAAAAAAAAAAAAAAAGGCATTTATAAAAAACAGTTTCATAAATCTTTTAGTTATAAACAGGAAAGTTTTATATTATGTGTCATTTCATTTCTAGACTGTTGATGATGATGATAAGGAATTTGGGGCCAATTTTGATATATGAATGTATTGTTTTTCCATGTGGTGATTAAAGCTTCCATTAGCAGTTTAAAAAAAAAGAGTGAGAGGAGGTAAAAGGGGCTGGGTACAGTGGCTCATAGCTGTAATCCCAAAACATTAGGAGTCCAAGGCAGGAGGATTGCTTGAGGCCTGGAGTTTGAGACTAGCCTGGGCAACACAGCAAAACCCCATCTCTTTAAAAAAAAAAAAAAATCAACCAGGCATGGGGGTGCACACCTATGGTCCCAGCTACTCTGAAGGCTGAGGGCAGGAGGACTGCCTGAGCCCAGGATTTCGAGGTTACAGTGAGCCATGATCACGCTACTGCACTCCAGCCTGGGTGATAGAGCAAGACCCTGTCTCTTAAAAAAAAAAAAAAAAAACGGTGTGAAAGAGACTGAAGTGCAGCAAGATGCTCCAAGTTTGGGGGTTGGGGAACATGAAGATAAAGAGCCAACGGTTTGGTCAGCTCAAGAGTTTGGCTTCTACTCTGAGAGCAATGGGAGTCTGCCAAAGGAGTTATGATGGAGACTGATGCTTCGAATTGGCTAAAGGTGGAAGATGTCCTAGTGAGGAGAGACTAGACGCACGAAACTGCTAGGGCAGATGGGAACTCCTGGCAGTGGCAGCACGAGGCAAAGGAGAGGACAAGCCAGACACGCTTAAAAGGCCACTGCTGTGTCCTCTGCCCTGAGCAGCAGAGAGGCTGGCACACAATATGTGCCCAATACAGGTCTGTTGAATTAAACATTATTTTAAAAGACTACTTCACTTACATTAATATTTAAAGAAGGAAGCCACAGCAGATAGTATCAGAGAGCTGTATAAATAATGTATCACATTCTAGAGAGATACACGAAGGATTTACGCTTTGAGTATAAACTAGGAGAGTTTTATAATGTTCTCTCTTCTCTTTCTTCAAATAAACTAATATGTGAGCTCAGGATATTAATTCAGGATTTTCCAGGGTCTTGAAGGTCTTTTACTCAATCCAAAATAAATAAAAGAGAGGTTCAAAACATGAATAAGAGATCTGGGTTAAAATGAATAATTTATTAAGCATAGAGACAGATACTAGTTTAATTATCCAAGGAAAACTAATTTGCTTCTTTCTAAAACACACACATTTAAGACTTTTTAAAAGAAAATCATATACAACAAAGAAAGCTATGAGAGAAACTCTGTTTATGCCATGGTAAAAAAAAAAAATTAAAATGACCTCAACAAAAATATATCACCCCCTTTCCCTACCCACCCTCAAAGCCACATGAGGTTTGTATTTAAAATATCTTTAAGAGCCTTTTTGCAGCAATTAGAACATTTTTATACAAACAGTCAAAAATTATCAAGTGACTTATAAGAAGATAGAAGTCTCCTACCTCCAAAACAAAAAACAAAAACAAAAAACCATTACAAGACCACCAGCAGAGAAGAGAGAGTCCTGGTGGGCAGACAGCATTCCAAAGTCCTCTAAAACTGATATCAACACACCAGAAAAGTCAAAGAATCTCCCAAAAAATCATGTTTACACCAATAAAGATTAAACAATTAATGGTATTTTGTTTACACTTCTGGAGTTTTCGGGGGATTTTTGTTTTTGTTTTTTTAATATGGTTACAATTTAAATGGGCATTGGAGTGGAAAACTGACTTACTCAGTCAATAGCACAGTATAGTCAGTTTGTCTTAGATAACTCACACTATGCAATTAAAAAGCCTCTGCTTGGGGGTGGAGGAGCAAGCCCCTAGCTGGTGATAGCAAAGACAGCACCCCGAAGGAGAAGCTCCCAGCAAAGCCTGCGGGAAGTATAAAGATTCCAGACAAAATCAATTCACTGACCTGCTAAGGTTCAAGAATTCTGATTCCTCAAGTTCATTCCAAAAAATGCTTTTATTCCTTTTTTTTTTTTTTTTTTGGCTCAACAACTTCCTAAAACCTCCAAACCAGCATGTGGAAGACCTTACACATTCACAAACTCTTAAAACTGCATTTCTGAAGGCTTAGTCAGTAATTTTTTTTTTTTTTTTTTTGAGACAGAGTCTCGCTCTGTCGCCCAGGCTGGAGTGCAGTGGCGCGATCTCGGCTCACTGCAAGCTCCGCCTCCCGGGTTCACGCCATTCTCCTGCCTCAGCCTCCCCAGTAGCTGGGACTACAGGCGCCCGCCACCACGCCCAGATAATTTTTTGTATTTTTAGTAGAGACGGGATTTCACCGCGTTAGCCAGGATGGTCTCGATCTCCTGACCTCGTGATCCACCCGCCTCGGCCTCCCAAAGTGCTGGGATTACAGGCGTGAGCCACCCGCGCCCGGCCCTTAGTCAGTAATCTTAATAAGGAAAATGGTTTAACATTTTCAGGGCATCCTATATTCTTTAAACATATCATAAAAGCAGCAGAAATAACAAAGTTGTGTTTCCCTCAATCCTCATCTCTTGCTGTGAAGACGACATGAAAGCCAAATTAAAATGCTCAGATCATTTTAAATCATAAGCACTCAAGCAGTTTCAGTTTTCTTCTCTCTCTGACCCACTGCCACACTCTTTGCTTACACACACACACACACACACACACACACACACACACACACACACACGGGGGGGGTTGGGGGGGAAGCACTACAGTCAGAATCACAATGCAAAAGTGAGAAATAAGCAAGGTTCTAGACACTTCAGATGACATATAAAGTATATAATACATAATAATTTCCTGCCGCACTCCATACAATTGTTGGTGTAACCATAAAATAACCACAGTCATTTGTAATAATATACAACATTTTTACATGTTGCTTAATGAGAGTTTTTGTACTTGATATTTTAACCCAAAGCAGAGCCCTGCATTTGATTATTATCCTTTACAAAAAGTACATAAGGGGATACTCACTTTTCTGCATAATCATCTTAGCATTTTCAAACGTTCTAGAATTTAGCCTGAAGTAGGGGTAATCTAATAAAGTATGATAAATACCACAAACAAAATATAAGCAGGTGGAAAGCATCTAAGATTTAAAGAGCAGCTTCAAAAAAAAATCCCTTTTGAAACTTGAGTGGTTTTAATTTAAATGCCCCAAATCAACCATACCAAGCTAACTTACCTATATTCCTCAGAATATCAAAACCAACTGCTATCAACTTAAGCAAGAGATGTCTTATTCGAGTTATCTGTCCAAACAAAATTTTTTAATGCCTTTGGTTGCACCTCAGAGACTGTCTTTTTCATGGAGCAATGCAGAAACTGCAACCAGACTACAGGAAATACAAACACCAGACCGTACAATGAAGCCTCTCTGGGGACTATGATTATTCAAAGACAGTTCAGCCTTGCAGCAGTAATAGGGCTGAGTGTAACGACTTTTTTATTCTTCCAAACTAAAGAATTTTCCTTGGACTCTCTGCCAATGAAACATCACAGACTTTTCTGAGGCTTTACAGGCAGAAAACTTGTACGCAGATGTTTCTTGGTTATACTGTACACATCACTTGCAATAAAACTGTAAACAAACAAAAACATGACAAGTTCTTTAAGCAATTTTCAGATCATCTCTGAAAACAGAAGGCACTTTTGCCTGTCAGATTAAATCAGCATTCACTGTGGCTGGGTGACTGCTTCTGGATTAAAGAAACTGGAATATTCCAGTGATTTGGATAATGAAAAAGAAAAAAAGTTTTAAAGGTAAGATGTTAAGTATGCATCTATAATATAATTGGAATTTAGATGTAAGGAATAACCTACATTAATCTGGCTACAATTGTACTTCTCACTCCCTTGACTAATTACCTATACCAATAAGTTCTTAGGAGTGTTATATCCTTTAAACTTAGGAACTTCAGACTGCTCAAAAATTATCAAGTTAATAATAAATAAAATAATCTGTGTAAGGAAAAGTTCCTGAAAGATACATACCTTCTCATTAGCAGTGGTTCACCATCTCAGGTCAATGATGAGGAAGGGGAGGCAGGGGGCTGCACTGTAAGTTTACTTTATACATTTATATAATTATTTAAATATTTGTAATTACTTTTGGAATTTTGAATATCAAAACAAAATAAATTTATGCTCCAATGGAATCAAATACATGCTTCATGCAATGAAGTTTTCAAATCAACGTTTCTTTCACAGACATTGCAATTAAAAGATCTGCAAATCTTTTATTCAGAATCTTGGGCCAGCGTATCTGCTCTCAGCAATGTGAATAACTAGTGTCATCAAAGCTGTTACTTTACAAAATAGTCAGTGTAGTCCCTAAATAAATGTCTTTCAAATTCCAACAACAGATTGTCTGAATCAGACACCTGAAATGCATGCCAAGAAGTCTTGCAAGCAGGCAGTCTACGCATGAAAACAAACCCTATGATAGATTCTCTTGAAATTAAATACAACTCTTACAACAAAGACAATTTTACTATTTTCCGATAAACAGGGTCCACTCATGGAAAAGAGATCGACTAACATGGATAATTCATCGTCCAGTGTTTACAGTGGCTGAGTTCATTTAACCCAATCTACTAGTTCTGTATGTGAGAAAACTGAGATCTAGAGAAAAGAAGTTACGATTTCTACTAGTGTCTACTGCATAACTCTATGAGTCACCATTCACACCACATTCTATGGACAGAAACTTCACTGGTCCATTTACATTAAAGATGATGGCCATGGTGGCCCAGAATTGTGCAGGGTAGTGGCCTGGATGACTTTTAAGATGACACAATGATTTAGAAGCAGAATCAGGATCAGAATTATCTCCTTCCTCTCCTTTAGTTTACCATCATCTTGCCTCATAAATGTATGAAAGAAAGCAAAATACAAGTGCATTTAGGATAAAACTCTAATTTTTATCCTTGAAATGGCATGAATACTGCAGACTAATCCTACCTTCAGAACATCGTATGTATTAAAAGGAATGCCTATAGAAACTAGACACACATGTACAAAACAAAATAACTGAAACATTTAAAGATGTCCTACACCATTATACTATATTAAATACTTTGTGTCCCAAAGCTACAGGTGAAAACAAGAATAAATATTTCACTCGCATTATCCAAACTTGAATCCCTATTGTTTTCAATATCCCTACTGACTGTACCACAGAGGATTTAAAGAGATTCATAATTATGACTGTCATATTATATCTGCTAAAACATAATTATCTGGTCCTGCTTCCCAGTAGAAGAGGCCAGTGTACTCTCTACTGATGTCATACCAAGGAAGCACTTATGGCTACAATCACTGATGTCAATTAACATAAGAAACCAGTACATTCAGTACTCTAGTAGGTTGTTGCAAAGCAGATTAAGTTTTCCTACAAAGAGAAACTAGGCCCAAAACCAGACAAAGTATGTTCAACTTCTTCTTATAACCCACTATCATTCAATGTTAGAGAAAATCTAGGCACTAAGTAAAAGCATTTCAGATCATCACTTTGTAAACAGCCAGAGTAGTTCTTCTAATTTCTGAAACAATCACCTGTAATTCAGCACCAAAAAAACACACAAAGGAATAAAAGGTAAGGAAAAACCATATGAACATAAGGTGCCCTTGAAAAGTACTGGCATGGAAAAGACTTGAAGATTATATAACAAGACTAATCCATATTAGAGAATCAAAAGGAGATTAAACTCCCAAAGATACGTTCAGAAGAAAAACTACTATGAACTAAATTATCCTTCCTTTCCATATTGTTCATGCAATATACACACATGCACAACTTTCCCCCACTTTCACCTAGTTGGGATGAGATGTTAATTTAGGCTGAAGGACTATTATTTCTCTTTACTCCTGTTATGCCAGAGAGGATCCAAGAGGAAAAAAGATATACAGTAAAATAAAAAGATTAGGAATCAGAGCCCCAAGGAAAATAAAAGACTGTATTAAACATCACTGCAAATCAATGTCTCTGAACCGAATTTTTTAAATATTTTGCAACGTCTCAGATCACCATACGTAGTGCAGGAGCAGGGGAAGAGTCTTCAAGAGTCATGCTAGCCACACTGTCATTAGAGGTGGCCTAGAGATGCTCTGGGGTTACCTGAAACAAGCCAAAAAGCCCAGTGTCTATATCAATGGCTTTCCTACATAAAGGCAAATCTAGGGTAAGATACCTCACTTTGATGTATATGTTACTATGTTTTCTGTTGCTACACCATAGACTGGGTAACTTATAAGCCATCAAAGTTCATTTAGCTCAGGGTTCTGCAGGCTTAGAGTCCAAGAACACAAAACTGGTGTCTGGTAAGGACCATCTTGCTGTGTCATAACATGGAGAAGGGCATCACATAGTGAGACAGTAAGAGCCTGCCAGCTCAGGTCTCTCTTCTTAGGAAGCCACCAGTCCCATCATGGGGTCCACACCTGATGAAATTATCTAAATCTAATTACCTCCCAAAGACTCCACCTCCAAACATATAAAATTTGGGAGTCACATTCAAATCATAGCAATGGAGCACCAAAATCCCACAGGGTCTTTCCAGGAAGAACTCTTGACATGTCCCTCATCACTCCTGTCTATGTCAACCAGCTTGGACACAGATCTACACATGCATGGATCAATGACTAGCATTTCTGAGGTGGAAGCCAGGGCCCACAGCACACTATATAAAAATAAGACTAGGAGGCACACCTAACCATTCCAACGTCCATGTTCTTCCCCACTGTGCAGCCCTCACATCTACATTCTCTCCTTTAGCTCCCTCACCTCATTATATGACCTTAACAATCCTGCTGGTAAAGGCAGTCCCCAACCCACAAGCATATAATCTTCCAAAGTTTGCCTGGAGATTTATTTAACTTAAAGCTCGTTTTCCTAGATAAACGCTACTAACAGCATTTCTCTCTTAATAGCATTCTGTTAAGAAGCTCCCAGGCTGGCCTCCAATCTGAAACCCATTTAAACCACAATGCAGCTACTACTAGTTTGGGAAAACACTAGCCCTTCACATCTGCATAAACGCCAAACAGCTGAACACCAGTTAGGACTTTGTTTCCATGTGTCTAAAAGAAACAAAGGTGTTGCTTTTCCTACTTGATTCTGGCTAGTACCACCTCAGTCTCAAATCAGAAGAGGATAAGGACTGGGGAAGAAAATGAAAGTAAGTTTACCCCTTTCTAAAATGTGAAGAAAAGGAAGCGGAGGTGATGCCACCAGGCATTGGGGTGAATCTCATGAGAAGATGCTCAACATCATTAGTCTTTAGCGAGATGCAAATCAAAACCACAATCAGATACCACTTCATACTCGTTAGGACACCTATGATCAAAATGCTGGTGAGGATATGGAGAAATTGGAACCCCCTTGCGTTGCTGGTGGAAATGTCAAGTGGTGCAGCAGCTATGGAAAACAATTCTGTGGTTCCTCCAAGAGATAAACATAGAATTGCCATATGATCAAGCATTCCACTCTTATACCCCCAAAAGCAGAAAATAGAGACTCCAAGAAATCTGTACATCCATGTTCACAGCAGCAGTATTTACAATAACCAAAAAGTGGACACCATCAAAGGTGTCAGTGGCCACCACTGACAGATGAGTGGATAAACAAAATGTGATCTATACATACAGTGGAATATTATTCAGCCATAAAAAAGAATGAAATTCTGTTACATGCTGCAACATGGCTGAACCCTGAAAATATTATAAGTAAAAAAAAAAAAAAAAAAAAAACCAGAAAAGGACAAATATTGGATGATTCCACTTACATAAAGCACCTGGAGTAGTCAAATGAATAGAGACAGAAAGTCAATTCGAGGTTACCAGGGGCTGGGGCAGGGGAACATGGGGAGCTATTGTTAAATGGGTACAGTTTCTGTGTGGGATGATGAACAAGTTCTGAAAATACTGGTGATAGTTACACAACTTTGTGAATGTACTTTATGCCACTGAACCGTACACTCAAAAATGGTTGAAAACGTAAATTTCATGTTATATATATTTTACCATAATTTTTTTTTTAAAGCAACACCACAAATTAGAAGAGTCAGAGCTAATGGCTTCACCTTTGGATACCTCAACCTTCCCAATCTACAGAATAGGAGAAAAATACCGTACCACCTCCGGGATCCTGAAACTTCAGGCTGCATCATGAGTATCTGAGACCTCAAATGCTAAATCCTCAAATGTAAAGGGTCTACACGACAGCATGCATCACGCCCTACACACCTGCCAGGTGGAAGCTTTTCTAAGCTAGATGGTCGCACAGAAAGCAGCCATGTGTACATATGAACAAGTTTCCTAAGTTTGCAAGTTCTTTGTTAAAATCTTCAATGAAATTCTCACTCTATTAACTTAACTATCATAAAAGAGACATTATATCATAGAAGAGTAAAATTATCATAGTAACCACAGCAAGTATGCTGACAAAGATGTTTTCGATGTAGCTGTTTAGAATAAATTACTAGGACAAACATCTGGACCCATGGCCACCAGGCACTGGGCAAACAGAGCTCAGGTACAGTCTCCTGGTGAGGCAGCCTGGCCAACCTGGGTTACCCCAGTGGGGGCCTAAAAATAAAAGTGACAAGACACACAGCCCGATACTGAGTCGCATGACTACGCAGGCATTTCAGAGTGAAGTCAAGGTGCTTAGGTTCCTACTGGGCCGCCAAGCCATTCAGCATCAGCGCCGGTCCCATCTGCAGGCAAAGAATGACACAACTACCTCTTCATGGAATATTCCCAGTCAAAGCCCACTTAATAACGAGGTCCTTCTGCAGGGTTAAACAAACCTCAGTTAGAATGCAGCATGGTGCTGAGTGGTCTTTCAAACTTGCTTGTATTTACAGTCAGCCAACTGCAGATTGAACATAGTCGGGAGAAAAAAAAACAACAATACAAAATACACTATAACATAACTAGTATAAATGTATTTACATAGCACTTACATTAGGTATTAAAAGTAACCTAGAGATGGTTTACAGTCTATGGAAGGATGTGTTTTTATATGCAAAGACTACAATATTTTATATAACGAACTTAGGCATTCTCAGATTTTGGTATTGACGGTGGGGGCGGGGGTGATCCTGGTAACAATCCCTGCAGAGACCTACAGACAATACACAGAAGTCTCACATACGAGGCCCAGTGCAGTCAGGCCTGTAATCCCAGCATTTTGGGATGCCAAGGTGGGCGGATCACCTGAGCTCAGGAGTTCACCAGCCTGGCCAACGTGGTGAAACCCCGTCTCTACCAAAAATACAAAAATGAGCTGGGCATTGTGGCACATGTCTGTAGTCCCAGCTACTTGGGAGGCTGAGGCAGCAGAATCACTTGAACTCGGGAGGTGGAGGTTGTAGTGAGGTGAGACTGCACCACGGCACTCCAGCCTGGGTGACTGAGTGAGACTCTGTCTCAAAAAAAAAAAAAAAAAAAAAAAAAAAAATCTCAGATACAAGGCTTACATAAAGAAAGCATTCAATAAATGTTGACTGTAAATTAGATTTTCCTTGCTATTAAACATTACTCATAGGTGACGATGAGTGATATTTAATCACTATTAACAACTGTTTTCCTATCTAAATACAAATTTAAGGAAATATATGCGTAATACTCCCTGGGCTCTCTCCTCTTTTAAGACCTAATTGTAATTGCGCTTTCGGAGAGCAATTTCAACAGCTGTAAGACTTGATTTCATGATATCTTACTTAAAATGGAAAACCTGGGTGTGGGCTTAGTCCACAACAACCCCCTTTCTCTGAACACAGCCCCTCCTACTCACTGAGGTGGGTTCCACTAAATGAACTAGTGAATTAGCCCTCGTGCAGACACTTAAGTCTAACAGTATGCAATTTTCCCACCCCCAGCATTTGGATTTGAAACAGGTGGCTATGGCCGGGCACTGTGGCTCATGCTTGTAACCCCAGCACTTTGGGAGGTCAAGGTGGTTGGATCACCTGAGGTCATGAGTTCGAGACCAGCCTGGCCAACGTGGCAAAACTCCATCTCTACTAAAAGTACAAAAAAAATTAGCCAGACATGGTGGCGCACACCGGTAATCCCAGCTACTTGGAGGCTGAGGCAAGAGAATCGCTTGAACCCAGGAGGCAGAGGCTGCAGTGAGTTGAGATCACACCACTGTACTCCAGCTTGGGTGACAGAGGGAGACACTGTCTCAAAAAAAGAAAAAGAAAAAAAAAAAAAAAGATGTCAGGCACAGTGTGTCCCTGGAACTAAATAACATAAATCCAGGCGCTGTGCATCAGCCACCTTCTCCACACACCCAAAAGCAGAGAAAGCAAATCTCTACAGAGACGTGGATGGGACCAACATACCAAGGGGAGCAGAAATGAAAAACAGTGAAGGTTAGATTGCCTCACTGACTTGGTTCCTGAGAACCTGCCAGACACTAAGTTCTTAGAAGGACTCCATATCCTTATCACACCCATCCAGTTTTTGTCCCTATTTGCTTGAATTTTTATGACTTTCCATTAAGAGTCTCAAGAAAACTATCGTCAGAAATTTATTATAGGAAATATTTCAGCAGATTTTCAGTATATTTTCCACATCTGTGAAGACTTAGAAATGATGAAAATGTTGACAAGAAGGAATTAGAAAACCACAGTACAGTGATTCAATAAAATGCAACTATTTATAAATTATGCAGTTTACAAAACTAGGAAAAATATTTTTGTGTTTTATGATTCCTGCTATGTAAAATATGTAGAAAAAGCAACACAGGAAAACAAAAACAGATGTGGGTGGGGGTATGGAGCTGTGGGTCACTGATGCCATTTTATTATCTTGCCTGTGTTATTAAACTAGGAAGAAAAATCTAATTGCCAAAAACTTGAAATAACCCAAATGTCCATCACGGGTAGATTATTTTTTTTTAATTGTGGTACATTCATCTGATGAAATACCACTCCACAACAGAAAGGTAAACCATTGATACACAAACCACACAGATGTATCTCAAACACATACGCTAAGCAAAAGACGTCACACACAAAAGTCTCCATACTCTATAACTCCATTTATATAATATTCTGGAAAGGCAAATCTAAGGGAACAGGATTGGTGTTTGTCTAAGAATGGGCAAAGACTGAAAGGGGCACAAGGAAACTTTGAAATAATGAAAATCTATTTTGCTGAGTGTGGTTGGTGGTTGCACAGCTACAGGTGTTTGTCAAAATTCATTGTACTATACACCCGAAAAGTGCAAATTCTGCTATATGTAAATTATACCTCAATAAACCAGACTTAAAGAGGAGGGCAGGTGTGGTGGCTCACGCCTGTAATCCCAGCACTTTGGAGGGAGGAGGCAGGCGGATCCCTTGAGCCCAGGAGTTCTAGAGCTGCACGGTGAAACCCTGTCTCTACCAAAAAATCCAAAAATTAGCCAGGTGTGGTGGTGGGTGCCTGTAGTCCCAGCTACTTGGGAGGCTGAAGTGGGAGGATCGTTTGGGCCCTGGAGGGGGAGGTTGCAGTGAGCTGAGATAGCACCACTGCATTCCAGCCTGGGTGGCCGAGTAAGACTCTATCTCCAAAAATATATAAAAATAAAAATAAAGAAGACACTGAGCTCAGACACCAAACCAAAGCTACTGAGGCACCTGTAAGGTGTCTGTTTTATAATATTGGATGACATTCATCATTCATCAAATGTACTGAGTGCCCATCTAATGCCAAATGCTCTGCTATGAGCTAGTACAGAGTGAACAAAATAGACAAAAAAATAGACACAACTATACAAACAAACTACAGGTCACATAGGAAAGCATGGATGCTCTGATTGCTATTACGGGATTAGGGGTCAAGGAAGGCCTCTCTGAACAAGTCACACAAGCTTAGACCCCAGGAATAAGTAGTAGGTAAGGAGGCAGAGACTGGAAAGGTTTCTAAATGTGTCATTACAGCAGTAGTTAACAGCAACTCAACTGTTTCAACATGTGACGGGTGGTTACAGTTTACTATTTTGCTGTGATAAGGATTATGGCCTCCTACATAAGAAGCCCTAGTAAATGAAGGTTTTAAAACAGCCTAAAGACAGTGACCAGGAGACGTAATGATGTGTTTTGGATTTCAGGGACCATCAAGGAGTACGTTCCTCCAATCCTTGTCAATATTTCAAAAATGATCAACACATGTATGTATTTCCCTGAAATGAGGTTGCCTATGGGTAAACTAAAACCCATGTTCTGGTGTTTAAAAGATTTGTTGTATTTGTTCTTACTTCTGGCTGAATTTGCCATTATTTATTTAACAAGGTTTCCTGAAGCTTATCAACGTTTCTAAATGATAATGACACTCACTCACTCTCTCTCTCACCAAAAATTGGAAAAAATGGTCCCAGTTTGACAAATCGAAACCTCTTCACAATACGGGAATCAACCTTAAAGAAGGCCCCCTTCACTTGGCTTCAGAGGCCCTACTCTATCTTGGTTTTCCTCCTAAACTCACAGACTTCTCTTTGGCAAATGCCTCTAAGAGATTCTTCTTTGATCAACATCCAAGTGTTGGAGGGGGGGCGGGGGCAGCCCCTTATTCCTTCTCTTCCTTCACTCACTCTTGTTTCAAATACACTCCGATAACAATTCCCACATACTCATCTCTAGCACTGATCTTTCCCCAAAGCTCCAGGTTTGAATTCTCAACTGTCAATGTGACATCTCCACTTACATGTTTAACAGGAATCTCTGACATGGGTTGGATGTGTGTCCCCTCCAAATCTCATGTTGAAATGTGATCCCCAGTGGTTGAGGTGGGGCCTGGTGGGAGATGACTGGGTTATGGGGGTGGATCCCTCATGAATGGCTTGGGGCTGTCCACAAGAGGGAGTCAGTTCTTGCAACATCTGGTTGTTGAAACTGTGTGGCAGCGGACTCTGGGCACACTTCCTATGGCTTTGCCCTGCTCCACAAGGGACAGCCAAAAAAAAAAGTGTGGTACCTCCCCCGTCCCCTTGCTCTTGCTCTCACCATGTGACATGACAGATTCCTGCTGCCTTCTGCCATGATTGGAAGCTGCCTGCGGCCTCATCAGAAGCACATGCCAGCAACATGCTTCCTGCACAACCATGAGCCAATTAAACCTCTTTTCTTTATACATTACCCAGCCTCGGGTATTTCAATCTAGCAATGCAAGAACAGTCTGATACAATCTCAAGCTTCAAGTCTAAAAGGGAACTCTGGGCTTCCAGACCCCTGCCCATTTCCTTCTTGTCCTAGTGTTCCTGGTTTTCAACAAAAGACACCATGAATATACCTCAAGCCAAAAACCTAGGAGTCAGCAATAATCTGCCTCTTTCCCTCTCTCCCCAGTAGCAACTCCGACAGGCACTGCCTTCAAAATACATTTCAAAAGCAAGCATTCCTCACCTTCACTATTATCCCAGGTCCAAGCCACCACTGTCTCTCTCTGGGACTACTAACTGGTCAAATCATGAGCCTCTGCCTCCTTACAATATATTCTCAAAACAGCAACCAGAGTCATCCTTCTGAATTGTACTCAGTTCCTGCCATTCCTCAGTCCAAGCCTTCTAATGGCCTCCTATCACATCTAATACAAAAAAGGGACCCAGTGACCTAAGACAATAATTAGCAACAGACTAACCTTTATGCAAAAGGTGACGTGAGGCATCATCGAAGGTAAGGGAGTGCTCACTGCCATGACAAATCAGATGACACAGCTTACACTTCATAGTCAATCCTGAGGGGCTGTGGAAGAATCTAGGAAACTCAATGACATTTCACCCCTAAATCAACAGGTGTGCAAACAGAATTATCCTCTTATCTAATCAGATCTCCATAAGTACCCTGAAGGCTTCAAGGAATAAGAGTGTGCCTGTTTTTGACCACGGATTATTTACTTGCACAACTTCTCAAGTGATCTGTTTCCACCTAAAATGGAACAAAGGAGTCTCTAAAAGAAATACTACGTTTCAAATATCTCATAGCCAATCAGCAAACAACTACCATTCTGAAAAGATTTTGTCTGAATTTCCAATCAAAGTTTCTTCCAGCCCATATGACTTCAACATACAATTTGTACCACATTGTAACCAAAGAGTTATTAGTAAGAATGTTAAATAATCCTCCCCTAAATTTCAACTTAAAATGTGTAGTCTTTGTTTAAATGGCCTGTTGTCTGCAAGTTTTGAAACAAGGCTTCACTTTGTGTTCAAAGGCAGTATAAGGAAACAAGACAT
Source organism: Homo sapiens (assembly GCF_000001405.40). Taxonomy (NCBI): domain Eukaryota; kingdom Metazoa; phylum Chordata; class Mammalia; order Primates; family Hominidae; genus Homo; species Homo sapiens. Next base: position 17,781,472 of record NC_000008.11, read on the forward strand.
GTTACTGTTTCGATTCCTCTGAATGACAGTGATTAATATTAAACACAAGAGTTTCTTACAAATTAGAATTATCCAGAAACATATCCCAGTAAGCCTAGCCTCATAAAATGACTAACTTCAATATTTACTTTCATTTCTAAAATTTTTTAAATCAACCACTAAGACTTTAACCTCCCCCTACACACGCCAAGAAGAAATGCTGGCTCTCCCCTGCACTGGCCACACCTGTCTTTAGACAGCACCCCTTTCCTGCTCGACGGCCTCCTGCCCCCATCATGTGATCAACCTCTGGCATCAGGAAGGCAGTGGTGGCTCTGTGCCATGAGGTCCCTCTTTGTAGGCTGTGGCTATTTTTGGGCTGGCAGCCCCTCTGATTCCTGACTTGGCCCTAGATAATCATGAGGCCGCCTTTAGAGAGAAACCCTTCAGAAGCCAGGCAGGTCCCTGTGGGATTAGCAACACTCCACTGCTAACACAGCAAGTCTCAGGTCCTAAGTGCTATAAAGGCCCTCCAAGGACAGCGCCCTCTAACCTGATGGCCCTCGGTTGGCCAGACCCAAGGCTGGGCTCCCATTTCAAATGGGCAAGTCCGTGGTTTTATGGGGCTAACAAATCAAAGCTGACACAGATATACTACTCATACATGGATTTTAGCCAGGAAATTTCAAACAACTCAATGATGGGATTTTTTTCCCCCCTTAAATGTCATGTCCATTCATAACAGTGAGATTTCAGATGTGTGTAACAGCTTTGGGAAAAGGTATTGATAAAAATATTCAAAGAAAATGTTAGTCACTTTTCAAAAAAAGCACAGCATACCAAGATGATGTAGTAAGTTAAATATTCCCTTGTGCTATTTATAGACATAACCATATACTGTATCATTTCTAATTGGAAAAGGTCTACCAGAGATACTATACACCTGATCCTAAAACTATACATTATCTTCTGCTACGCCTCTAGGAAACAAGACTATAATAACTTGAATTTTAAGAACTACAAATTCAAGATAAATATTTGATTGGTTTTTCCATCTCACTATTAAAATGAAGCATAAGACCCTCAAATTAGGTTTAAATGTTTTAACAGTGAAGTTTTATGGGAGAGTACATCCAAAAATACAGAGAAAATACATTTATGTATTTCATATCACACCTTTCCTCCAAGGCCATCATGACATCAAAACTGATCCCTTTTCTTTATCCCTAACTTGGATTTTGTAAAGAATTGTAACATCTTTTCTGAAACCACAAGTCTACAGTGTAAAAAATGTTTCATTCCCAGGTTTCTACTGGCAACATTAAATGAAGACCTTATGAAACCTGGCCGGGCATGGTAGCTCACACCTATAATCCCAGCACTTTGGGAGACAGAGGTGGGTGGATCACCTGAAGTCAGGAGTTCGGGACCAGCCTGGCCAACATGGTGAAACCCCACCTTTACTAAAAATACAAAAATTAGCCGGGTGTGGTAGTGGGCGCCTGTAATCCCAGCTACTCAGGAGGCTGAGGCAGGAGAATCGCTTAAACCTGGGAGGCGGAGTTTGCAGTGAGCCAAGATCGTGCCATTGCACTCCAACCTGGGCGAAGAGAGTGAAATTCTGTCTCAAAACAAACAAACAAACACACACACGCCCTTAAGAACGCAATGAGGATAACATGTTGGCCCTTGTATTTGAGAAGGCAACCTGGCTTGACTCTGAGCTACAGCTCCAAGAAATAAAGACGATTTGCTCACTGGTCCTAGCTCTGACAATAAGCACCTGCCCAGTGAAGTCTCTGGCTGTGAAGGTGAGTGAGGTGTTCTCTCCATTCCATCCATTCTGGAGTTGGAATTTTCCAAACACTGCTAAAGGTGGGGGTGTGCCAGGAAAACAAAGGAACACAACATGGACCAGCCAAGTTCCCTCTCTTGCCCTCATAAGCAGAACAAAGTCTCAGCACTCCAGGACTGGCCGCTATTTGCCTTTCTTAGATGGGAGTGTAGGAAGAGGGAGCATACCAGGCCTTAGAATCTGTCCTCACTAGACATGGAGGAGGAGATGATGTAATTTTTTTTTTAAATAAAAAGATATGCAATGCGCATGCTGTTGTGCTATGAGAAGAATGTGGAAATTCACAAGTTGGGCATTGTTTAGCTTTGTATCCCTGTGGCTACTGTGTTCAACTCAGCCTGAGGCTCCATGAAGACGGTCCTTGAGTCTGACTTCCAAGGGCCTGACAGCCTATTGGTGACAGCCTTTACAATCACTGGTATCTGAAGCTCAAGCAAGACAGACACCAACTAAGTACCCCCAGCAGTAATTTCTCAAAAAACAATTCAGTAACATGCAGACTCCATCCTTAACGGCAATCTGAGGCTCTGCTGTGGTCAACAAATACCACTGACAGTGGCCCGGACCACCACTCCAATTCCCAAAGACCTATGGGCCCCGATGACATGAAGGTCACTCAGAGCTTAAAGGCAGAGATGAATGCAATGAAGATTTCCACTGAAAGATGGCAGAGAAATGTTCTACCCACACTCACCCAATTGAGATTTGTGGAATTCAACAGCCCCCAAACGTTTTAAAAGCAAATAATTCAGTATCCATTCATGCCTTTCTCCAAATGATTTCAACTCTTCATAAAGTAATCATAAGTTAAATAAAATAACATCTCTCCTTTTGATACTAACTTCCTATAGCTTAGCCGTTATAGGCAAAATGGCAGTGTGGTTTAACTGAATCCACATTTACAGTTGAGAATACTCCTACTCCCTGCTGTTACATCAGTGTAAGATGTTTTAGTTGGCAATCTAAACCCTGCTAATTTTCTTACAACTGTTTTTTTTTTTTTTTTTGAGATGGAATTTCACTCTTGTTGCCCAGGCTAGAGTGCAATGTCGCCATCTCGGCTCACTGCAACCTCCACCTCCCACATTGAAGTGATTCTCCAGCCTCAGCCTCTCAGGTAGCTGGGATTACAGGTGCGCACCACCATGCCCGGCTAATTCTGTATTTTTAGTGGAGATGAAGTATCACCATATTGGCCAGGCTGGTTTTGAACTCCTAATCTCAGGTGATCTGCCTGCCTCGGCCTCCCAAAGTATTGGGATTACAGGCATGAGCCACCATATTAAGAGACTTTCAAGAATGAAATGATCCCTGTGTAATTTTTACGATTGAGTTCCAACTGGCTACAAAGAGAGGAATGTATACAATAGCATGCAGAACAGTCTCCGAGAAGTTCCGTGGCTACAGAATGGGGGCATTTCTCACACCACTCTGTCAGCTTCCTTATCCCTGTTACAGAGTGACCTTTTTATAACAAGAAGAACTTTTTTTTTTTTTGACACAGAGGCTTGCTCTATCACCCAGGCTGGAGTACAGTGGTGCAATCTTGGCTCACTGCAACCTCCGCCTCCCGGCTTCAAGTGATTCTCGGGCCTCAGCTGCCTGAGTAGCTGGGATTATAAGTGTGCACCACCATGTCCGGCTAATTTTTGTATTTTTTGTAGAAACGGGGTTTCACCATGTTGGCCAGGCTGGTCTTGAACTCCTGGCCTCAAGTGATCCACCTGCCTCGGCCTCCCAAAGTGCTGGGATTACAGGTGTGATCCACTGCGCCCCACCTATAACAAGAACTTTTATTCATGCAACAAACATTCCTAGGTCCTCTATCACATGCAGCTTCTTTGCTAGGTGATGGGGACACAATGCTGAACAAGATGGTCCCAGCCTTCAAAGAGCCTCCAAAGAGCCTCCAGTTCAGCCAGGAAGACAAAAATGTACAAGTAAATAATTACAAAAACTGCAAAGGTAGAAGCGACTGGAGGCTAAAGGGACCCAGAGAATAGGCTCCACTGTTACAGATATGGAGAAAACAGTGAAATGTCACTTCCAGAAGAAGATAAAGCTTGAGCTGAGACTAAGGCATAGGCAGGTGAGTGCTTCTCAGCCTTTCAGATTTTATGGACCTGTGACATCCACACTCCAAAACTCTGCAGAGACAGCATGGGGATGTCAGCTTTAATTTTGCCAAGAGGGGCACTTCAGACAAAATTTGTACGACTGCCAACACATCATAAAAGGACATTATTTTAATACAAAAAGTGAAAGGGGTACAAAACTGCAGCATAAAGAACATTCCTTTAGTTTACGTAATATACATTTAGCCTTATGAAAATCTTGGTACACTGTATTTTTATTCCATCTCACCGTGTTCAAGTCAACATTCTGTCACCAGGTACCCCAGGGTCACAGATGCACATTTGGAACCTCTGATCTAGATGACAAAGGCAGATCTGGAGGGCAGTTTCTCACCTCTGCAAAGATCAAAGCAACAGACCAGGAGAGAAAGAAATACACCAAGGGAAGTACTGAGAGGGCCGATGGATCAGCAAAGGCCTAAGGCCAGGTACCATGGGTCATGCCTGTAATCACGGCACTTTGGGAGGCCAAAACAAGAGAATCTATTGAACCCAGTTCAAGACCAGCCCGGGCGACACAGTGAGACTCTGTCCCTAAAAAATTTAAAAATTAGCCAGCCATGGTGGCACATGCCCATAGTCCCAGCTACTCAGGAGGCTGACACCAGAGGATCACTTCAGCCCAGAAGTTAGAGGCTGCCGTGAGCCAAGACTGTGCCAAAGCACTCCAGCCTGGGTGACAGAGCGAGACCCCATCTCTGGAAAAAACAAACAAAAAAAAGCAGCTTAGAACACGTCAAGGAAGGTCAGTGTATTCTGACCCTTCTTGCAATGGAAGCCACATCACCAACACACGCACGAGCCTAGGACAGAGGCACCCAAAGACCAAGCCCGATGAGTTACTTCCGTAGAGACCAGAGAGGTCTGGAAGGCAGTGCCTGGCAGCAGACAGTCCTCACCCGCTGCCATGATGCTAAAACCTCCTCCAGGACCCAGGCACCATCTCAGATAAAAGCTCTTCAAGGACCCAGGCACCATCTCAGAAGTGGGTGAGCCGCTGAGGAAGGAGGAAATCCATCCTTCAGAGGAGAGAAGAGCCTCAGATAGGAAGCGTGAACTGACCACACTTAAAATCCTCAAGGAGATATTTATCTGCAAGCGACTCTTTGAAACCAAAAAACACTGAGTTATCTTGAGGTTGCCACATTATATGTTCTCTACAAGTGAGGTGAAATGAGGATGTGTGAGGCAGTTGGGTTATAAAGAAATAAAGTTCCATTTGGGGTCACAATGTGAATGTGTAAGTGTCCCACCTGCTTCCGTAGTTGAGAGACTGGCTGGGGCTGGAAGAAATGGATCCACCCGAGCGGTATGAAGGAGCTGGGTTTCATATGTGATATTAAGAGTTAAGGTGCTACGTTAACAACCAACATTTAACACTGCAGGGGTAGCGCTTTATCACAAGAGACTTTCGCTCAGGCCACAGTACATCAGTTCTTCGGATCCCTTATGAACTCTTCCACCTCAAACCAGCATATACTGTTTTGTATCACAGCTATACATTTCAGAAAGAAAATAAAAGTTGAATTTTTAAAAAAGACTCTTTCCTAGTACACTTGACAAGCATTGTGGAGTGAGGCTGACCTCATTGCTGAAAAGCGATCGGAAGCTTCAGGACATCATAAGGGCTGGTGAGAGAAAGCGCTGTGTAAACACAGTGTTTGGCAAATCCAAGGACTGCCAAGGAGGGGCCACCGCTCCCTGACACCCTGTCAATTCCACTGCTCCACGCCAGGCCAGCACAGTTTGTGAGGCCAGGATGAGGAACAGGCCACAGCCTCCAGCATGGGTAAAGATAACGACATCAGTGCACAGCTCTTCAAAGTCCACAGTGTTCCCACAGTCATCCTCCCAGTAGACAGTCCCATGTGACAGACAGGTCACATGACAGTCACATTCCCCCATCCCTCCTCCTCTGAGATGCTAAACCTGATGTTTCCAGAAGTTGAGTACCTTGCTCAAAACACAGAGTTAATAAATAGCAGCAATGGACATTAAACTCTACTCCAATGTGTAATCTTGATCTATTTCCACCTTCCTTCTCACAATAACGAAATCACCTAAACACCTGGTAGGTCTGCACAGCTATGGACCTTATAGCCACCTGATATGAGAAGCATACGTTTATCAAGGAGCTCCTAAACTGACTCAGGAACTGGGTTACCTGTTACAAGCCAAAAATATTCTTCGCCTCATTTTCCTCATGGACAAAAACTGATTCAACAATCCATCTCATAGGGTCGTTTTAGAGTTAAATAAAATTTTTGGAAACTTTCTAATACACAATTGTACATTGCTACTGTTATGCCAACAACCTTGTAAAACAAGCCTTATTATCATCCTCACTTTTCTGATGACCAAAGCTCAATAGTTTATTCATCCAGTCACGAAGACTTTCTGGCTGGGCACAGTGGCTCACACTGTAATCCCAGCACTTCGGGAGGCCGAGGCAGGCGGATCACCTGAGTAAGGAGTTCAAGACCAGCCTGGCCAACATGGTGAAACCCCACCTGCACTAAAAATACAAAAAATTAGCTGGGCGTGGTGGTGGGTGCCTGTAATCCCAGCTACTCCGGAGGCTGAAGTAGGAGAATGGCTGGAACCCAGGAGGCAGAGGTTGCAGTGAGCCGAGATCGTGCCCTTGCACTCCAGCCTGGGCAACAAGAGCAAAACTCCATCTCAAAAAAAAAAAGACATTCTAAGGTGATGGACACATTCTGTATCTTGATTGGTGTGATCGTTACACCAATATGTATTTGTCAAAACTCATATAATTGCACACTTAAGCCAGGTGCACTGCATTTCATCACACTTAATGTTATCTCAAAAATTGTTTCAAAGATCATGTGGTAGTGAACAGCAGTGTGTATTCTGAGACATATTCATGAATTCTTATTGGAATCTACAGATTTTTTCCGCATTCTTTTTCTGTAATCTGCTTGCCAACTAATCCTTCCTACCCAACAGAAACCCTTAAATGTTGACGATAGCTACTAGTTACCGTTTCTGTCTCTTTACTCAGAATTTCATGTTTTACTGTTACATCCTGAACATATTCATCTAGAACCTTCCACTGAAGTAGGTCTCTGTCCACAACCCAGTAGGGTACGACAGCCACAGACTAAACCACCACCTTGAAAAGCAGGCTAGGAAGGATCATGTGCCAGCTGCCTGCAGTCCTAACTCAGCCGACTTCTGAGAATCTCAACTATATTTCTCAATCTAAGTCAACATTCCTTCAACAGTTTATTGAACAAAAATAAAAAGCACAATTCTAAATACTCCTCCCAGAGGAAGGAACAAAATAAAGCCCTTGCTCTCTTAGATATCACATCATATTGTAGATGATTTTCAAAATTCCATCAGAAAGTAACCTTTGTCATGAAAATCAGTAAAAAAGAACAAGAGGCAAAACAGTAAGTTTCAGGATAGTACTGGGTCCAAAGTATTTACTTTTATACAATGAGCTGTTTGTATAGAAGTAAATAATTAAAAGCACCATCTACCCCCAGGGCTTATCAAAGGCACTCTCAAAGACTGTACAGTTATGCTAAAGAAATGATTTGATGTACAGACTGTGCATGCTTTTAGTTGTCTTTTTTTTTTTTTGAGACGGAGTTTCACTCTTATTGCCCAGGCTGGAATGCAATGGCACGATCTCAGCTCACCACAACCTCCGCCTCCCAGGTTCAAGCGATTCTCCTGCCTCAGCCTGACCAGTAGCTAGGATTACAGGAATGAGCCACCTCACCTGGCTACTTTTGTAATTTTAGTAGATACAGGGTTTCTCCATTTGGTCAGGCTGGTCTCCAACTCCCAATCTCAGGTGATCTGCCCGCCTTGGCCTCCCAAAGTGCTGGGATTACAGGTGTCAGCCACTGCCCCCGGCCACTTTTAGTTTTTAAATTATATGCAGTTAGTTTTTAAAAACTACCTAAAAGGTAGCTCAGACTGTTTGAGGGACGTGGGGGTAGATCGCGTGGGCAGGGCAGAGTTTACAGCTGAAATATAAAATCTTTACCCCAAAGTGTTAAATGACCATGAACATTTCCTTGTTTAGAAACTTCAGAGTTGTCCTCTCTCTCCAAAGTCCACTTGGTGAAAAGGAAATAATTTTCCATTTGAATCACGCCAACACCAAATGGAAAATGTCTTTATGTGTGTGTAGTTACGCAAGTTGGCACCTCACCTTATACCTCCCAACCTTTATTAAACATCGACTTCCTGCACCCTTTTCTTGAAAATGATTACCTATGTTAGGCTTTCTGCTAGCAAGAGTTCTTTAACAGAAGGTGACTGTATATACACATTTAACTCACAGCAGCAGCCCAACGATAGCCAACCTCCAACCAGGGCCTATTTATACAGTCCTAACCCTATATATTCCTTAGAAGACAATTTGGAAATAGAGAACTGATGACTTTTAGGGCTAAAAATCATGACTGATATTCAGCTGAAACTGTGGTTTTGTGAGGGCATTCGTCTCTTCCCAGTTCTGACACTGGCCTCACCTCCTACTTCAGTTTCCATCTGGGATTACCTCCATTTCCTCCACTAATTACCTGCCGCTCAGTAGCTTACAATAAGGAAACAGAATTCAAGATTTCTACTTTTAAAAAAAGTTTCAACTGGGCACGGTGGCTCACACCTGTAATCCCAGCACTTTGGGAGGTTGAGGCAGGTGGATCACAAGATCAGGAAATCAAGACCATCCTGGCTAACATGGTGAAGCCCCACCTCTAATAAAAATACAAAAAATTAGCCAGACATGATGGCACACACCTGTAGTCCCAGCTACTCGGGAGGCTGAGGTAGGAGAACTGCTTGAACCCGGGAGGCAGAGGTTGCCATGAGCCGAGATGAAGCCATTGCACTCCAGCCTGGGTGACAGAGCAAGATTCCCTTTCAAAAAAAAAAAAAAAGTTTCAGGAAAAAAAATAGTAGTTGCTATCCAGCATATAAGACCACAGACTGCTAATCTATGAAGTGAGATACAAAAAATCTAATTATTCAAATGATTGTTTCTATACAGTTCTATTAGGACTTATTGCAAAAAGCAGTCTGAAAGCTATAAAGTCCTATGTAAGTGGAATTCATGATTGTAATGATCTCTAACTGTCAATTTTTCACTTGTGCTACTAATCTGAATGGCTTACAACATTTAACATTCGGCTTTACGTTCTGTGATTAGAAAATGTGAAAATAAACCGTAATTCTCAGCTATGTCATTTGAAATTTTACATATCATAACTACTGCATGACTTGGCCTGGCACAGTGGCTTACTCCTATAATCCCAGCACTTCGGGAGGCCAAGGCAGGTGGATCACTTGAGGTCAAGAGTTCGAGACCAGCGTGGCCTACATGGTGAAACTCCATCTCTATCAAAAATACAAAAATTAGCCGGGCATGATGGCAGGCACCTGTAATCCCAGCTACCCAGGAAGCTGAGGCAGGAGAATCGCTTGAATCCGGGAGGTGGAGGTTGCAGTCAGCCGGATCGTACCACTGCACTCCAACCTGGGTGACAAAGCAAACTATCGGTGGGGGCGGGGAGAAGTTTTATCCCATTTCAGCACCAATGTATAGAAAATCCTGGCAACAGAAACTTATTACTTCCACTCGCATTAAAACTAGTCAAATAACAGCATCATACTGGGTGTGGGAAATGGACCGGTACAAGTCCAGTCCCAGTTCCATAACTTACTCGCCATAAGACAAAACATTTATCCAAATAGTTCTGGTCCCCAGTCTCCTTCAGTATAAAAGAAAGCACTCATGACCTGCTCTGCCCAACCGCAGGGCTGATGTGATCAGTTCTTAATATCATATTTACAATGTGCTTGCCACAAACATAGGGAATTAATATTTCACTATGCTTAAAAGATGAAAATACAAAATTGCTTTTATATTTAAATACTGTATATTAATAGTAACATTTTACAATTGAAACTCTAAAATACAAATATTCTGGACTATGTTACAGGTGAAAAATCAGAACAGGGAACCTTAGTACTGTAATATCCACAAGTCCAAGATTAGTTCAAAGTGATGACTCAATTGTCTTTCGAATGTGCTGACTGATAGCAAAGAGGCAACATAATTTACAGACTTTACCAAAGATAAAAGTATCTACATTGATTTTTTGAAAACACAGTTCAAATGGAGTATCAGCAGCTCACTAGACTTAAACTTTCAAGAAAAACAAGAGGTGACAAAGCTGGAGTCTGAGAATAAACAATCTCCAATGTTTGCTACAAATCAATTCCTCCTAAGGAAGAGGGAAAGTTATCAGCCTCCTGAGCCTAGAATTTAACTCCCAACCGACAGCACCAGCAGATCCAAGCAACACCTCCAAGGCTAAGCAGCAGAAATTAAATGAAACACCTATCTATGAATCAGAAGATTTAATTTAAAACTAGAGACTAAGGAAGGTTATTAGCACCCATTGATCATTTTCTATATACCTGGCACCTGTGTCAGAATAACCCCAGGAGACAAGGTACTACCCCCACCTTCCAGCGTCCTGATGAGCCAACTGGGGAGCAAAGGTAATGAAATTTCACTCAAGGTCACATGGCTAATAGGAAAATCTCAGACATGAACCCAATTTTGCCTGTTAAGTCTGTGCACTCTCTATGACATTACTGCACCAAATGTCCTGGATACCCATTACATTTTTCCAATTCTATAATAAAGTATGTCCCCAGGGTTTCATAATGGATGTCATGGTGGGCAAAATCTAGCTAAATGGTGAAATACCTCTATTTATTATTTGAAATTCAATAAAAACAGGAGGAAGGAGAGAAGAAAAGCAGTCCCTAGCACTGAAGGATGGAGGGCTAATCATTCAAGATCAAAACAACTCACACCATATAAGGAGAAAATAGTTTTCATTTGATTATATATCTACAAGGTTATACATTTTTAAATGTTCAGCCTAATAAGCTGTAACCAGAACTTTCCAACAAAATAGTCTTATCTGCAATATAAAATGGTTTAGGTTTTCTCATAGAAACAGAAATGTAGGATTTTTCTTACCTCCCTTTTCATTAACTGACCCTACTCTTTTAAATTCAAATTAAGAGTAAGTAAATCCCTTTGCAGAGGTGCCATCAAAAACACTATAAAGCAACATCAGAAGGCTGGGCATGGTGGCTTACGCCTGTAATCCCAGCACTTTGGAAGGACAAGGTGGACAGATCGCCTGAGGCCAGGAGATTGCCACCAGCCTGGCCAACATGGGGAAATTCTGTCTCTACCAAAAATACAAAAATTATCCAGGCGCGGTGGCGCATACCTGTAGTGCCAGGTACTCAGAAGGCTATGGCATGAGAATCACTTAAACCTGGGAGGCGGAGGTTGCAGTGAGCCGAGATCACACCACTGTCCTCCAGCCTGTGACACAGCAAGACTCTGTCTCAAAAAAAATCTGAAAGCAAAACAATTTTTTAACCCTTAAACAGAAAATACTTCTTCACAGCATTAAATCAAGTTCAATAACCAGCAAGTCTAGAGAACTATTGAAAAGTTTTACATAAATGCAAAACTACTCTGAAACACAAATCTTATTAGATGTAATGAGAAAAAAGAATCCTAGACTGCAAAGTTATCTGAATTCCTAAGTTGTACATACATTTTTCTCTAAACAGAAAACAGCCCAAGTCCCTAGTCAAAAGAAATTGTCAACTTGCGATTGTCTGCACGAATAGGGAATGTCATAAATCATGAGTGGAATCAATTACGTACATGTATTTGCACATGGGTATGCCAGATGTTCTCAAACTGACTCTTCATAATAAAACAGTAACTCAGAAGCATCAGGAAACTTGGCACCTTCCAGCTCTGATGCTCTGCTCCCAAAGCCATGGCCGTTCAGTCGGACACAAGACTGAGGGTAAACTACCTTCCCTCTGCTTGCTGAGTATGAAACAATGGATGAGGGGGTGAGGGCAAGAGGAGAGGGCAAGGAGCAAGGCACAGAAAAGCAATAAGGAAATTAATACCTGTGGTTTAAAAGACCTTCCAGTAGCTGTGACTATCTGACAAAAGAATTTCAAATTCCCATGCCATCAGAGCTCTAGATGATTTATTCCAGACCACATCTGGGAGAAATAATTATAAAAGTAAAAATGTACCCAGCATCCGAACATTTAGACCCTATCCTTAAGGAGCTTACAAGATGTAGCAAAAATATACTGGAAAAGGTAACTAAAGATTCTCATTGAGAGAAATTAAGAGACGCCAAAGAGTACAGTGCTAAGTATTTTCCTTCTTAATCCTTTTGGTGAGAAGGAAAAGGGTAAGCATGATTAATGACAAGGATGCTTTATATAACCAAGAATGTCAATACAACCTACGTGACCAAACTTTGGTCAAGTCAGCAGGTGGAATTTTTAATGCAAAGCCCAACGTTAACAACCTGGGAGAATATTTCGAACAACACAAACACTTACTAACATCTCCAAAACTGCACTTTTCACAATGATTGGGGTTTCTCTGACTCCTCCAAGAAAAGAGGTCAAATTCTTTTTTTTCTCTTCTACCTCAGTGTTTGGCCCATAGAAAGTGCTCAAAAATGGCTGAGGCTGAGGAAAACCAAACACAGGCCGGGCACAGTGGCTCACGTCTGTAGTCCCAGCACTTTGGGAGGCCAAGGCCGGTGGATCACCTGAGGTCAGGAGTTCGAGACCAGCCTGATCAACATGGTGAAACCCTGTCTCTACTAAAAATAAAAAATGAAGACGGGCGTGGTGGTGCATGCCTGTAATCCCAGCTACTCAGAAAGCTGAGGCAGGAGAATCGCTTGAACCCAGGAGGCGGACACTGCAGTGAGCCAAGATCACGCCACTGCACTCCAGCCTGGGCAACAAGAGCAAAACTCTGTCTCAAAAAAAAAGATAAAAGAAAAAAAAATCAAACATAATATTCTAACAGCAAGGATTTTTACTCATGCTTTTTATTTATCATTTTACATGAAATATAAGCCTAACTATACACTACGTATAAATGACTTGGTTCTGTATGTGGGGCCTAGATTGGGGATCTAATACAACACGTGAATTTTTCTTGGTAGCTAGGTCTTGGCATGGCTCAGCCCTTTTAAATCCATTTCTCATTCTCCAATATCCTTCTACCCTATCCTGACCCACCAGCAAGGAGGACTTCTGCAATCCTCACTTCAATTAAAGCCTGTTGGCTTAGGGTCACAGTAATAAGCAAATATGGTTCAATTCTGTAATTTGATTAACAACGAAATGATTAACAGTATAGCAGTTTACAGTATAATAAAAAATAAGATTTTAACAGTGCAAGGTGACTTAATCAGAATTCTGGGAAATATGACTCAACCACCTTGACACAGAGGTCAGGGGAAGGGGGTAGGTCTATGTTTCAATGTCATCTCAGAAACTGCTCATATCTATGCTGGCTTCTATTTTCATTCCGTAAAGCTAGCCAAGGGAGCTATGTTTTACGAGGACATGCAGTTTCAACTTCGTATCATTCATAGCTAACAATCATGCAAAAATCTACAAAATAAACATTAAGGAAAATAAATTTCTTATTTGTCACTGAACACTGCTGAATACCTCCTATGAACTGCTTATCTGAAATAAGGTGAAGAAATATTGATTCTTTTCATCCAGATTGGTATATGTGTAAATAACACCTGAGTTAAATATTACCATGTTTCCAATGTACAAAAAGCATAAAAGATAAGCTAACTACCCAACAGTCAAGACTTAATGAACACTGTCACAAACATTATTTACACAAGAATGTATGTTACGCCTCTTCTTCCTAGTCTCCTGATAAGTATGAGTCTTTCCCAAGATTCCCTTTTCAATGTCATTTTAGGACACAAAATGTCCTTAAATGTTTTAGTTAACAGTAGAAGATCAGAATAATTATATTTGATTAGTCCTCAAATTTAAATACTAATTTTCTTTTCTTCTGCATCATGCTTAAGACACAATTTACTTATAAGGTACACATTTATGCATTTAAAAGAATAAGGTCATTTAATGGTTTAAAAACCTCTTCCAATACATCTTACCTGAAAGACTGATCCATTCCTAGTCTGTTCTTCCCTTTAGATGAGTTCACACTGTGTCCTAGCAATAAAGCTTCTAGGTTAGAATGAGGGTAAAATGTGTGTTTTTCTTACTTTTATTTATGTAGCTAATGTGTATACAAGAATATTCCTTTTATTCCTTTTTAGACAGAGTCTTACTCTGTCACCCAGGCTAGAGGGCAGTGATGCGATCTCGGCTCACTGCAACCTCCGCCTCCCGGGTTCAAGTGATTCTCCTGCCTCAGCCTCCCACGTAGCGGGGATATAAGCACCCACCACCACACCAGCTACTTTTGTATTTTTAGTAGAGTCGGGTTTCACCATGTTAGCCAAGCTGGTCTCAAACTCCTGACCTCAGGTGATCCACCTGCCTTGGCCTCCCAAATTGCTGGGATTACAGGTGTGAGCCACTGAGCCAGGCCCAAGAACATTCTTTTTTTCTGTTTTTCTTTTGGAGACAAAGTCTCACTCTGTTGGCCAGGCTGGAGGGCAGTGGAGCGATCTCAGCTCACTGCAACCTCCGCCTCCTGGATTCAAGGAATTCTCCTGCCTCAGCCTCCTGAGTAGCTGGGATTACAGGCGCCCACCACCACACCCAGCTAATTTTTTGTATTTTTAGTAGAGATGGGGTTTCACTATGTTGGCCAGGGTAGTCTAGAACTCCTGACCTGAAGTGATCCGCTTGGCTTGGCCTCCCAAAGTGCTGGGATTACAATGAGCCACCACGCCCAGCCCCAAGAACATTCTTACTTTAGATATGGGCCTGCTAGCAAGATTTAAATGCAGTTTATCTTTGAATAAATACATTTTTATTACTTTACAATATACAGCTTGAAGTCTAAACTTTAATGAACAAAGTTATTTTGTAATCAAGATTTATATGCAAATACGTACTTCTAAAGTACCTGAAAGCTATTTACTTAAGTGAAGCACTTCCAAGTTCGACCTTGTTCACACTCTAAACTTGTTGAGAAAACCCACCCTTTCTTCCTTGATTGTGTAACATTTATATATCAGAGCAATCACAAGTTGCCAATCTGCTTCTAGGGTATGAAAAGGAAGTTTTATCTTATGTATCCACATGGCAAAGAGCCCCCAAATCTGTCACCTCCAAAATGGAAGTCTCTTTTACCATTTCTAAGGCCAAGTGAGCAAGAAAAAGTCATGATTAATGTCATCATGGAAAATTGCCCCATATCCAAGAGTAAATTCAAAGATTACTGAGGGATTTTTCTCTAAGAAAATAAATAAATAACCATCATCAGGGCAATCATCTACAAAACTTGGTTTAGAAATAAATTTTTAGGCCGGACTTTTAGGCCAGACACAGCGGCTCACGCTTGTAATCCCAGCATTTGGGAGGCTGACGTAGGCAATCACTTGAGGTCAGGAATTCGAGACCAAGTTGGCCAACATGGTGAAACCCTGTCTCCACTAAAAATACAAAAATTAGCCAGGCATGGTGGCGCACACCTGTAATCCCAGCTACTCAGGAGGCTGAGGCAGGAGAATCACTTGAACCTGAGAGGTGGGGGTTGCAGTGAGCTGAGATCGCACGCACCACTGCACTCCAACCTGGGCCACAGAGTGAGACTCCATCTCAAAATAAATTTTTAGGCTGAGGGCGGTGGCTCATGCCTCTAATCCTAGCACTCTGGGAGGCTGAAGTGGGAGGATTTGCTTGAGCCCAGCAGTTCAAATCCAGCCTGGGCAACATGGCAAAACCTTGTCTCTACAAAAAATACAAAAATTAGCCAGGCATGGCGGCACATGACTGTAGTCCCAGATACTCAGGAGGCTGAGGCGGGAGGATAGCTTGAGCCTGGGACGTGAAGGCTGCAGTAAGCTATGATCATGCTACTGTATTCCAGCCTGGGTGACACAGCAATATCCCGTCTCAAAAAATAAAATAAAATAAAATAAAATAAAAAGTTAGAAGAAATTACAAGTCAAATTCAACTCCTGGTTATACTGGACCATCCAAAACCAGGTATAAAGTCTCCCTGGTCAAAGTAGGCTTTTCGGGGCCAGATTTCAAGCTAGCTGAGTTCATACCATCCCATCTAGTCCTTCATTTCCTGTGGGTGGGATCGCTCATCCTCCTTCTCAGGAGGCCACAGTCACCACTGTATCCGCTGCTAAGTGGTCACCTCCCTCCGGGGCCTGCCTTCTTCCAGAGAAAGTCTGAGGCCATTTTTAAGTGCCCCTAAGCACGCAGATCCTGAACTCCAATTTCATCCTTATGGCTCAAATATGGTCCTATCGCTTACTCTTACGCTCTAAGCTTGGGGAATAAAAGGGACTCAGGCTCTCATGGAGAACACACTTCCTTTAGTGAGGACTTTCAGGGTATATTCAAGCTTTCACAACACAGAGAAAGAACCCAACTTTGAGATATCAGGAAGACGTGTTCCCCCGCCCCCCCAAATAAATACTTTGCTGAGTAGCAGTATTGGAAATTAATCCAGGAAATTTTTTAACTACGTATGCAGTACATTTGTCTGGACATCAACAAGTCCGTATGAAACCACAATAATGACTATAAAAAGAAGAATCTGGCAAAATGATACTACAAATAGATTACTGACAATAAATGGAGTGTGAGCCTACTTTGTATAATCACAGAATAACAGATCTGAAAAACATTCAGTCTTAGGGATTTAAAACTTTCTGCTCTGATTTCAAAGGATGTTGTTCCTAATAGTATATACCAGGCCCAGTGGCTTCTCATCAACAAATGCAATTAGTTTTGCAACAGTCTCTAACCCAAGATATGGAAGTTCTTGCAATGAATTTGAAAAGATTCTAATTTAGAATTTGGGGAATTTTTTTTTTTTAAGATGGAGTTTTGCCCTGTTGCCCAGGCTGGAGTGCACTGGAGTGATCTCGGCTCACTGCAACCTCCACCTCCCGGGTTCAAGCGCTTCTCCTGCCTCAGCGTCCCAAGTAGCTGAGATTACAGATCCATGCCAACACAATTGACTAATTTTTTGTATCTTTAGTAGAGACGGGGTTTCACCATGTTGCCCAGGCTGGTCTCGAACCCCTGACCTCCTGATCCGCCCGCCTTGGCTTCCCAAAGTGCTGGGATTAGAGGCGTGAGCCACCGCACCCGGCTGGAAAATTTTTTTTAAATCTTCTACCACAGTCACATATAGTTCTGAAGCTACGATTTAGAAGTGTTAAAAATTCTGTTTTGAGAAAGTCAACAGATTTATCAACATTAAAGAAATTTGTGTATGTCAAAACTACTGTAAATATATAAAGCAAAGATAAAATGGGAAAAGTATCTGCAATATGAATGGCAAAGATTTACTATCAATCCATAAAAGGCTCTTATGAATTAATGGAAAAATACTAATATCCCAGGAGAAAAATCTGGCACTACATCAAATTTCAAAATGGAAAACAACTAGATTTCTTTGGTGTTCAAATCATCTGTAATCAAAGAAATTGAAGTTTAAATATAGAGAAAGCACTGTTCACCTATAAACCTGGGAAGAATTTTTTTTTTTTCCCTTTAAGGATGATTCTACATGTTGACAAGAATACGGTAACACCAGTATTCTCACAGAGAGCTGGTGGGAACATAATTTGGTTAAACATTTTTTGGAAAGCAAATGGTCAATATGTATGAGGAGATCTTCCAACCATCAACTGTATTTCAAGGGCACTAAGGATATTAACCCTGCACATAAAGTTTTAAAAACGTATTTGTTGCAAAAGTATATTTAGTAAGTGGAAATAAATGAAAACCAGTTTGATACATCTATGTAATGTAATATTAAGTAGCCACTAAGATTTCTGAAGATTTCATGACATGGAAAATTTTTCATGATACATTAATCAGGAAAAAACCTCCACGCAATAGTATATTTAGATAAACTATATAACTATAAAAAATTTTTCTATATATTAACAAGTATTTTCTTAAATATTAACTGTGATTATCTTTGCTGAAATTGCTTAACTCACTTTTCTCAATCTACCTATTTTTATACAGCAAGCACGGATTACTTTTGAAATCAAAACAAACAGGGTTAACAGAACAGGGCTATTAAGTAACAGGCTTTTTAAATGCTTGAGTGTAATAACTGCAGGTTAGTTTCCAAAAAATATAAGATATTATCTAGAATCTTATAATCCTATTATACTCCAAAATGTAACCTTGACTTATTGACATAATTAAAAGGTCTTGTTCCAAGCATGATTTTCTACCAAGCAGATTTACCAAGAATTATTTTCTCTTCATAAACCTGATTTTAAAAAGAACAGGTGAAAAAACGTGGTGCAAGTTACATAAATAACTACATATTATTTTAAACTAAATTCCACTTCTAAGGTTTTTTAGCTTTGGTTTTAAGGATAAGCATGTAGTTCTAATCTTTTCTTTGTATAGCTTTCCTAATGGAATATATTGCCTATGAAAAAAAAAAAATCTGTAACAGCACTTTCTACACTGTAAAGCACTGTACTAACAGGACATCACCATTTTAAGTTGTGTATCATTTCCTGCCCTAACCATCCCTGAAAAAGCAAACTGTCTACAGAATTGCAATTCCGTTTATGCAATTCCTTTTAAAGTTGTCCATGCACTGTTATCTTGTATATACCCTCCTTAAAGAGGTCACTGGTTCCCAGGAAGCAATGACTCTCTTTTTTAATCCCCTCCCTCCTGCATTGCCTCCCTTCCTCCTGAAATTCACTGGTAACACCCCTACTCCCACCCTCCAGCCCCAGCGCTGTGATTTAGTGATGATTGACTTTCGATCACCTGCACCTGGCAAAACTTGAAAGCTTCCACGCACCGTTTTGCCTAAGACTTTGGTTTCATTGAAACAAACAAAACACACTGGATTTCCTTTCTTAGAACACTGACTACTTCAAACAAACAGTATTTAACAGAGTATGTGTAACTACGCAGGCTAAATGAATTAACCTCTTCCTTCCTAGTCCCAAATTACTCCAAGTCAAAAATCAACAAACAACTTGGTAGAAAGGAGTACGTCTTCAAAAAAGAACAAAAACGTTCCTCAGTGAACACCTAAGTCCACTAAGCACTATAGAGTAGTCAATAAGGTCACCTTAATTAAGATGAGATTTTTCTAGAGCGTGAAAAAGTGCAAACAAGCTGCAGAAAGTAGCGAGGCGCCACGAGGGGTCTTTGGGACCTGCAGCAACCCTATTCCACCCGCTTTCTCGGCCCCGCTTGCTTCTGCTGAGAAGGGGCCCTGCGAGAAGGCTGGGACCGCCGGGCCCGGGTGGGCGGCGTAAGGAGTCCACAGTCAAGCCCCTCGGTCACTTTCAAGGTGACAGCGACGAGATCCGCATCCGTCCCTTCCGCAGGCTCTGCGCTGGCCCACGTGAGACCCGCCTCCGCTCCGCCGGCGCTGCCGCCCCCTTTAGCCCTCAGCTTCGGCCCCCAGGCCCCTGGAACGCCCCCTCCCCTCCCCGAGGACCGGTCCCGTCACCCTGGGCGGCGCGCTCGCCTGTCCCCTCCCCACCCCGGCCGCCGGGCAGCGGGAACAGATTCCAGCGCGCACTTACCCGCAGCTCCTTCAAGCGCTCCGGGAGCAAAGACGCAGAGGCGGGGAGGGCTGGCGCCCTTTGCACCACTGGCGGGGTCGCCGAGAACCCGCCCCGGAGGTCTCGGGGGCGGCGTCTGCACCTGGGGGCGCGCGGCGCGGCACCACCCCACGCCTGCGGCGGCTACCAGGCGGGACCCGGAGCCCCGGCCTCCCCGCCTCCCCGCCTCCGGGGCCGCCAGGGGGTGGAGCAGGGCGGGGAGTTCGGGAAACTTGTAAATAGCCGAACTCGGGCCTCCCGCCCCAACCCGGGGCGGCTCCTTCCGAAGGCTCCACTCCAGCGGCTCGCTGCGGGAGACCAAGGCCAGCCGCCGTCCCAGGGGACGGCCCTCGGGGAACCTGAATGACGTGCGAGGCCGTACCTCGGGGCGCTGGACTCCGCTCGGGCGCTCCCGCTCTCCGCTCCCGCTCTCGGGTCCCAATCCCGACGCTCCGCGCGCTCCCGGACTAAGTGCGGACGCGCCCCACGCCCCCCGGCGCCAGCCCGGGACAGCGCTGCACCTGTTGCCACGTGCGACGCGGCGCTCAGCGGCTGCCACTGCCGCCGGCGCACCTGGCTGCACCGCGCGTCCCGGGACCACGCTCGTCCCCGCAGGAGCCCGGGGCTCCGCCGCACCCAGCGCTAGGGCCCAGGCCGGGCCGCGGTAGGTGGGGGATCTGACTCCTGCTTGCCTCTGGCCACCTGCAGGCCGAGGGGCCTCGCACCGCGGGGCGTATAGAAGGTGGGAAGGTTGCAGAATTATCAGGGCGGAAGCTTGCAAGGAAGGAGTCGTGATTGTCTCTTAGAAGGGCTGATTCGCAGTCTGTATTATCTTCATGCTTCTAGCAAGTTTACTAGCAAGTGTGTATTAAAGGTTAAAGAAAGTAGCTTTCCAGCTATTAGAGCTTGAGATACAACGTGGAAAGGAGTCTAGAACCCCAGGGAGATAAACTAGGCTCGACCTACTTTTCTCTAAACACAAACACAGTCCTTGCTGTTTGCTAAACTGAGCAAATTTCATCGACAGCTGTCTTCTAGGTCCGTAAAATATTTTCTTCTATAAAGCATATTTTTAATAGAAAACTTGTCCGAAGATGCTATTCTGCCTGTGAGAGATGTCACATTGCTGAACCGTGAAATGTCAGACAACCTGAGAACAAAATTTTAATATTTCCTTTTTAATTACCTGGATTGTGGTTTGCTAAAAGCTTTTAAAGAGAAGTGAACTTTTTTGGAGAATAGACGTAAGGACTCTGTATTTCACAGTTTTCTATACCATGAATATTAGAATAACTGACAGATGTCTTGCCATTGATAGTTGTAAAGACTTTTCATATGTACAATGATCCATTATTTCCTGACTACAAAACCCAGGGGTATATAGGTCAGATTATCTCCATTATTCAAATGAGGAATTGAAGCTCAGAAAGGTCAAGTGACTAGCGCAAGGTCACACAGCCAGTGAGGGCAAGTGCAAACCCAGCCAGCCTAACTCCTAATCTTCTCTTTTAATTCCATTACATAATGACACCTCTCATTTGCTTCAGAAATCCCTGTTGTAAAGATAGATGCAACTAGCATGATCCGTGTTGTTAGGAAAGGCATGTGATTAATTTTAAATAGATATAGTATTTAACACCACCAGATGAGTCTCCCTCTGAAAAAGCACACAAAAACAAAACAAAACGCTGACATAGTTTCCGCAAGTCACGAGGCAATTATGCTAATTAGCAACAAGCCTCCATCCCTAAGCAGAATAGTTCTTGTGTGAAACATATCATTTAATCTTTATAACCCTGATGTGACCTAGATGATTTGGTCTAAACCCCACAATCCTATTGTGTGGCTTAGTTATATCTATAAATATAGAACCTGTTTTACTTCATTTTTGTGTCAGGTGGTTTGAAGGGGGGAAACATACAATGCTCTGCTAAGTAATTAGAGCTACTTACGCAGGCATTGGGGAATCTGAAACTTAGCTTCTAATTGTCTCCACATAAAAACAGAAGTTAACTTCTAGGGACATCTTCAGGGACTCCTCAAGGCAAATATTCATGAAATGGGGCCTATTGGCTTTTCTTTTCATCTTGGTTCTGGGCATGTTGCCATGTTCCTGATCTCTGAACTCTGATGCTGACCTGCTACAGACTCCAGGAGCAATATTAAGGATAAAATAATAACTCACATAACTTTGTGGCTCTTTATTCTAAAAAAAAAAAAAAAAGTTGGCTCAATTTTTTTTCCTCCATAAGAAAATGCAAATTGCAACTGTATTGAGAAACCATTTTTTCACTTATCAGATTGTCAAAGATTAGAAAGTTTGATAATCACAGTGTTGGTAAAAGTGTAGACTAGCAGTCACAATGAAAATGTAAATGTAAATTATAATGACCTCCCTAGGGGGAAGGTCAGGATACCTAACAATATTGCAACTATACGTATAAGAGTTTATCTTGGCCCTGCGTGGTGGCACGGTGACTCATGCCTGCAATCCCAGCACTTGGGGAGGCCGAGGCGGGCAGATCACCTGAGGTCAGGAGTTGGAGACCAGCCTGGCCAACATGGTGAAACCCTGTCTCAACTAAAAATACAAAAATTAGCCAGACATGATAGCAGGCGCCTGTAATCCCAGCTACTTGGGAGGCTGAGGCAGGAGAATCCCTTGAACCTGGAAAGCGAAGTTTGCAGTGAGCCGAGATTGTGACACTGCACTCCAGCCTGGGCAACGCACCGCGACTCTGTCTCAAAAAAAAAAAAAGAGTTTATCTTACAACACACAGGAGAAATGGTATGTATCTACAACCTTGTTTATTTCAGCATTGTTTATAATAAGATATATTTCAAATACAAATATTCTTTAGTAAAGGACTGATAAATCATGATATAGGCATAAAATGAAATCTTATGAAAGCTTTTAAAAAGACTGAGAAAGCTCTTTGTACTTTTATGAGATGATCTTCAATCTATGTCATGTGCATTTTTTAACACAAAACAATTACCTAATAGTATGCTACAATTTCTACTAAAAGGGAGGAAATGATACAAACTTGTATAGATACATATATAGATATGTTTGTATAAGCATAAACTAAGCATAAGCCACCAGGCATGGTGGCTTGCACCTTTAATCCCAGCTATTTGGGAAGTCTAAGGGGGAGGATAATTTGAACCCAAGAGTTTGAGACCTGCCAGGGCAACTTAGACCCTGTCTCTATAAAAAATACAAAAATTAGCTGCGCATGGTGGCATGCGCTTATAGTCCCAGCTACTCTGGAGGCTGAGGTGGGAGGATGGCTTGAGTCCAAGAGGTTGAGGCCATCGTGAGCCATGATTGTGCCACTGCATTGCAAGCTGGTGACAGAGCAAGACCCTGTGTCAAAAGAAAACAAAACAAAAACCCATAAAATATCTGGAGAGATATACCAGAAGCAGATAACATTGGTTGTGTCTTGAGATGGGAGTTGGATAGTTAAATGGCAGCATTAGAAGAGAAATTTGTTACTAAATACAATTTTGTACTTTTTTTGGATTTTGAGCCATATAAATAACAGAACCCATTCTAATATTTTAAAATGTTTTACCGCATGAAGTTTTGCCATCAGGAATGACCAAAGTTTCTCTGTGAACGAATTTCACTTATAGATAAAATAAATGATTGGTCAGGCATGGTGCCGTGGTAGGTGTATCACCTGAGGTTCGGAGTTCGACAGCAGCTTGACCAACTTGGAGAAACCCCGTCTCTGCTAAAAATACAAAAATTAGCGGGGGCATGGTGGTGCATGCCTGTAATCCCAGCTACTAGGGAGGCTGAGGCGGGAGAATCGCTTGAACCTGGGAGGCGGAGGTTGCGGTAAGCAGAGACCTCGCCATTGCACTCCAGCCTGGGCAACAAGAGCGAAACTCCATCTCAAAAAAAAAAAAAAATGTTCAATAGATGCTTCTGACCCTATTTCTTCTCTAGTTTATCTAAAAAAGACAACTTTGGTACATAAAACTCTAACACAAGTGTGGTGAAAACGATGAATTAGCAAATTGTAAATTCCTTGCAATTTGATTAGCAGTGACATCTCCCTTGGGTAGGGCTTCCAGATAACTTTACCAAAGTTGCATTCAATCAGAAATGAAAAAAGTATTCCAGGCCTTAATTCTCAAGGGGAACTCCATGGAGTCATTGCCTTTGTTCCCAATCCGGGTCCCTTTTTTTTTATTTATGTTTCCTTATGGCACCATCTCACTGAGAAGGGAGTTGAACATCTTTAAAAGACAGAAACAGTACATTTTAAAAATAAATATTTCAAAGTGTAAGTATTTTTAGTATAAAATGGTATTCCCGGAAAAGCATACAGGTAATAGTAAACATACTATTGAGCAACGAATTAAAACACTGAGCTTCCTGAGACCCAGGTACGCCAACCGCTTACATAATTGTCATTTTCAAAAGAGGCTGAAAGTTTCTCAAAGGAAGAAAAACTTTTCCTAGCACTGAATTTTAAGAAAAATTTTTGTCACTCATTTTCAATTCAAGACTACAAAATGGAAAATGACAATATACTATTAAAATACCATAAGGAACTTCATGTGGCTATTTTTCATAGTGACTGTGAATAAAACTAGAAGTTTTTTTCTTCTTTTTTTTTAATAGAGACGGGGTCTCGCTATGTTGCCCATCCTGGGCTCAAGCAATTCTCCAGACTTGGCCTCCCAAAGTGCTGGGATTACAGGCGTGAGCCACTGTGCCTGGCCAAAAAAACAAAAGTATTGTAATAAAACTCAACTTGAGGAAGTTACTCACCCAGACAGGGACCGGTCTTATAACAGCATAATGAGATCAAGGATTGGCTGTAAATAGAAGTGTGGAAAGACGGCAGCTTCTTCAGATATACTTCTGAAAGTCAAATATGCTCATGGTAAAACGTGAACATCTCCACAAATCCCTTACCACAGAGGTAAACACAGTTGCTTTATACAACATTCCAGAAATTTTCTAGTGAGCACTCATTAGACAGGTGCTGAAGCATTGTCAGAAGTTGCGGTAATCTCTGGCAAAGTCCCAGAATGCTGGAATTTTGTGATACTGTCGATGACCTTTTCTTTGTTTTTGTGAAGAGAATGTGTATATTACACATAGTCATATGATTTTTTTTTTTTTTTGAGACAGAGTTTCGCTCTTGTTGCCCAGACTGGAGGGCAATGGCGTGATCTCGGCTCACCACAACCTCTACCTCCTAGGTTCAAGCAATTCTCCTGCCTCAGCCTCCCAAATAACTGGGACTACAGGCATGCACCACCATGCCCAGCTATTTTGTATTTTTAGTAGAGATAGAGTTTCTCCATGTTGGTCAGGCTGGTCTCAAACTCCCACCCTCAGGTAATCTACCCGCCTTGGCCTCCCAAAGTGCTGGGATTACAGGCGTGAGCCGCCGTGCCCGGCCTATGACTTTTAATTCTTGTGTCCAAAGATGGTGAGACATGTGTGGTAAGATACCCAAACTGACCAGCTGTAGCAATGGCTGCATAACAAGAAAGAGAGAACGTGAGAGCAGTAAATGGCCCTGATTTATTTACCAATAACTCCCAGGTTCTTGATTATCTATTTTTTTTCTCAGTGGACTTGAAGACCCAACTGGACTCTCCTCTTTTTTCTTTTCTTTTCTTTTCTTTCTTTTTTTTTTTTTTTTTTTTTGAGATGGTGTCTAGCTCTGTCACCCAGGCCAGAGTGCAGTGGCACGATCTCGGCTCACTGCAACCTCTCCCATCCAGGTTCAAGCGATTCTTCTACCTCAGCCTCCCAAGTAGCTGGGATTACAGGCGCCTGCCACCACACCCAGCTAATTTTTGTATTTTTAGTAGAGACAGGGTTTCACTGTGTTGGCCAGGCTGGTCTCGAACTCCTGACCTCATGATGCACCTGCCTCAGCCTCCTAAAGTGCTGAGATTCCAAGTGTGAGCCACCACGCCTGGCCTTCTTTTTTATTTTCTTATTTTTGAGAAAGGATCTCACTCTGTCAACCAAGCTGGAGTGCAGAGGTGCCATGATGGCTCAACCGCAGCCTCGACCTCCTGGGCTCAGTTGATCTTCCCAAGTAGCAGGGAATGGAGTCATGTGCCACCATGCCCAGCTACTTTTTGTATTTTTTTTATAGAGATGGGATTTCACCATGTTGCTCAGGCTGGTGGCCAACTTCTTAGCTCAAGTTATCTGCCCACCTCGGCCTTCCAAAGTGCTGGGATTACAGGCATGAGCCACTGCACCTGGCCCTGGACTGTCTTCTTAATGCCCCAGAAGGTGACTAGCAGAATAGAAATGTTCTTATGCCGGCTGGGCACAGTGGCTCACACCTTGTCATCCCAGCACTTTGGGAGGCTGAGGCAGGCGGATCATGAAGTCAGGAGATCAAGACCATCCTGGCTAACATGGTGAAACCCCATTTCTACTAAAAATCCAAAAAATTAGCTGGGCATGGTGGAGGGCACCTGTAGTCCCAGCTACTAGGGAGGCTGAGGGAGGAGAATGGCGTGAACCTGGGAGGCGGAGCTTGCAGTGAGCTGAGATCGTGCCACTGCACTCCAGCCTGGGCGACAGAGCGAGACTCCATCTCAAAAAAAAAAAAAAAAAAAAGGTCCTTATGGCAAAGTCTGAAGATTTTTAAGTATCTCAAGAAAGGAGTTTTTTGTTGCAAGTTCAAAGCAGTAGAAAAAATGAAGAAATATAGCTTCCTCTTATCAAAATGACCTGCAGAAGTTTGAAAAACTCTTCCATCTCCCCATCCCATGGAAGGCATCTTCAACAGTCCTGTTCCATTTATAGACTCTGTAGAAGGAACAGTTCTTATAACATGATGCCAAAATTATTCTAGTTCACACACAAACAAGTTGTCCTGTAATTCTGCTGTGGGCCTCCTCATATTAGGAAGAAATTAAGAAAAATATAGTACCACCAGTTTGTTATGCAACCACTTCGAAAATGTTTACTTTGCTTAAAATGTCATGGCTAAAGAAACTACTCGTCTGCATAATCCACTCTTGACAGTGATTCATAACTGTGTGACATTTGGGCTTGGTCAGGCTTTACTCCAGTCAGATTGAGTCTTTCCTTAAAAAGGGGATATATTTTCAATTTCAGAGTATTTACTGCTTCATGACAAATATTAATAACAAGTCTGTGGCTTCGAGGCCTCATACCTTTGAGACTACCACAGTCTACTTAGCATTTTTTTTTTTTTTTACTTAGACCTTTTGAATTTGCTTTTAATTTATACCCCTGGCCTTGTTCTCTTGACCAAATAAAAGCCCTAAGAGAGCTTCCACTGCCAGCAGCCTTCCAATTTGCTCTGTTCCCCCTTGGGCCCTGTTGATTGGGCCCAGTGATCACCTAAAAAGAGTGCAAAGAGTCAGGAAGGCTTGTGGGTTCAGTCTTTCTGTGCTAACACCAGGCCACATCCAGGCCTGATGTACTAACTGATCTCCAGTTCATTCCTTTTGCAATTTTTGGCCTTGATTCATAGTTCCTGATTCTTGATTGGCTCTGAAATCCTCCCCATTTTCAAAAGGGATGCAGTCAAGCAGGCCAAAGCGCTCCATGTTAGCTAACAAATGTTTGCAAATCATAATAATGTAGGAAGAGAACCATAAACTAAATGAACAACAGGCATTAGCCCTCATGCTGTCACATAAGCATTCCTCAAAATATAATCATGCTTCTAAACATGGGCTGGCAATTCAGGAAAGGGCCACTGAAAATATTAGCCTCGTTCTTTTCTCTGTAGAGTGAGCACAGACTATTCCTAAACCACATTGCAGTATGCCAACATTGTAAATTAATGCCTGATTGGTTACCTAGAAGTAAGACAATCTTACTTTTAGGCATCTAGAACACTGAGAAATCCAGGATGGACACTTAACACTACCAAAGATTGATCTATTTTGGGTAAGTATACTTCTGATCTCTTTTTGAGGACTGTATTAGTCCATTTTCACACTGCTATAAAGAACTGCCTGAGGCTGGGTAAATTATAAAGGAAAGAGGTTTCATTGACTCAGAGTTCTGCATGGCTGGGGAGGCCTCAGGAAACTTAACAGTTATGGCAGAAGGCAAGGGAGAAGCAGGTACCTTCTTTACAAGGCGGCAGAAGAGACAGAGAGGGCAGGGGAAACTGCCATTTTTAAGCTATCAGATCTTGTCAGAACTCCGTCACTATCACGAGAAGAGCATGAGGGAAACTGCCCCCATGACCCAATCACCTCCCACCATCCCCCGCTCAACACGTGGGGATGACAATTCAAGATGGAATTGTGTGGGGACACAGAGCCAAACCATATCAAGTACCTACAAAATTATGGTGACTCTTCACTAATTTGCAAACTGATTATCTGCAAATCTTAAATAGGGAATAAAACACAAAAATATCATTATCCCTCCAGAACTGAGGACGCAAATTGGATTTAGAAGACTTAGCTTTGACACCTAGATATGTTTTCATTGATTTGACCTAACTTGATCTCAGTTTCTCTTTTATAGAGTTAGTTCTTTAGATCAGAGGTCCCCAACCCCAGGACTGCGGACTGCCACTGGTCTTTGGCCTGTCAGGCACCCGGCCACACAGCTGGAGGTGAGTGGCATCAAGCAAGCATTACCACCTGAGCTCCAACTCTAGTCAGATCAATGGTGGCATTACATTCTCATAGGAGTGTGAACCCTATTGTGAACTGCACATACAAGGGATCTAGGTAACATGCTCCTTATGAAAATCTAACTAATGCCTGATGATCTGAGCTGAAACAGTTTAGGCCAAAACCATCCCTCCTGCACCCCATTTTGTCTTCCAAGACAAAAGATTATTCAAGGTTGCTATGAACACCTTTATGTGGACAAACTAGAAAACCTAGAGGAGATGGATAAATTCCTGGAAATATACAACCCTCCTATATTAAACCAGAAATAAAAATAAATCAGAAACTGAGCAGAACAATAACAAGTAGTGAGGCTGAAACAGTAATAAGAAAAATTGCCAAGAAAAAATAATCGAGGACCAGATGGATTCACAGCTGAATTCTATCAGACATTCAAAGAAGAACTGGTACCAATGCTATTGAAACTATTCCAAAAGATAGAATAAAACCAGTATTACCCTAATACCAAACCCAGGAAAGGACATAACAAAAAAAGAAGACTACAGACCAATATCCCTGATGAAGATAGATGCAAAAATCCTCAACAAAAGGATTCTCAACAAAATACTAGCTAACCAAATACAATAGCATATCAAAAAGATAATACACCATGATCAAGTTGGTTTCATACCAGGAACGCAGGGATGGTTTAACACATACAGGTCAATAAATGTGATATACACCACATATGGTTGTCTTATGAAAGTTTTTGTCAAGTAGATGCCTCAGGAAGTGCTCATGGAAACAATATTCCCTGAATTTTTGCACAGTGATTACATTTCGTATGCTGCCTTTATCTTGGAAAGCTACTGACTCACATTTTCTTTCATTGAATATCTTAAATATGTTACTCCATTTTTCTTCTACCTAAATCATTGCTGTTAAAAAAAATTTGATGGCAAATCTGATTTTTTTTTCCTTTATAAGTGGATTTTTTTTGCCTAGAAGCCCAAAATAATTTTTTCCCCTTTAAAATGTGTAATTTTGGTGGGATGATCACTTGAGCTCAGGAGGTCAAGGCTACAGTGAGCTGTGATCACACCACTGCACTTCAGGCTGGGGGTCAGAGAGAGACACTGTCTTGAAAAATATATTTTTTTAGCTACTAATTTCATTATAATAAGTTATGGTGTTACTAGTCCTGGGTCAGTTTTTCCAGGTATGTAGTATAACCTTTCACTACGTAGCTTCAAATACATATATTGTTAATTTGAAGAAAATGTTCTTCATTATAGTTTTTTGGTAGTCCTTCTGTGCCTTGCTTTGGTTTTTCTTCTTGAGAAACTCTTGTTAAACATATTTTTGTATATCTTTTTTGCCTGTCTCTAAGTTTGTTTCTTTCTCTCAAGCCCTTTTTATTACTTTCCTTCAATTAAAAAAAATTTTTTCTCTTTCATCTTCTCTTCTTAAGGTATTCTCTGTGTTTATTTATTCTTCCATTACTTTCAGTTTAGTTTTTTTTTTTTTTTTTTTTAAGAGATGGGGTCTCACTTGTTGCTTAGGCTGGTCTTGAACTATTGGGTTCTTGAACTACTGGGTTCAAAGGATCCTCCCGCCTCAGCCTCTCAAAGTGCTGGGGTTACAGGCATGAGCCACTGCACCCAGCCTAGTCTCTGTTTTTGACTAGTGTTTCTACGTCTTTTTCCTTGGCCTAGTGTCTGTTTTTGACTATTGTTTCTACGTCTTTTTCCTTGGCCTAGTCTCTGTTTTTGACTATTGTTTCTACATCTTTTTCCTAAGTATATCTATCACCTCATTTCTGATATTTCCCAATTCTCATTTTTCTTGTTTTTTCCATATCTTGGATGATTTCTTTAATGTCTTCTAGCACACATTGAAATAATAAGTCATGGTTTGCATCTGCTCTGTAGGTATGTCTTTTTAGCATCTTTGGCATTGTCTGTAGGGATGTTTTTCAGTTTCTTCTCTTTTTTTCCTGACAGTAATTTTGTATGAGATTTAATCTTGGTATTTTTTTGCTCATTTAAAAAAATATGAAATAATTTTCTTAAACTTTCAGGAGGAGGTAGGATTTGGGAAAGCATTTCCAATTTCACAACCTGATCGCTCTCTTTTTTTGTTGTATTTGTGTGGTGGTTAAAACTATCGGGGCTTACTTTTTTTTTTTTTTTTTTTTTGTTTGACAGATCTCGCTCTGTCGCCCAGGCTGGAATGCAGTGGCGTGATCTCGGCTCACTGCAAGCTCTGCCTCCCAGGTTCACGCCATTCTGCCTCAGCCTCCTGAGTAGCTGGGACTACAGGTGCCCACCACCACGCCCGGCTAATTTTTTGCGCCCACTACCACGCCCGGCTAATTTTTTGTATTTTTAGTGGAAACGGGGTTTCACCTGTGTTAGCCAGGATGGTCTCGATCTCCTGACCTTGTGATCCGCCCGCCTCAGCCTCCCAAAGTGCTGGGATTACAGGCGTGAGCCACCACGCCCGGC
Source organism: Homo sapiens (assembly GCF_000001405.40). Classification (NCBI taxonomy): domain Eukaryota; kingdom Metazoa; phylum Chordata; class Mammalia; order Primates; family Hominidae; genus Homo; species Homo sapiens. The sequence continues at coordinate 17,812,196 of NC_000008.11, forward strand.
AATCGCGGCTTATTTTCTGAGATGGTCAGACTCTGTTTTCTTTCCTTGCTTTCATCTGGACCCCGTCTTTCCTTGATCTCTATCGTCCCAGTTCCGTACAATGAGCATTCTTTTCCAAGAAGTTTCTTCTCTGTGCAGTGCTTGTCCAGGAGTGGAAATTTGGGTGGTTAGTTTGGAACATTCATTGTGCCCGTCAGACACTTTGCATTCCCCTGACTTTGGAGTGTGCAAAACTTTTTCCAGTTTCAGCTGCTGTTCCCAAGTGGAACCTCCAAGCTTTCCAGCAATTGCCTGCTTGCTATTTTGAGATTATCAGATTTATCAGAGTCTCATGAATTCCCTCCACTTTCTATTATACAGTTGCTGATACCACCTAGCCCTTGTATCTGTCTATGGCTTTCCTCAATTCCTTATGTTCTAGGGTTCGTGGAGACACTTCATCACCTAATTTTGTTATAGATGTTGTCCACGGGTTTTTTATTTTATCTTTTGTCCTTTGTCTATATTTGTGGCAGAATTTTAAGGTTAAAAAATGATGACCCCCGGATACAGGTGACCATTGTAAGGGTACAAGGAAAATATCCCCTTTGTCCTCTGAAGATTTGCTTAAAAATCAACTCATAAAAGTCAGATTAATTGGAGTAAATGTATATAAATTTTATTAACGTGTACATGAGAGCCTTTAGAATAAAGACCCAAAGATATAGAGAAAATTATCTTTTTTTGTTTGTTTTTGTTTGAGACAGGGTCTTTCTGTCACCCAGGCTGGAGTGCAGTGGTGCAATCACAACTCACTGCAGCCTCGACCTCCTGGACTCAAGGGGTTTTCCCACCTCAGCCTCCCAAGTAGCTGGGACCACAGGAATGAACAACCTACTAATTATTTTATTTTTAGTAGAGACAGGGTCTAGCTATGTTGCCCAGGCTGGTCTTGAGTTCCTGGGCTCAAAGGATTCCCCCACCTCAGCCTCCTGAAGTGCTGGGATTATAGGCATGAGTCCTCGAACCCAGCCTGGAAATTATTTTTATGTTTAGGTTCAATAAAGTATGGACAACCATGTAGAAATGTAACTGGACAAAAAGGGTACCATCTAATGTTAATAGACAAAGTAGGGAAACCCAGGAAGGCCTGGGTTAAACGGTAAGCTTAGATAGTAAGACCTGTGTATTAGTCTGTTCTCATGCTGCTAATAAAAACATACCCGAGACTGAGAAATTTGTAAGGAAAGAGGTTTAATGGACTCACAGTTTCACATGGCTGGGGAGGCCTCACAATCATGGCAGAAGGCAAAAGAGAAGCAAAGGCATGTCTTACATGGCAGCAGGCAAGAGAGGTTGTGCAGGGGAACTCCCATTTATAAAACCAAGTTTTATTCACTACTGCAAAAACAGTATGGGGAAACTGCCCCCATGATTCAATTATATCAACCTGGCCCCACTCTTGACACGTGGGGATTGTTACAATTCAAGGTGAGATGTGGGTGAGGACACAGCCAGCCCGTATCAGCCCATGTGTCTCTCTGAGTATGTATGTTTTTCTTTTGCATGTAGGGCAGGACCCTTTCTAGAATGGGGATCGTATGGCCTATAATTAAATAAGGTAGCTCAGATAATTTTTTTATGACCAGGTTTTACACAGAAAGGTGCAGGAAAAATTAGAGTAATATTTTTAGGTTTTTTATGGCTGGCTTTGGGGCAAAGAGGTTCTCATTTGTATGACCCGCCTTGGGGAAGAGGGATTCTAGTTTCTATGGCAAGCCTTGAAGCAGAAAGGGACCTTAGTCTTAGACCAGTCTTAGTCTTAGACAAGAAGACATGAGAAAATTAGAAAAAAAAGTTTTACTTGTAAGACTATTTTGGAGGCCTTTATTTTGGGGGTGTGTTTTGAGTCCAAACACCATCAGATAGATCTTGGTAGCCACCAGCTATATATGGTGAGTACTCCTTGACAGCACCAAGCATGAAATGCTCAAACAGGTTGGCAGAAGTCCCTGTGAATGCTCAGAGGGTGCCATAGAGAGGAAAAAAGAGCAGAAGGCAACCAGCTTTTATCTGAGATCTATGTGCCAGATATTTTGCTAGTAGCTTCCACATATATTATTTGATTTGATTTAATCTAATAATCACCCCCATCTTCTGAAGTAGAATCTTCAGGTCTTCCTAAGTCCTATGCTCATTCAACATGGAATTGTGAGAAACTTAATCTCCCTGATGGAATAGGAATCAGTTAAAGTGCGACAGAGTAGAGGCACCTGAGTCAGCACTAATGAACCTTGTGAAGTCCTTTAGTGTTTGTCAAAACTACTGTAAAGATACTACCTGAGACTAGGTAATTTATAAAGGAAAGAGGTTTAATTGACTCACAGTTCTGCATGGCTGCTGAGGCCTCAGGAAACTTACAATCACTGTGGAAGGGGAAGCAGGCATGTCTTACATGGCGGCAGGCAAGAGAGAAGTAAGTGCAACCAGGGGAAATGCCATCATATCTCATGAGAGCTCACTCACTCTCATGAGAACAGCTTGGAGGAAACCACCTCCATGAGCCGATCACCTCCCACCAGGTTCTTCCCTTAACACCTGGGGATGACAATTCAAGATGAGATTTAGGTGGGGACACAAAAGCCTAACCACATCAATATTCATCATGGATTCAAAGATTTCTTGATTAAAATTACGAGATATTAAGATTAATTATGATGATTATAAAAATAATACCAAACCTTGATTATGTACCATGCACGATTTTAGTCATTTTACACTTTACATGTATTAATTGTTTAAATATTCATAACAATTCTATTAGGTAGATATTATTATTGCATTCTTCTTCTTTTTCTTTTTTAAGAGACAGGTATTGCTATGTTGCCCAGGCTGCTGCTGGCCTCAAAGCCCTGGACTCATGTGATCCTCCCACCTTGGCCTTCTGAGTAGCTGGGACTACAGTCATGTGCCATGGTGCCCAGCAAGTAGATACTATTATATTCATTTTATAAGTGATGAAGTTGAAACCCAGTCTAGTTATAAATATGCCCAGTGTCACGAAGCTAATAAATAACAGGATTAGGATTGAAATCCAGGTCAGTCTGACCTTGAACCACCAAATACACTGCCTTCTTATAACTCAGCTCTTTGGAGTTCTACATTTGATTTACTTTTGTGTTTCAACCCCAGATGTATAGTTCAAAAATAATACATAACTTTAAAAATAAAGATAATTTTTAATGAAAAGAACCAGAATTAATTGTATAATCTGTTGTTAGAAAAATCTTTTGGCCAGGTGCGATGGCTCACAGCGGTAATCCCAACACTTTGGGAGGCCAAGGCGGGCAGATCACGAGGTCAGGAAATTGAGACCATCCTGGCCAACATGGTGAAACCCCATCTCTACTAAAATACAAAAAATTAGCCGGGCATGGTGGTGCACACCTGTAGTCCCAGCTACTCAGGAGGCTGAGACAGGGGAATCACTTAAACCCGGGAGGCAGAGGTTGCAGTAAGCCAAGATGGCACCACTGCACTCCAGCCTGGTGACAGAGCAAGACTCCGTCAAAAAAAAAAAAAAAAAAGAAAAAAAAACTCTTAATGAAGAAATACAAGTCAGAAACACTTGAGCCAATTTACTTAAAAAACAGAAACATACAGAGGGTACCCCTACGACCACTATCACTAAACAGAGAATGTAGAAAGATTTAAGTGTGTTTTACATGTTACATGGTTGCATACTTAAAATGTCAGCAGAATCAAACAAAAAATAGTTATACACAACTAGAAGACAGAATTTACCGTATCAATAATACATTAAATAACCCAGCAATAAAATTAACTTGAAACAGATGTGTTTCTTAAAAAAATTGATTGAAGGGACAGAAAGATTTCCTGACAAAGATGCCAAAAGCAATTGCAACAAAAGCAAAAATTGACAAACGGTATCTAATTAAACTAAAGCACTTCTACACAGAAAAAGAAACTATCATCAGAGTGAACAGACAACCTACGGAATGGGAGAAAAATTTTGCAATCTATTCATCTGACAAGGTCTAATATCCAGAGTCTACAAGGATTTTAAACAATTTACAAGAAAAAAATGAACAATCACATTAAAAAGTGTGCAAAGGACATGAACAGACACTTCTCAGAAGACATACATGTGGCCAACAAACATAAGAAAGAACTGATTATTAGAGAAATGCAAATTAAAACCACAATGAGACACCATCTCACACCAGTCAGAATGGCTATTATTAAAAAGTCAAAAAACAACAGATGCTGGAGAGGATATGGAGAAATAGGAAGGCTTTTACACTGTTAGTTGGAGTGTAAATTAGTTCAACCACTGTGGAAGACAGTGTGGTGATTCCTCAAAGACTTAAAGGCAGAAATACCATTTGATTCAGCAATCCTATTATTGGGTATATACCCAGAGGAATAGAAATTATTCTTTTACAAAGATACGTGCACGTGTAAAAATAAAAAGATACGTGTACACGTATGTTCATTGTGGCACTATTCACGATAGCAAAGACATAGAATCAACCTGGACGCCCATCAACAACAGACTGGATAAAGGGAATGTGGTATATATACACCATGGAGTGCTATGCAACCATAAAAAGGAATGAGAACATGTCCTTTGCAGGGACATGAATGGAGGTGGAAGCAATTATCCTCAGCAAACTAACACAGGAACAGAAAGCCAGTCACCGCATGTTCTCACTTATAAGGGGGAGCTGAACCACGAGAACACATAGACACATAGACGGTAACAACACACACGGGCCTCTCCAAGAAGGTGGGATGGTGGGAGGGAGAACATCAGGAAGAATAGCTAATGGATGCTGGGCTTAATACCTAAGGGATGGGTTGATCTGTGCAGGTCTGTGTAGCAAACTACCACGGCACACATTTACTTATATAACAAACGTGCACATCCTGCAAAGGTATTCAGAACTTAAAAGTTGAAGAAAAATAAGTTGATTAAATTCTAATAAAAAAAGGTAAACATACCTAAATAACTATGCTACATTCTTTTTTAGAGAGATTAAATAAGACATCAATTAAAAATGTTTAATATATAAATTTATTGCAGTTATAAATTCCTGTGAGAACCAATAGTGAAAAATAAATGGATGACATTATCAAAACATTTTCATTGGGAATAAGGATGAACTCAGCAAACTTGGAAAACTGAACACACTGCAACAATGATCAAAATCTTATGGCCTTGGGTTATTACAGTCGGAAAAAAGAATCCAACCTATAGGGCAAGGGAAAACCACATAATAAGTTGTCTTCCAAATAGTTGGCTAACAGGCTGGAAAAAACATCATGTTAGATACGTAAATACACGGAAACAAACAGTATAATAAATTCCAGCTGTATCAAAAAGTAAAAGCCCTTTTTAAAAAATGGAAGAGTGGTTTATCTATTTCCTATGAGAAAAAGAACATGCATTTTTATTTTCTTTTTTGAGACAGTGTCTCACTCTGTTGCCCACGTTGGATTGCAGTGGTGTGATCATGGCTCACTGCAACCTCAGTCTCCCGGGGTCAAGCAATCCTCCCATCTCATCCTCCCAAGTAGCTGTGACTACAGGCATGCGTCACCATGCCTTGCTAATTTTTTAATTGTTTGTGGAGACACAGTCTCACTATGTTGCCCAACCTGGAGAACATGCATTTCTAATCACTGCAGAAAACAAAGGTTGTTACCGGAAGCAGGGGTGATTAATTGAGCAGATTTAAATTTTTTAACTTTCATGCAACAAAATGTAAAATAAAAATGCTATAAAGAAAACTTTCCAGTATAGAATAGATATATTACAAATATAACGTGATAATAGCTTTCTCCCAAAATATATGAAAAAATAAATGATTATGTAAGTCAATAACCACTTTCCACTTGATGAATGGACAGTTTGCAGTTAGGAACATTTAGACTACATCATTGTGTTTTTAAAAATCAGTTTTATTAAAAAATGAAAATAAAGGTTAATTAAACTCACATGAAGACTCTCTTACAGATGCATTAAACTGGAAGACATTTTTTATTTTTTATTTTATTTATTTTTTTTTTGAGACGGAGCCTCACTCTGTCACCCATGCTGGAGTGCTATGATGCGATCTTGGCTCACTGCAACCTCTACCTCCCGGGTTCAAGCGATTTTCTTGCCTCAGCCTCCCAAGTAGCTGGGTTTACAGGCACGTGCCACCACACCCGGCCTGTTTTTGTATTTTTAGTAGAGATGGGGTTTCACCATGTTGTCCAGGCTGGTCTCAAACTCCTGACCTCAGGTGATCCACCCGCCTCAGCCTCTGAAAGTGCTAGGATTACAGGCTTGAGTCACTGCGCCCAGCCTGGAAGACATTTTTTAGCTTGTAAAACTGAACCTGGACAAGTCTTTGGGAGGAAGGCAGACGTACATTTTGTATGTTAATGGTAGAAATGTAAAATGGTTACATATTTCTGGGGGGTAATCTATAACATGCTCTTTGACCTATTACCCGTTCCTTCCCCTGAGAAAGGAAAACTAACTTATAAAGCAATTTTCATTGCAGCCTTACCTATAATGGGGAAAATTAGCTTCAGTTCAAATGCCCAATAGTATTAACATGTTTAAGTAAACCATGGTGTATTACCATATACAAATTAAAATGACAAGTAAATGGAGGATGTAATACATAGATATGTTTATGTGAAACAAGGTGAAGTAAACAACTTGAACCCATGATAACTTTATACAATTATATAGACATATATAAATGTAGGCCAGGTGCAGTGGCTCACACCTGTAATCCCAGCACTTTGGGAGGCCAAGGCAGGTGAATTGCTTGAGTCCAGTAGTTCCAGACCAGCCTGGGCAACATGGTGAAACCCTGTCTCTGCAAAAAATACAAACAAAATTAGCCAGGTGTGGTGGCACAAGCCTGTAGTCTCAGCTACGTGGGAGGCTGAGGCAGGAGGATCGACTGAGGTTGAGGCTGCAGTGAGCCATGATCACACCACTGCACTCTAGTCTGGGCTACTGAGTAAGACCCAGACATTTATATTGCTTTTTCCAGGTATGTTTTTTATATACACATATATATATTACATATGTTATATAATGTACATAATGTATATTACATATGTTATATAATGTACATAATGTATATTACATATGTTATATAATGTACATAATGTATATTACATATGTTATATAATGTACATAATGTATATTACATATGTTACATAATGTACATAATGTATATTACATATGTTATATAATGTACATAATGTATATTACATATGTTATATAATGTACATAATGTATATTACATATGTTATATAATGTACATAATGTATATTACATATGTTATATAATGTACATAATGTATATTACATATGTTATATAATGTACATAATGTATATTATATGTTATATACGTATATTAATATGTATATACATATTAATATACATATTAATATATGTATATTATATATGTATATGTATATAGACATAATGTATATTATATATGTATATACATATGTATACATGTTTATTATATACGTATGTTATATAACATATATAATATACGTATGTTATATAACATATATAATATACGTATGTTATATAACATATATAATATACGTATGTTATATAACATATATAATATACGTATGTTATATAACATATACGTATGTTATATAACATATATAATATACGTATGTTATATAACATATAATATACGTATGTTATATAACATATATAATATATGTATATTATATAACATATAATATACATATGTTATATAACATATATAATATACGTATGTTATATAACATATATAATATACGTATGTTATATAACATAATATACGTGTTATATAACATATATAATATACGTATGTTATATATGTATATATGTACACATATGTTTATATGTATACATATATGTATATGTACACATATGTTTATATGTATACATATATGTATATGTACACATATGTTTATATGTATACATATATGTATATGTATAGATCTACACACATATACATATATATGTGTATATATATATGACAGCATCAGTCTTAATAGCTTAGATGATTTCTATTTGCTAATTGCTTTAATTGACCTCCAAATTCTGGTCCTTACATCTCATGTCTACATCTCCATTCATTTCTCTAGTGTGAAAAAAAAGGAAAAAACTGAAAATCTCAAGAGGATTCCAGGAAATCAAAACAATGAATTATTGAATCAAGAATTTGAAAGAGAAAATAGATGCATACTGAAAAAAGAATTTTGTTTAGTGAGATAGATGTAATAATGAAGGCATGTTGATAACGGGGGAGCTATGTATATATGAGGGGAGGGATATATTGGAAATCTCTGTATCTTCCTCTCAATCTTGCTGTGATCCTAAAACTGCTCTAAAAAATATTTTGAGAAGGAATAATGATGTGGTAAACATGTTCTGTTATTTAAAAAGAGAGACTTTTCATAGCCGCCTCCCTCCCCCTCTACACACACACAGAGTCCTGTCCGTCTTCATTCCCTTACTCAATAATTTGTACAGACACAGCCACTGGGCTCCAGTAATCCTAAAGTTTCTAGAAAATCAAGCACAGAAAAAGGTTAAAACCCTGAGGGAATAAAAGAATTCCTTTGCATCCATTGCATTTCTCAGGAAGTGAACTAACAAATTCACTGCTTTTAAATGAGGAAATTTTCTCAGTGAAATTGATTCCAAACCTTCGTTAGGTCAACTGTTCCCAGATTTCTTAGCTGATGCCTGATCTGACTATTCCTTATCTTTAGTACAGAAACCAAGGTGAATGACCTTTAAAAAACATATTAGACTGTTGACGTGTCTTCTATGTTGTACTCTAGGTAAAAACGATAAACCAGGAAAAAGAAAGTAAAATTCAACCTTAGGCTCATGGATCCAGAGTGGATAATTATGAGTCTGTAGTATCTACATGCATGTGATGAGGTTCAAGGACAATAACCATAAAGCAAAGACTTAAAAGGTTTTATCATTAGAATAATTGTAATTCACTTGATCTCTCAATGTAACAATACTTCGGTCTACTGTCTCAAGCCATTATTATGTCTTACACTCAGCATATTGGTTTGTCTACCATTAAATATTTATTTTCTACAGTGCTTTCTGGAAGGCAAACAAAGCAGCCACTCTGCTACTTTATATTGATTCCTGAGTTGTCCTTCGGAAACGCTTTCAGGAAGTTTAATAGGTTTGAAAGATATTTAGACCTGTGACTGGCAAATATACTTCCTTCTTTTTATTTCAATAAGAGAGTACTAGAACTTAGATCTTTATTGTTTAATCTAGTCAGTGCTGTCATTGTCAATCAAGTTCTCAAATGACACTTGTCCTGAGCTGTAACTGATCTATTCAGAAGAATATGAAAATAGTAAAGACGGCAACTATGCATGTTTTTACCGGACACGATTTTAATTGCTTTAAAATGAAGTTATGCAACCAATGAGGAATGGAGCTTTTGGAGTGGCCTGAAGCTAAAGGTTTCAGGTGTATTTTTGCTTTCTTTGAAGAAAGAACCAAATCATTTTATTTAATAAAAAGGCCATTTATCAAGAATTTCTTAAAGCTGTTTTAAACCTGAGTTTGCAATTTATAGAATATGTTCAAGCAGCCTCAGTGCCCTTTTAATTGGATGGTTTTCACAGATTTATCCAATTTGAGATTTATCCAGTGAGAATTCCCTTTGTTCAAGTATATATGTCTTCTCTTCCATAAAGCAGATTCAAATGAAAGAGTGCAATCTGATATATCAGACATGTCAGTTATACATTTGATGTGGTAAATTTATAAGAGAGGCCAATTATTGTTATGAAAAAATACAATGAAATACATGATAGTCATTTACTGTTTTTATAACTAATCTAAAAGTATTTACTAAAAAGAAACTATTTCTTTTCATATGTACTTTACTTTTTACTTTAACCCTTCATATGTCCTTTAAATAAAGAGAAGAAAAAAAGTCATTTATATTTATCCACATATTTTCTATTTCAGGTGGTCCTCATTCATTCTTGTAGATCCAAGTTACCATCTGTTATTATTTTCTTTGTCACCTGAAGAATTTTCAGAACTATTTCTTCCTATATGTAGCATGTATAGATACTCTAAAAAGTCCATTATATGATGTATAAAACAAAGCATACAATGTAGTCTCTGCCCTAATTATTTGTAATTTATATAAAACCTTTTATTTTTTATTTTTAATTGTTTATTTTATTTTGTTTTGTTTTATGTTTTTGAGATAGAGTCTTGCTCTTTTGCCCAGACTGGAGTGCAATAGCGTGGTCTTGGCTCACTGCAACCTCTGCCTCCCAGGTTCAAGTGATTCTCCTGCCTCAGCTTCTCCATTAGCTGGGATTACAGGCAGCACCACCATGCCTGGCTAATTTTTGTATTCTTAGTAGAAATGGAGTTTCACCCTGTTGGCCAGGCTGGTCTTGAACTCCTGACCTCAGGTAATCTGTCCGCCTTGGCCTCCCAAACTGTTGGGATTACAGATGTGAGCCACTGCACCCAGCCTAATTGGTTATTTTATTATTTAGACTCCACATATCAATTTTCTTACTATGGCGATATGAAATAGCAATTAACCTTGAAATATCATTTATTTTTCCCTATTATTACATTTCCCTTAAGAACTACAATAAGTTATTTTACTGAAAAACATTGTCCTTAACGTACCATGAGCTAATCATTCAAGAATTGTGACTAAATTATCTAAATTATTTCAGTGTAATCACCTGAGGTTCTAGGTAAGCCCTCCTTCTCATTCTCTGCTTCACACATGCCAATGATTAAAAGATCAGATTATCAGCCAGGCACGGTGGCTCATGCCTGTAATCCCAGCACTTTGGGAGGCCGAGGTGGGTGGATCAGGAGGTCAGGAGTTCGAGACCAGCCTGGCCAACACAGTGAAACGCCCCCCCGCCCCCCAGTCTCTACTGAAAATACAAAAAAAATTAGCTGAGTATGGTGGCAGGCACCTGTACTCCCAGCTACTCAGGAGGCTGAGGCAGGAGAATCACTTGAACTTGCAGTGAGCTGAGACTGCGCCATTGCACTCCAGTCTGAGCAACAGTGCGAGACTCTGTCTCAAAAAAAAAAAAAAAAAAAGATCACATTATCTTTAAGTAAAAAAAAGTAGTCAACTGGAGTTCCACTTTTGGTAATGGTAGGGTAGCTGGCATCAAACTAGATCTCCTGCAGATCAAAATTATATACTGTGAAAAAAATGTAAATAATGTCTATCTGAAGGCACTGGAGGGTGTCTAGAAGCAGGCAGAAATAAGAAGGGAATCCTTTAAAGAAGGGAACTAAATATGGTTTTTCAGTTGAGGATACTCCCCAGACCTTGTGGTAGAAAGAAGCTAGAACTGAAGCTAAAACCACAATTTTAATTGCTTGAAGGGTTAAAGGACAGAATTTGGGACTGCCAATATGGCTGGATTATGAGGGGAGAAATTTCAGAAAGATGGTAGCCACAGATATGGGAGCCTCTAAATCCATGTGTAAACTCTCTGCACACATTCCTGCAGATCTCTGAACTGTGTATTGTGTAGGAGACTCCAAGGAACCCAAACAGGAGGCTGAAAAACTGAGTAGAGATTTCAGCTAATGCCTTGACAAGGGAGAAAAAATTTGGGGTTTGAGTCCAGCTAGGTAACTGCCTGCTAAAACAAAACTCAACACTCAGCCAAAAAAATAAGAAAATCAAGAGTATGTAAAATGTCTCATCAAATGCACCAGACGCAATCAAAACTTACTAGACATGCATGCAAAGAAACAGCATATCTCTTGACCCAGAGTCAAGAAAAATTCAATCAATAGAAATCTATTCCAATATGTCTCAGATGTTGGAATTAACAGAAAAGATCTTTTTAAAACTGTTTTAAATATATTTAAGATCTTAAAAGATAATATCAGTGGAAAAATAGAAAGAACCAAAGTAAATTCTAGAATGAAAAAAATATAATAACTAAGTCTTTAAAATGGGCTTAACAGCAGATTGGAAACAGTGAAAGAAAAGATTAGTGAATTAAAAAAAAAAGATCAACAGAAATATCTAATCTGAAAAACAGAGAAGAAAAAGAAATTGAGAAAAGTGAGTAAAGGATCTATGAAGAAACAACAAACATATGAACACAGATATACTTAGAGTCCCAGAAAGAGAGGAGGTAGAAAACGGGGCAGAAAAATATTTGAAAAATCAGCCAGGTGTGGTGGCTCATGCCTGTAATCCCAGCACTTTGGGAGGCCGAGGTGGGTGGATCACCTGAGGTCAGGAGTTCAAGACCAGCCTGGCCAAGATGGTGAAACCCCATGTCTACTAAAAATAGAAAAATTAACCAGGCATGGTGGCACACACCTGTAATCCCAGCTACTCAGGAGGCTGAGGCAGGAGAATCAGTTGAACCCAGGAGACAGAGGTTGCAGTGAACCAAGATCATGCCACTGCCCTCCAGCCAGGGTGATAAAGAAAGACTGTGTCTCAAAAAAAATAATAATAAAAGAAAAATATTTGAAACATTGTGGCCAAAAATTTCCCAAAATTTGGTGAAAATATAATTGTACAGATCTAAGAAGTTCAACAAACATAAGCAGAAAGAAAAATACCGAAAATTATGCCTAGATACATCATAGTAAAATAATTTTTTAAAAAAGATAAACAGAAAATCTTGAAAATGTCCATAGGTAAACTACACATGAGAAAAAGGGGACTGATTAATCAAATTTTGACAAGTCAAGAGAAATAATAGATTCCAGGAGACAATGGAATTACATCTCTCAGGTGCTGAAAGAAAAGACTGTCCACCCAATTCCACATCCAATGAAAATGTCCCTCAAAAATGAAAGAGAAGGGCCGGTCGCAGTGGATCATGCTTGTAATCCCAGCACTTTGGGAGTCCAAGGCCAGCGGATCACGAGGACAGGAGATTGAGACCACGGTGAAACCCCGTCTCTACTAAAAATACAAAAAAAAATTAGCCGGGCGTGGTGGCGGGCGCCCACAGTCCCTGCTACTCGGGAGGCGGAGGCAGGAGAATGGCATGAACCCAGGAGGTGGAGCTTGCAGTGAGCCGAGATCATGCCACTGCACTCCAGCCTGGGCGACAGAGCCAGACTCCATCTCAGAAAAGAAAGAAAAAAAAAAAACGAAAGAGAAGTAAACACATTCTCAAATAATGAAAGTGAGAGAATGAATCACCAACCAACACACACTACAAGAAATGCTATAGAAGATTCTTAAGGTGACAAACGAAATAATAGCAGATGGTAACTTGGATCTGCAAGAATGAATAAAGACCACCAGAAATGGTAAATATATGGATATATATATATAAATGGGTACATTTTTTCTTCTCTTATTTAAAGGACATATGAAGGGTTAAAGTAAAAATTATCACACTGTATTGTAAAGTTTACAAAATAAGCAGAAGTAATATATATGATAAAATAGCACAAAAATTGGGCAAATAAAATTATGCAGTTGCAAGACATATTTTACATGTAATGATGTAATATTAACTAAGCAGATTGTACTAAAATTAAGGATGTATACTGCAATCTCTAGAATCACCACTAAAAAATGATGTAAAGTAGTAGAACTAAAAATTCAGGGGCCAGGTATGGTGGCTTATACCTATTATCTCAGTACTTTGGGAGGCCGAGGTGGAAGGATCACTGGAGGTCAAGAGTTCAACACCAGCCTAGGCAATGAAGAAAGACTCCATCTCTACAAAAATTAAAAATTAAAAAAAAATAGTTGGGTGCAGTGGCGTGTACCTGTAGTCTTAGTTGCTTAGGAGGCTGAGACAGGAGGATCACTTGAGCCCATGACTTCAAGGCTACAGTGAGCTATCTTTCATTGCACCACTACACTCCAGCCTGGGCTGGGTGACAGAGTTAGACTCTAAAGAAAAAAAAACCAATAGAGAATTGAAATGAAATACTAAAATATTGTATTAACACAAAAGAAGCCACAAAAAGAGGAGCAGAGAAACAAATATCAGACTGGACAAATAAGAAACAAATAACAAAATGATAGCCCTATATCCAAAAGTATTTATAATTATATTATATGTAAGTTAAAATGTAGAGATTGTCAGAATGAATTTAAAAAAGCAAGAATCAAAGATATGCTGTCTACAAGAGATGCACTTTAATTGTAAAACACAAATAGTTTGAAAGTAAATGAATAGAAAGTATATACCATGTAAACAGAAACCATAAAAAAGCTGGAAAGGCTTTTTTTAACAATTAAAAAAAATACACTTTAAGAGAAAGAGTTTTACCAGAAATAAAGATGTTGTATAATAATATAAAAGGGTCATTAATCAGGAAGATACTATCATGAAAGTATTTGTACCTAGTAATAGACCATCAAAATATAATAAGCCCAAATTGACAGAACTAAAGGGAGAAATAGACAAGTTCACAATTTTGAGTGAGACTTTAACATAGCCGTCTCAGTAAACAATAAGGTAACAAAAAATCAGTAAGGATTTAGAATATCTGAAAAACATTATCAAACAGCTTGGCCTAATTGACGTGTATAGAGCACTATACCTAACAACTTCAGGACATATTTGCGTGTAGAACATTCATCAAGATAGAACATAAGTTAGGACATGAAATAAGTCTCAGTAAATTTCAAAAGGTTGAAGTCTTACAGAATATATTCTCGGATTATAATTAGATTATAAGTAAATATCGAAAAGAACTTCCAGATAGTTAGAAATTAAACAGTATGCTTTTAAATGTGTTGAAGAAGAAATCCTAAGAAAAATTAGGAAAAAATGGAACTGAATGATCACAAAAGTACATTCCTTCCAAAAATCTAAATTCCCAAATAGAAGTTTGTGAGACTCATCTAAAGCATGGTTTAGAAGACAATTTAGAGTTTTAAATGGCTATATCAAATAAGATAAAACTTTCAAATCAATGATCTTTCTACTTAAAAAGCTAGAAAAAAGAGGAGAAATGAAAACTATAGTAAGTAAAAGAGAGGAAAATAAATAAGACTAAAAACCAACAACACAGAAAGCAGACACAATAGAGAAACTTAACAAAGTCAAAGTTGATTCTTTGCAAAGATAAATAAAATGGGTTTGCAAAGATAAATAAAATGGGTATATTCTGGTGAGACTGAAAAAATGGAGGAGTGGGACAGGAGACCATAAGAGAAAGAACACACATTACCTATGTGAGGAATAAGAGGTAATAGGAGAATATTATAATCGACTTTATGTCAATAAATGTGACAACTTAGGTGAAATGAAAAATTACTCAGAAGGCCACTTATCACACTTGATACAAGATAAAATAGAAAATTTGAATAACTACATCTATTACATAAGCTCTTTCAGAAAACGGGAAAAATAAATACGTGTCAACTCATTTTACAAGGCCATCAAAATACTGTTATCTGACTTTGGCAGCATAACTCTAACAAAGACATGAACAAAGGAAATTAGAGACCAATGTTCCTAATACAAGCACAATAATCATTAACAAAATATTAACCAACTTATTCAATAATATATTAAAAAGATATTATATCATGACCAAGTGGGGTTTCTTCCAGGAATGCAAAGTTGGTCAACATTTGAAAATTAGTGTAATTCACCATATTAACAGAATAAAGAAAAAAAAACACATGATAATTTCAATAGATGCACTTGTGATAAAAACTCTCAACAAACTAGGAATAAAAAGAAACTTCCAGGTCAGGGGTGGTGGCTCATGCCTGTAATCCCAGCACTCTGGGAGGCTGAGGCGGGCAGATCACCTGAGGTCGGGAGTTCGAGACCAGCCTGACCAACATGGAGAAACCCTGTCTCTACTAAAAATAAAAAATTAGCCAGGCATGGTGGCACATGCCTGTAATCCCAGCTACAAGGGAGGCTGAGGCAGGGGAATTGCTTGAACCCAGGAGGCGGAGGTTGCAGTGAGCAGAGATCACACCATTGCACTCCAGCCTGGGCAACAAGAGCGAAACTCTGTCTCAAAAAAAAAAAAAAAGAAAAAAAAAGAAACTTCCTCAACCTGATATACAGCATCAGTCAATATCACACTTGACAGTTAAAGAGGCAACTCCTCTTACGTGATTGGAAACCAGGCAAAGATGCCTCTTCTCCTTTAAGTTCTATTCTATTCTATAAACTTCTGAACCAGTTTGATAAGTCAAAAAATGGAAATAAAAACCAGAACAATTGGATAGAAGAAGGAACTGATTCCTATTTGCAGATAATATAATTCTTTATATAGAAAATCTTAAGGAATCTACAAAAAGTTACTGGAACTAATGTGAATTTAGCAACACTTCAAGATTCAAGTTCAATATAAAATCAATTGCATTTCTAAATACTAACAGTAAACACATTTTTAAATCAAATTAAGGTTATTACTTTAACAATAGCTTTAAGACATAAAATACTTAGAAACAAATTCAGCAAAAGATCTGTAAAACCTCAATGTTCAAAGCTACAAATACTAATCAGTGCAATTAAATAACACATATAGAGATACCCCACGTCCAAATGTTGCTAGACTCAATATTATTAAGATGTCAATTTTCCCCACAATGATTTTAACTATAATCCTAGCAGGCATTTTAGTACAGGTGACAATCTGAGTCTAAGACTTATTGGAAATGTAAAGGGCCTGGAATAGCCAAAACAATCTTGAAATAAAGGAACAAAGCTGGAGGATTTATATTATTTAACTTCAAAACTTAACATAAATTATGATAAGATGTGTAATACTGGCAACAGGATAGACACATAGATCAATGAAACAAAGTACGAGGCATAAACAGACCAACACCTATCTGGTTATTTCATTCTGAAGAAAGGTGGCAAGACAATTCAGTGAGGAAAGGAAAGTGTTTAATAAATTATGTGGGAAAACGAGATATCTATGTGGAAACAAAACAACCATAACTTCTACCTCATTCATCCAGGGACCTAAATATAAAAGCTAAAACTATAGATGGTCTTTAAAAAAAAAACCTAAGTCTACAGTGAAAACCTCAGGTAAGTGAAGATTTCTTAAAACAGAAAACAACCACAGAATTGTTTTAAAAGATAAATTAAACTTTATCAAAAGTTAAGCCTTCTCATTAAAAGACACTTTAAAAATGAACAGAAAGCCACAGACTGGGAGAAAATGTAATGTACATATCTGACAAAAGACTTGTATTGAGAATATATAAATAACTGCAGCAATTCATTAGTAATGACACCAATGCAAGAAATAAAGTAAATAAAATCTGTAATAGACACACAACAAAGGAAATATTATGCATGTCCAATAAGCACATGATCAAGTTCTTTCTTAGTCATTGGAAAAATGCAAATTAAATCTTCAGTGAAATACTAGCTTACACCCAACTAAAATGGCTAAAATTAAAAGTACTGAAGACACCAAATATTGACCAAGATGTGAAGCAAGTGGAACTATTATACATTGCTAATGGGAATCAAAAACAAAAAAGATTCGTAATTTCTTATAAAGTTAAGCATATACCTGCTCTATGACCCAGAAATTCTACTTCTAAATGTTTACCAAAGAGGGATTAAAACACAGGTCCAAAAAGTCATGAATGAGGACATTCATGGTCACCGAAAACTGAAAACAACCGAATTGCTCATTAATAGGTGAACGGATAAACAGATTGTGATATTGTACACTCAAACAATGACAAACTATCCACAGGAAAGAACTCTTGATATATCCAAAATATGGATGAATCTCTCAGATGTGCTGAGTAAAGGAAGCTGGATACAAAGAGTATGTTCCATGATTCCACTTACATAAATTTCTCAAAGAGGTTAGAAAATATGTGTTGAAAATCTATGGTGGAAAAATAATCTGGAATGGAAAAAAAAGAAGAGTTTGCCTCTGCCAGGGGTGTTAATTAGGAAGAGGCATTAGGGAACGTTTAGGGTGAAAAAAAAAGCCCTAAATTTTGATAGAGTGTTATACAGAATACACATGTGTCAAAAGTCATCAAATTGCACACTTAAGATTTGTGAATTTCATGATATTTAAATGTTACCTCGAAGACAAAGAACCGAAAACAAGTATCAGCTCTAGTAGATTTGCTTTTCTCAGTGGATTAGCAATTCCAACAGGAGTTTTTGTGTATTCTAGGTTGGAACAAATGTATGAATTTATTGAGGATAATGAAAGCCAGGTTTTTAATTGTTCACGGAGAAAGTTAGAAACATTGAAAAGGGAAACCAAGCTGTAGATTGGAATCAGAGGTACAAATATGAAATAATGCTTTTTAGTATCTAGATATAGATTTGTAGATAGAGGTAGCAATAGTTATGGAAATACATAGATGTGTATATACATGTATTTAGATGTGTCTATGTAAGTGTATGTGATTCCTAAATCTATCCACTCATTGGACCTAGAAGGGCCTTCAGCAAAGAACACAGCTGCTACCCAGATCATTGTCTGTAAATATCTTTACTCTAATAAATGGAACCTTGAAGAAATGCTGATCCCAAAACTAGAGCAGGAAAAGTGGAAGATGAATCAGGAACATCTTATTGTATCTGTAAGGATAGGCTCAAAATATGATAGCCACATATCAAAAGGACACGGGTTGGCTTGAAGTGGTTCCCACTAATCCAAACTGGCAAAATTGCACATTAATATAAATAATAGTAATACTGGGTTAAAATCTATTGAGTAAAGTTAGAATGTATGAGTCCATACTGATATGAATAAAAAGAAAGAAAGGAGGGAGGGAAGTGGGTTAGACCGTTTTTGCATTGCTGTAAAGGAATACCTGAAACTGGATAATTTATAAAGAAAAGAGGTTTAATTGGCTCATGGTTCTGCAGACAGTACAAGAAGTGTGGTGCTGGGCGGGGCACGGTGGCTCATGCCTGTAATCCCAGCACTTTGGGAGGCTGAGGCGGGCAGATCACCTGAGGTCAGGAGTTCAAGACCAGCCTGACCAACATAGTGAAATCGTGTCTCTAACAAAAATACGAAAATTAGCCAGGTTTGGTGGCACATGCCTGTAGTCTCAGCTACTTGGGAGGCTGAGGCAAGATAATTGCTTCAACCCAGGAGGAGGAGGTTGCAGTGACCCAAGATCATGCCACTGCACTCCAGCCTGTGCAACAGAGTGAGACTCCATCTCAAAAAAAAAAATAAAAAAAGAAGTGTGATGCTCGAATCTGCTTATGATGAGGGCCCCAGGAAGCTTCCAGTCATAACAGAAGGCAAAGGGGGAACAGGTGTCTCACATGGCGAGAGGGGAAGCAAGAGAGAGATGGGGGAGGTGCCACATACTCTCATTTTAATTTTTTAAAATTTATTTTTAAATGTTTAAATGTTTGATGTTTGTGGGTACATAGTAGGTGTATATATTTATAGGGTACATGAGATGTTTTGATACAGGCATGCAATACGTAATAATCACATCATGGAGAATGAGGTATCCATCCCCTCAAGCATTTATCCTTTGTTACACAAAATCTAAATACTCCCTTTTAGTTATTTAGTTATATGTACAATTAAGTTATTATTGACTGTAGTCACCCTGTTGTGCTATCAAATAGTAGGTCTTACTCATTTTTTCTATTTTTTTTGTACCCATTAACCATCCCCACCTTCCCTCCACCGCTGCCCTCCTCCCAGCCCTACCCTTTCCAGCCTCTGGTAACCATCCTTCTACTCTCTACGTCCATGAGTTCAATTGTTTTGAGTTTTAGATCCCACACATAAGTAAGAACACGTGATGTTTGTCTTTCTGTGCCTGGCTTATTTCACTTAACATAAGGATCTCCAGTTCCACACACTTTTAAACAACCAAATCTCGAGTGAACTCAGAGCAAGAACTCATTCATCACCAAGGAGATGGCGCTGAGCCATTCATGAGGGATCCACTCCTGTAATCCAGTTGCCTCTCACCAGGTTTCACCTCCAACGCTGGAGATTACATTTCAACACGAGCGTCGGAAGGGACTAACATCCAAACTATATCAGGAGGGATGGCGGGAGGAAGGGAGGAGGGAGGGAGGGAAGGACAGAAGGAACGGAAGGAGGAAGGTTGTTTACTACACTACCAGCCTCAAAAGGAAAAATGTTAACATAGATTGCATAGGGTTTTGCAATCATATACACTCATTTTAATACCTATAATCTTTATTCAGCATTTTAAATTAACTGTATCTATTTCCTATTTATGCCAGCTGAAGAACATGTGGCTTTGAATTATTTCAAATGCAAATTTTTTTCCCCATTTTATCATTTTGTTGGCTGTATTGGTTTTCTATGGCTGTTGTAACAAAATACCACAGATTTAGTGTCTTAAAACAACGCAAATTTATTCTGTCACCATGCTGGAGGTCAGAGGCTAACATGAGTCTTAAAGGGCTGGAATCAAGCTATTAGCAGGACTGGTTCCATCGAGAGGTTCCAGGAGAGAATTCTTTCTTTCCCTTTCCCATTCCCTCTCTCCAATATGTCTTTGGCTTTGCCTTCTGCTCTAACAGAGTCCAATTTGTCCCTCTGTTTCTTTCTTTGAAGAAAACCTGTGATTATATTTAGGACCCATGGGGCTAATTCAGTATAATCTTCTCATCCCCAAGTCTTTAACTTCGTCACACCTGTGACATTCCTTTGCCGTATAAGGGCACACTCATGGGTTCTGGGCATTAGAACATGGACATTTTAAGAGGCCATTATTAAGCCCACCACATTGATTATTCTAACTATTTAGTCTCTGTCCACCAGACCACTGAAATGAAATATTTGTCATTATAATAATTTATATTTTTATTATTTTACTCTTAAGGTGAATTTACAATACTTTATTTCAGATGAATTAGAATATTTAAAAATATGAAGACTAAACTTATACTTAATAAGTAATTAGACATACTTTTTTTTTTTGAGACAGGGTCTTGCTCTGTCTCCCAGGCTAGAGTGCAGTGGTTCAATCACTACTCACTGCAGCCTCTACCTTTTGGGCTTGAACAATTCTCCTACCTCAGCCTCCTGAGAAACTGGGACGACAGGTGCATGCCACCATGACCAGCTAATTTTTTTTTATTTTTCCTGCAGATGCAGTCTCGCTATATTGCACAGGTTGGTCTTGAACTCCTGGGCTCAAGCGATCCTCCCGCATCAGCCTCCCAAAGTGCTGGGATTACAGGCATGAGCCACTGAATATACTATTTATATATCATTTATAAATAAATATATAATATATTAATAATAAATCTGAACTTCATAAGACTATTCAATCTGAAGTTTTTTCCGTTAGTTTAGTTCTCTTTATACTTAAGATTCTAGCCAAAGAGTAACTATGAAAAGTAATAAACAAGAATCAGAGTTGGAAGATAGTGTATCCTATTCTAGTTGCTTAGTCATTCATTGAACAAATACTTACTTGGTCCCAAGTGCTATTATAGATACTGTCCAGCAAAGAAGAGTGTACTTCCATTTGCTCTTCTCTGTTATGGCAGATTGTTTTTGCCAAGATGGTTATAACAACACCTCCCGTTCTACCTGCTCATCTTATCATGCAAGTTGTCACTCTTCACTTTGAGAGATGGGGACTATATTCCCTTTCTTCGAATCCAGACAGGCCTGTGATATAGCAGTTTAGCCATGCGACTTCTAAGGTTAGGTCCTACAAGTTAACACAGATTCTGCCTGGCTCTCTTAGGACGATCAGTCTTGGAACCCAACTCCCACACTGTGAGGAGACTGAGGCCACATGGAGAGGTGACTGTGTTCCATCACGTGGGTGTCCCAGGCAAAAGTTCAGTAGCATCAACTCACCAGCCAGATATGTGACTATGGAAGCTTTAGAGAATAACTCCATTATTTCAGTTGAACCCCAAAATCATGAGAAATAGTAATACAATAATATAGTTTTTCCTAAGCTGCTACGTTTTGGAGTGATTTGTTATATGGTGACAGATACCCTGAATATCTCTTACCTACTCATTTTATGAACATACACGAAACTTACATTTCATAATATAATATATAAAATTGAGAATGAGCTCACTTCCTACCTATTTTATTAAACTAAATGATACCATGTATATGTCATTCTTTCAATGTCAATGAAAAAATAACAAATTAAATTCAAAGTGCTTTCTATGTGCCTTTTAGATTGTTATTGAGGAGATAAATGGATATAAAAAATCATTCAAGCCGGTCACGGTGGCTCACGCCTGTAATCCCAGCACTTTGGGAGGCCGAGGCGGGCAGATCATGAGGTCAGGAGTTCGAGACCAGCCTGACCAACATGGTGAAACCCTGTCTCTACTAAAAATACAAAAAATTAGCTGGGCGTGGTGGCGGGCACCTGTAGTCCCAGCTACTCGGGAGGCTGAGGCAGAATGGCGTGAACCCGGGAGGCAGAGCTTGCAGTGAGCCGAGATCGTGCTACTGCACTCCAGCCTGGGCAACAGAGTGAGACTCTGTCGCAAATAAATAAATAAATAAATAAATAAATAAATAAATAAATAAATCATTCAAGCAAGAATTTCAAGAAAAAATGGAAGCTTCATGACTTGCTGGGGCAAAATCACTATTGCCTTTGTTTTTTTCCTTTCTGTCTCATTTTTAAGCCATCTGACTTTCAAAATTACCCTGCAAACTCTGGTGCTCTTCTAACTTTCCTCTCTTCATGTGTGTCACCATCATCCATGCAGTTACTGAAGCCAGAGGTTTTAGAAGTTGTCCTTGACCTCTCTGTCTTTCACATCCATATCCAATCTATCACTAAGTCCTGACCAGTTCTTCCCAAAGAACTTCGGAAGTTTTCTGCTTTCCATCTCCCCTGACATGATCTCAATTCAACAGAAACCTATCAATTGTTCTCCCCAAATTTCTAGTCCCCACCAATCCTTTGCATCAGAATGCAAATCTGGTCATGTCACTGCCCTGCTTTCCTTTTTTTGAGACAGAGTCTCACTCTATCACCCAGGCTAGAGTGCAGTGGCATGATCTCGGCTCACCGCAATCTCTCTCTCCCAGGTTCAAGCGATTCTTGGGCCTCCCAAGTAGCTGGGACTACAGGCGTGTGCCACCATGCCCAGCTACTTTTTGCATTTCTAGTAGAGATGGGGTTTGCCATGTTGGGTAGGCTGGTCTCGAACTCCTGACCTCAAGTGATCCGCCTGCCTTTGCCTCCCAAAATGCTGGGATTACAGTCAAGAGCCACTGCGCCCGGCCCTGCTTCATTTCGATGGCTTCTCAACGCTCTCAGAGAAGGAGATCAAATCCTAAATGTGGTCCACGAGGCTTTGGATCGTTGGACTCCTTTCTCCCTCTCCAGGTTCTTCGTGGCAGCTTCTTGCCTTGTATTCTAGCCATAATGGCCTTTTGTCATTTCCCTGTGTCTTCCTACCTTGGAGTCTCCTTGACTAAGATCCCTATGCCTGAAATCTTCTTACGTCATTTTCTTTGTTAATATGGTTCTCATTTAACTGTCCAAGCCTCCCTTAAAAGATTATTTCATCAAAGGATTCTTCCCTAACCCCAGCCTAAGTCAAATTCTCTGCATTTTTACATCTACTGTACTGTGTCACTAAAAAATATAACAGGAACAAAAAACCAATTCATAAGATTTCATATTTTTTTCCACCACCACAATCACTAAAGAAAACTCTCGCCAGGAGGTAGCTTCATTTGCATTGAGGATAGAACAGATGGAAGAAGAGGAAAAGATAGGAGTAAGAGGTCAAAGAGCTAAGAACTTCTCGGGCCAACGGTCAGGAAGAACTTAGGAAAATTCATTTTTATCAGTGAGTAACTGGAAAGAGAAACACTGAGAATGTAAGACACAGGAAAAGATGTTAAAGCTTTTCTGTTTTGCAATAAGATGGACTCTCTTGGGTATTTTCTGAAGAGTTGCAATAAAGTTTTTTTCTGCTGGACTGACCAAGAGAGGGGCTGCTTTATATAGTTTATGCATATTGAATATTAATTTAACAACGCTGTCCTCCTCTCACCTCCACTTACATACAAACTTTATGTGGTCAATGTCTTGTTTTGCTTGTCATTGCAACCTTGGTGTTTACACAATTAGTAGTGGGGGCTGAATCAATATTGATTGAATTAATGTGTGATTTAGGGCAATTTGCTTAACCTCTCCAGACTTCAATATTTACCCCCTCCTCCCACCTCCAGAAGCCTGGGATAGCCTGAAACAGCTAATTACAGTTCTGATATTTCTCTGGAGTTTCTTTGAAGTTTCATGTTTTGTCTAAAAAACTTGTTTTATGATTCATTTTACAACTTTAATGTTAATATTCCATACCATTATATGTCAGTATTTATTTAAAATTAAAATAATTTTATCTCATGTCTTCTAACAAAAGGAATGGCATTGTACCTATTACCTCCAGTGCTATACAGACTTCAAACCAGTTTGACAAACTCAAGGATTCATTAAATAATCACAAAGGCTCTCTTTGAGCCAAAAGTTTTATGACTCTTGGCTTCTAACAAGTCGAACAGCTAATATTTACTGAATTCCTTTTATGTTCAAGTCACAGGGGAGAATACAAGGAACAATGAGATGAACTGCCTTGGAGATGCAGTTATGATGACAAGTCATGCATATGTACAAAGGTAATATTGTGAGGCAGTACAGACTGCCAAGTGAGTAGAGCAGCTTGTTAATGCAGAAGAATCCAGGATGACTGAGCCCTCTAGGCCTCAATTTCCTCACCTGAAACATGGGTAACCATGCTTATGCTTTTATATCACAGGATGGCTATAGAGGTCAATAAGATGAAATGTACCTACATACAAATTAGAAAGCATCTTATTCTCGGAGGGTTTCGATCACATGGCAAAACCTTGAGATGGAGTAGGAAACAAGTTGATAGACGAGCATAGCAGAACGGCCTTCATGAAGACACAGAAAAAGAAATATACCACAAAGATACAGGAAACTAAAAATGACAATCTTTATGGGGTGGAAAGCTCAATCAAGTGAGATAGCTCTGAAAAAGCAGGATATTGTGGGCCTTGAATTCTAAGTTAGGAAATTTAGAATCACTACTGTAGATGTCATTTTCAAAAGATAAATCCCTTGGTACATAATTTGGTTCATATTTTGAGACAGCTGGGAACATTTGGCACAGACAAAAGGGCTATTTTAAATGCTTTGACTCCTTTAAAGAATATTAAAGGGACACGTGAAGAAATCAGATAATTGCTTGCAGGGATCAAGTGTCAGGATGGTAATATTGCTAAAAGAGGAAAGAAGAGAACATGGTTGTTTTTTTGAGTTAAAAATGAACTGGCATTATGCCAGATGTGGGCAAACAGAATAGAAGTAAATTTGAAAGGAGTTTCAATATAACTCTTGATGCTTGGAGGCAAAAAGCAAATGGCCTTCAGCGTAATTTGGAATAAATTCTAGCATTATTGGATGAACAACACATGGCTTAAATTTTAATCCAAAAGCTCAACCAGCTCTCTAAGATGAAAGTGTGGCATTGGTAGAAGAATGAGTTTTTGGAAAATAATATAGAGGAAATAGTACCTGGTGTTGGTGATAACTCTATATATTCAATTGTTTAAATGAGATTTTTGAAAGTCAACTAAAAAGAAAATACATTGTTAGTATACAGTATTAGCATTTGTTTAATGGAAGAACGTAAGTGCAAAACAAATCTTTATTTTAAGAAGTTTCCAGAAAGCACATCTCTTTTGCAAAATGTGGAAAAGCCCACCAGTGTTGAAACCATATACCTTTGAGTGCTCTTAAAGATGGCTGCATTTGAACACTGCATATTGTGCTATAATTTGTGTAGAAAAGAAAGAATACATCTACTTGTTACTATGTTAATAAAATAACCCTGGAAATATACAAAACTAACCTATCATCTTGGTTTGCCACTAGGACATAGGAGTGAAAGGGAGAAATTTCTTAGGTTTTTTTTTTTTCGTTTTTGAGACAGAGTCTTGCTCTGTCACCCAGGCTGAAGGGCAGTGGTGCGATGCTGGCTCACTGCAACCTCTTCCTCCCGGGTTCAAGCGATTCTCATGTCTCAACCTCCCGAGTAGCTGGGATTATAGGCGCCTGCCACCACGCCCAGCTAATTTCTATATTTTTGTAGAGACAGGGTTTCACCGTGTTGGCCAGGCTGATCTTGAACTCCTGACCACAAGTGATCTGCCCGCCTCGGCCTCTCAAAGTGCTGGGATTACAGGAGTGAGCCGCCCCGCCTGGCCGAGAAATTTCTTTGTATATCATTTTGGATTTTTAAAGTTTGAATCGTATATTTTGTAGTCCAATAAACAGATAAACAAATCAAATGACCTCAAATAAAATGATTATCTTTGATATGGTTTCTAGAGTTTGAAGTTCACTTTATTAATAAATAAGTCAACTTACCCTACGTACTCAGATGGGTAAGATGATAATCCTTTTTCTCCAGCACATTCTTTCCAAGCTTCTTTAGTGTGCATCAGAATCACCTGGGGACTGTTCAAAACAGATTGCTTGGCCTCATCCCCCAGATTCTCTGACTCAGACTGGCTGGGGCAAGTCCCAGGAATTCTCATTTCAACAAGTTCCCAGGTGCTGCTGCTGCTGGTTGTCTGGGGACCAAAATTTGAGAACCACGTTTTTGTGTTGTTGTTGTTGTTTGTTTTTTTGAGAGAGTCTTCTTGCTCTGTTGACCAGGCTGGAGTGCAGTGGCATGACCTCGGCTCACTGCAACCTCTGCCTCCCAGGTTCAAGCAATCCTCCTGCCTCAGCGCCCCTCGTAGGTGGGATTACAGGCATGTGCCACTATGCGCAGCTAATTTTTGTATTTTTGGTAGAGAAGGGGATTTGCCGTGTTGGCCAGGCTGGTCTTGAACTCAAGACCTCAGGTGATCCACTCACCTCAGCCTCCCAAAGTGCTGGGATTACATGCATGAGCCACCGTGCCCGGCCAAGAACCACTGTTCTAGCAGTAACATCAGCAATGAGTCACTGGTGCTGTAAAACGCTTCACATTCCATAGCAGAAATAAAAATGTATATGAATTAGAAGTCTGCTGGGTGCGGTGGCTCATGCCTGTAATCCCAGCACTTTGGGAGGCCGAGGTGGGCGGATCACCTGAGATCAGGAGTTTGAGACCAGCCTGGCCAACATGGTGAAACCCCGTCTTTACTAAAAATACAAAAATTAGCCAGGCGTGGTGGTGGGCGCCTGTAATCCCAGCTTCTCGGGAAGCTGAGGCACAAGAATCGCTTGAACCAGGGAGGCGGAGGTTGCAGTGAGCCAAGATCACGCCACTGCACTCCAGCCTGGACAACAAGAGTGAAACTCCACCTAAAAAAATAAAAAAAGTCACCAGGCTCTAGAGAACGTAAGCAAAACTTCAAAACTTTATAAATCTAAAATGTAACCCGTTTTGAAGGTAGCATCTCTAGATAAATTGCTTTAAAAAGTCTTCTCTGTGATCGGTAAATCAATGCCATGCCCAGCACTCTACTGTTATGATTACTCTAATGACATAGAAGATACCCCTCTGCCATCAAGGAGCTTTGAATCTAGTTTAAACCAATGAGTCCCCTTTTGAGACATGATCCATTTAAATGTTTGTTTTAATACTGAATTACATAGAAGGTGTAACTCAAGAAGTTTCGTGAAAAGTTTTAGTATCTCTTGTATTTATTTCTCATTAACTTTTACCCAAATTCAGACCTGTCAATGCTGGTGAAGAGTAAATAATTTGCAATTTGCACATGGTGAATTGAAAGCCCATGAAAATACAGATGTGGGCCGGGCGCAGTGGCTCACACCTGCAATCCCAGCACTTTGGGAGACCAAGGCGGGTGGATCGCTTGAACCCAGGAGTTTGAGACCAGCCCGGGCAACATGGCAAAACCCTATCTCTACTAAAAATACAAAAATTAGCCAGGTGGGTGCGCCTGTAGTTCCAGCTACTTGGGAGGCTGAGGTGGAGGGATCACTTGAGCCCAGGAGGTCAAGGCTGCAGTCAGCTGTGATTGTGCCACTACACTCCAGCCTGGGTGACTTGTCTCAAAAATAACAAAACAAAACAAAAAATAGATGTGGGTTGAAGGACAAGTTCTACTGCTAATGTTATGTAAGCTTAACTTTTCTTATACTGTTTCTTCATCTAAAACTGAGTATAATTTTAACTATACCAAATGTGATACTCTATGACAATAATAATAAAATCTAACATTTATTGAACATTTACTAATAATTTACATGCATTAATTCATTCACTCTTCCCAACAACCCTATAAGATAGGTACTATTATTATCATTTTCCAGATAAGAAAACAGAAGCTCAGAGAGGTTTAAGAAACATGTCCAAGGTTAGTTGGCCAGTAAGTAATAGAGCCAGGATTCGAATACTGGTCCCTTCCGTAATCACCATGCTTGCTGCTTTTCTTAAAAGTTGGAGATGAAGGTAGACCTTTTTTCACCTCAAACACCTTAGCTATCTTTAGTGGGTCATATAAAGGGGCCTTTGTACTTTTAAAAACATATTGCCCTGGTAAGTTTCTATAAATGTGGAGAAAACACATGTACTTACCTGATTGTATGATATGGTTTTTTGTGTGCGCACAAGGTAGTGCTCTGTGAGACCATTGCATATAAGTCTGTTAAGTTCAGGTAATATCTTGGCTGGGCGCGGTGGCTCAAGCCTGTAATCCCAGCACTTTGGGAGGCTGAAGTGGGTGGATCATCTGAGGTCAGGAGTTTGAGACCAGCCTGGCCAACATAGTGAAACCCCTTCTCTACTAAAAATACAAAAAGTAGCTGGGCATGGTGGTGGGCACCTGTAATCCCAGCTACTTGGGAGGCTGAGGCAGAAGAATCGGTTGAGACTGTGTCTCAAAAAAATAAATAAATAAATAAATAAAACCAAAAATCAATACCAAAATGCCTATCAATCCCAACACTTTGGGAGTCCAAGGCAGGAGAATCACTTGAACCCTGGAGTTCACAATCAGCCTGGGCAATATAGTGAGAACCCATCTCTACAAAAAACAAAAAAGTTAGCTGGGTGTGAGTGTGATGGCACATACCTGTAGTCCCAGTTACTAGGAAGGCTGAGGTGGGAGGATTGCTTGAGCCCAAAAATTCAACGCTGCAATGAACCGTGATCGCATCACTGCAGTCCAGTCTGGGCAACAGAGTGAAACTCCGATTCAACGAAACAAAACACCAAGAGGAACTCTGGAAAATATGTAAATATATGGAAATTAACCAACATGCTCCTGAATGACCACTGGGTCAACAAAGAAATTAAGGTGGGAATAAAAAAAATTTCTAGAAACAAATAATGGAAAGAACATATCAAAACCTATAGGATTCAGCAAAAATAGTGCTAAGAGGAAAGTTTATATCAATAAATGCCTATGTCAAAAAAGTGGAAATGTTACAAATTAGCAATCCAGCAATGCACCTAGAAGAGCTGAAAAAGCAAGAACAAACCAAACCCAAAATTAGTAGAAGAAAATAGATAAATAAAGATCAGAGCAGAACTAAATGAAATAGAGAAAAAAATCAACAAAAAGGACTGGTGAAAGGAAAAATTGGTTCTTTGAAACGATAAACAAAATCGATAAAAGTAGACTTTATTTTTTAGGGCAGTTTTAAGTTTACAACAAAATTAAGCAGAAAGTACAGAGAGTTACGATATGTCTCCCACCTTCACGCGTACATAATCTCTCCCATAATCAACATTCCACCCTCAAGTGGTACATTTGTTAACAATCAATGAATCTATGTTGACACATCATTATCACCCAAAGCCCATATTTAGGATTCACTCTCGATATGGTATATTGTATAAGTTTTGACAAATGCATAGTGACATATATCCTCCATTGTAGTATACAGAATAATTTCACTGCCCTAAAAATCCTTGGGCTCTGCCTATTCACCCCCTCTCCCCACATAACCCAGTAATATTTTTTCTTTTTCTTTTTTTTTTTTTTTTAGAGAAAGTCTCACTCTGTCATTCAGGGTGGCGTGCAGTGGCACAATCTCAGCTCACTGCAACCTCCGCATCCAGAGCAAGAGATTCTCATGCCTCAGCCTCCTGAGCAGCTGGAATTACTGGTGCCCGCCATGACACCTGGCTAATTTTTGTATTTTTTAGTACAGACAGATGGGGTTTCACCATGTTGGTCAAGTTGGTCTCGAACTCCTGACCTCAGGTGATCTGCCCACCTTGGCCTCTCAAAGTGGTGGGATTACAGGCATGAGCCATTGCTCTTGGCCATAACCAAGTAATTTTTAATATGTTTTTCTTATACAAATAATATATAGGGAGGAAGAAATATTTTCATCTAAATAATATAGTATGGTTAAGAATGTTTGCTTAGTATAGACATGAAACTAATTATCAAGAATGTCAGACAAGTCTATCAAGCAGTATAACTTCAGAATGATAGGATAAGCCTTCATGTGTCTTGTACTTAATTCGTCCTCTTCTATGCTTAGGTAAAGATTTCTTAAACTGCTGTTTAAAAACACTAACCACAAAAACAAAACTAATAAATACGCAAGAACTACCCATCAAAAGAGAATGAGAAGGCAAGCCACAGCCACGGAGAATATATTTGCAGAGCTTATATCCGTATATAAAGGAAACCTACAAACCCTTAGAAAAAGACAAACAACTGAATTTTAAGATGGGCCAAAAGACTCGAATAGATCCTTCCCAAAAGAAGTTACCCAATGGGCGTAATGGAATGAGTATATGAAAAAGTGCTCAGTCTCTTAGTTATCAGGGAAATGCCTATTATTGAGATGCCATGATGTACCCATCAAGATGATGAGTTAAAAACAAAACAAAACAAAACAAAAAGCCTGAAAATACACACTGTTGGAAACAATGTGGAGCGACTAGAAGTCTCATACGTTGCTGGTGGGGGTATAAGTTGGAAAGATAACTTTGAAAAATAGTTTTGCAGGATTAAACTAAAGCTAAACATCTGTATACCTCACACAAGGTACATATAGAAGAGAAGCAAATGCTTTCGTCCACCAAAAGGAATATGCAAGAATGTTCCAAGAATGTTCATCGCAACTATATTCATCATAAACCAAACCTGAAAACAGCCCAAAAGCTCAACAATAGTAGAATTGGTAAATGAGTTCGGGTATATTCATACAATGGATTCTACTACAAGCAACAGGAAGAAACAAACAATTGTTGCATGTTAGAAAATGTGTGAATCTCACTGAAAAATGTTTAGCAAAAGAGGCCAGGCACAAAAGTACCTACTCGTGTGTGTGCGTGCGTGTGTGTGTGGGTGTGTGTGTGTGTGTGTGTGTAAAGTTCAAATACAGGCAAAATGATGGTGATGAAATTTAGAATAGTATAACAGTAATTGCTTCAAAGTTCAAGGACAGGGAACAGTAACGGGGAAGAGATGTGACAGAGCCTTTGGGATGCTGGAATGTTCTATATCTTGATTTAAGTAGTTCTGCACCAATGAATACACATGAAAATTCATCGGGTTAAGATTCACGCACTTTACACCTGAATAAAAAAGAAAACAAAGTCATTCTGTTTAATATAATAAAATACGTATTTCCACGCTAAATATTACGTTTACAGCTTTGAAAGATTAAAAGACTGAAAAAGTACTGAGTATTAATCTAGGCAGAAGGGTCTGACTGCCTTTGCTAAATATGGAATTGGCTTGGTAAAATTACACTTTACCCATGCAGTGGTGTGCAATGATTCCATCAGTGGGACACTTGGAGGAAAATATTATTGAATAACTTTCACCCAGTGAATATGCTTTTTGTTAAGAGACGCTTGCTTCTAATTGCTTTAAATTTGTGAGTCAGAAATTGGAGGAAGAGGGGGTGGAACCATTCCCCACCCTTCTCCCCTTGGCACCCCTACTGACCACAGATCTTTCGCTTTGATTCTTATTAGAGGTTTTCTGTCCAATTTTATGGTTTTCCGCGTTCTAAAACACACATTGTATAAATAAATGACACATGCTTAGGGCTTGCAGATGCCTTTAGATGTTTCTCAAACTTCCCTGTGGGCCAGTTCTCCACCTTCCTGGTGTTTGGGCTTGAATTCACAGTCAATAGTTGGAATTTTACTTTGGACTTTCATTTGTCTATTGTCCCAGTGGCTCTAGGTAGGATTTGATTAGGATTAGCCCATAGGATTTCAGTAAACGAATTTTAGAAATTGTTGGAAATGTCACATCCACCAAAATAAATTTTGTATGATGTCCCTAATGCATGTTAATAATCCGTTGGTATATCATATGCTGCATTCTGTAAAACTTAACTGGAACATATCAAATATAATTGGTAAAGGTAGAATTCAGTCAGCTCCTACCTTCAAGTTCAAGGATACATCCTGCTGGCTAGGCAGAAAAGAGAGGCTGAAATTTCTGCATAGCAGCTTGACTTAAGGTTTCTGCAAAGACAGCACACTAGAAATGATAACGAATGTTTGCAAGCTCTTTCTTCACTTACCACTGACTACACCAGATTAGGAGGAGTAAAATATCTAGGATCTGGAGAAGATGGAGCCTTATGTTATCTTGATGTACAGTATCAGATGCAGATTAGGGCTAAGGGCTTACGTGGTGAAACGTCATTCTGAGATTGTAAATATTCTCCCACTGCTCACCCAGCCATGTGCAGGACGTAATAGTTTCTAATTGCTCTGAGTCTGTGGGCTCCTGAGTCCTCATTCATCCATCCGAGCTGGGGTTTTGGTACAGAGACAATGATGATAAGAAGTACTTTCTTCTCTTTGTCCCTGCAGACGGTTGCAAAATGAATCTTTTCAGGATTTTATCATCGGGGTGTCAGGTCAGATCCATGAGGCAGGAATGTCAAGTTGGCTAAAGGACATTCTAAAGTGAATTTATTAAAATGATTCTAAGAGAGAATTAAAATTGTGCTAAGAAATTTTTTTTTACTGGGTTTACACAAAACCTTCATGTTGGTAGTCATTTACCTGTCTTTGAAAAGTAGAATTTCGAGAATTGAAATTGCTAGTGTGTGATTCCTTAGTCAATTTTCTTTACAATTGCCTTGATTTCTTTCCTCCATGACTCATTTCTTTCTCTTCAGCTTAGAGATACTTTGTAAAGTGTGATTAGGTGTTAAGTGTGCGGATTCTAGAGCCAAGGTAACCGAATTCAAATCCCAGCCTACTAGCTGCATGATCTTAGGCATTATTACTTAACCTCTATCTGACTGTTTCTTCATCCGTCACAAGGTGGGGGTGATTATTATAAAACCTAGTCACGGGGTCACTGGTAGGATGAATGAGTAAGTAGAGATAAAGCTCCTAGCACAGTGTCTGGCACGCAGTAAACACTGCATTAAGGATCAACTTTATCTCTGTTCTTGTTGAGGGACTCCCCTGTATCTTTCACTGCATGGCTTGGCTCTTCCTGATGCTCTTTCTTTCCCAGTCTTAACTCCATGGTTTGCTCTACATCAGCGTGCCAACTTTGTTTATTTCTTGGTATAGTTTATTCAAAAGTTTTGAATCCTAAAATCTGGGTGGTGGAGAAGGAGGAGATTATTATTGACCTTCATTACATGCCTCCAAAGACCTTGGTGTAGTACGTTAAGACTGTCACTTGCCAAGTGACTCATTCATTACCCAATACTGTCACGCACTAGTCATAAGACAATTGGAAGGGACAGATGAAAAGAACAGCCATCTACTTTAATTGCTATGTTTTGGAAATAATGTATAATATTAAAACCACAACTCCAAATCATAAAGCCTAAGGTTTGGAAGAGACCGAAAATCACTCAGCCTAACCACCCAAGTGATGCTTGTGTGTATTTGCAATATTCTGTATGGAAGGTTCAGCCTCAGTTAAGTATGGTGATACTCTTATCAACTCAAGAAGCAGTTTATCTTTTAGATGGCTCGGATTCTTTGGAGGATCTTTCTAACTTTAGTCAAAATTAATATACTCACAGTTTCCATCTATTATGTATTTTCTTTTATTAATTTACTCTTGAAGTCTTATGGAATAAATGTTATGCATCTTTCCATTAAAAGCCCTCCAGATATTTGCTGACTGCTAGCATGTTTCTTCTGGAGTCCTCTCTGGATATTCCAGTCGAGCTAAATATTACTCATCTTCTCCAATGTGGATGGTCTGTTCTGAATGAGCTATGATTTCTTAATATCCTTTTAATGCTGGTCCCAAATTGAACCCAATACTCCATATATAGTTGGGTAAGCTCAAAGTAGTTACTACCTGTGTCTACTATTCTAGCTTCTAGATGGTTATACTTCTATTAGTGAACTCCAAGATCATATTAGCTTATTTTTGGTAGCTACGTCATATTTGTGAAAAATATTGTATTAATTTTGTCCAAATGACTTTTTCCGTGCCCTAAGACAGACCTAACCAGCAGCTTATTCTTTGGAGTTTCCACAGCATTTTGTATGGATTGCTATTGTAAAACAAAACCAAAAAATTTATCTACAGTTATACACTGCATCAGAACATCTTGGTCAATGGTGGACCGCATAGACAATGGTGGTCCCATAAGATTATAATACTATATTTTTACTGTACTCTTTCTATGTTTGGATATATTTAGATTCACAAATACTTATCATTGTGTTACAATTTCCTGCAGTATTCCGTACAGTAAATGTTATACAGGTTTGTAGCCATCTAGATTTGTGTAAGTATACTCTACGATGTTCACACAACAGCAAAATCACCTAAAGATGCATTTCCTAGAATGTATCCCTGTTGTTAAGTGATACATGACTGTATATTATAATATTGTGTTTCTATTCTAACTATTTTATTGTGTTCTTGCATTTGACTATGAACTCTGCATAGGTAAATTTTTCATTATTTTGTTGTAGTGGCTAATAACCCATCTGTTACTCAAAATATGTTTGTCAAATAAATGTTGAACTAATCCCTTGATAGAGCATTTTAAGGTAACTAGTTAACAAAGACCACTGCACCATAATGTCATATGAAAATTTTGATATCAGAGGCCCACAGAGATTGATAGCCCCATCTCCTTTTCTAGAGTCCTACTTATACCTAAACCATCCAGCTAAAGGTTTGTAGAACTGAGGTCTAATGGACTTCAGGAAAGGGGATTATTAAACCCAGTAGCTTAGTCAAGTGCATGCCCTATGTACGCCTCTAACTATACAACCATTGGAAGTATTATGCAAGAGTGTGGCTAGATCACTTTGCAGTCAGCACTCACCATGGCAAAGCAATCAGCTTTAGAAGACAGAGGCCATGTGCGAGCCTGTTCCAAGGAAACCTGATCCTGGAAACTTGCAGTGAATTCGGCTGCCTTGGCAGTGACATCTCATCTGGCAGCCTGGAACAGGAAAACTTATTTAGAGAACAAACATGCCTTTTAGGAGCTCGCAGTGAGTCCGATCTTAAACTGAAAACTAGGGGCCTAGGAGATTATGGTTCTGTTTATGTTGTTTGTGTTTTACATATGCTGCGTATCCTCCCTTAAGTGGTCTTTGGTTAATACATATTCCTGGCTAACAGTTGCTGTATTGAACACAGAGGAACAGACACACCTCTAGACCTTCATTCTTCTGGATTTTGCAAACCCGATAGTCAATTTCCAGCTCAGCTTTGATAGTAATATTTCCAAATGATAAGGAACAGGAAATGTCGCAACAAGTTCTCCTGACAATGAGGTCCTGTGTGCCTAGGTTTTGTAGAACATACTGAAAAAGTAGGTGGCCATGTCTTTGATATGCTTTCCAAGGTGCATCCAACTACAGTCTCCTTCCTTTCTGCCCAGTAATTCCCATCAGTGAACTTAGGCCCAAAATCAATAAAGCTGTTTTTTATAAACTATTATTAAAGGGCATTTCCACTACCTGAGAAGGAAGGGAAGACGTTCTAGCTCACCCTTATTAGCACCGTAGGAGGCACTCGTGAATCAATACCTGAAAATGTACAAGTCCCAGACAATCAGTGCTCAGAGCGAGAGCGGGCAGTGGCTGAACTTGGCCCCAGGCCCACCTATGAAGCCTCCCGAAGACACTGAACAGCCTGATGCAGAGAATGCCAAGTACTGGAGGGGCGGATGCAAAGGTTCCAGACCAAGCTCAAGGGTGTTCCAGTGCGCTGGCCAGCATCTTAGGGAGGAAGGGGTAAAGGAAGGAAAAGAAGCCTAGATTCACCTACAATTTGATCTGTGAGGAGTGTTGTTTATGAGCGGCATCCTTTGCAAATATAGCTTTGGAGGGAAAACAAATGCATGCTATAAATTTCCAGTAACATCCTGCCTGAGGTAGACTCAGTCACTCTGTAAGACCCCACTGTGCAGACAGGGAAAAGAGACATAACTGCAGCTGATTCTGCAAACAGTGGCCACAGTGTCCTACCAAGATGACAGAACAGAGGTCACAGCCACCCTCTAAAGGGCCTCGGGTCTGGCACCCACCCCCTCGCCACCGCCTTCTTGCCAAACTCATAAACACCCAAGCTGGAAAAAGCTGACAATGTATCTTCCTCTCCCACCCCTGTTGGAACTTTCTTGGATGAACCACTTCATAAACTTTCCCCCTCATGCAGAGGAAGACTTCTTATATTTTTTTTCTCTTACTTTAGGAAATTTGAACAAAATATTTTTTTCAGGTAAAATATACAAATATTTATTTTTAAATATTTGCATGTCAAAATACACTCAGGCCCAGAAAGTACTCTTAATGGGAGACTCATCAGATCTTGGTATTGAAGGCTCTGTGTTTTGGCAGGTTTTATTTATGGTTATAGAAAAAAAAAAGGAGTAACTGAAAATGAAAATGGTTGAATAGACTGCCCCACAATTTACCAATTTCTTTCTTTTATTTTCTTTTTGCTCTGGGCCTGAGACCAGCATGGAAAAGTTTTAGCTTCTAAATAGACTCTTTCAGGAAGATTTGTATGCTGATGAAGATGGTGTAAAGAAAAGTAGTGTACCACCCTAACTTGAGCTTTTTTTTTTGAGACAGAGTCTCACTCTGTTGCTCAGGCTGGAGTGCAGTTGTGCTTTCTTGGCTCACTGCAACCTCCACCTCTTGGGTTCAAGCGATTCTTTTGCCTCAGACTCCTGAGTAACTGGGATTACAGGCACCCACCACCATGCCCGGCTAATTTTTGTAGTTTTAGTTGAGATGGGGTTTCATCATGTTGGCCAGGCTGGTCTCGAACTCCTGACCTCAAGTGATCCGCCCACCTGGGCCTCTCAAAGTGCTGGGATTACAGGCATGAGCCGCTGCGCCCAGGCACTTGTGCTTTGATTAACATTATTTTCCTGTGAAACAAATTAAAGTGATCAATGAGCTCCAGGGATTCATTTTTAATTAAATCATGAAGCAGCTGGCATTCATGGCCTCTTGGCAGGTAGTCCAGCCTGGGCTTGCTGACTGGAGGAATGAGAGTGGGGAACTTACCAGCTGTCTAAGCGTCTTGGTTCCAGGTAAATGATACTTATCAGGCTGTTGAAGAATTTAGGGAGCACACCTGATAGATAAATCTGCACACAGCTTTATTGAATTACTCTTTTCTTGCTCTGTTTCAGAAAACTGTATGAGAATATAAATCCAAACTTTTCACATAAACTTTTATCGCTTTTAGGTTTGTTCAGAAAGATTGTCCTTGAACTGAAATGAACACATCAAAACTGCTCAGCTTCTCTGAATGGGAAGTATTGAGAAATGATCTTTAAACTTTGCGGTGAATCAGATTTATTTATGGAACTTTTTAAAAATGAAGCAGCCCAGGCTTAAAACTTGGTATGAAAACCAGCCTTGAGAGTAAAATACCCAGTTCCTCCAAACTCCTAGTTCCTCTGCGTTACTTATCCTACCGCGTGGTGACTCACATACAAACAATATACAGATGTTCTTTGAACCTGGATTTCAAAAGATCCGTATTCAGAAAGAATTCTCAATCACATTCACCATATTCCTAATAGACTCCAAAAGTTCTCAGAGTTTTCTTTTTCCCAATCCTGCTGATCTCTGAGTCAACATGGAGCGCCCTTGTTAAAATTTTATTTTAATTTGGCATTGCTTTATTTTGCGTAATCATTGTCTAAGTAAAAGTCTATCTGCTTCTGACTTTTCAGAAAGAGATAATTTTATAGAAAGTGTTATTTATTTCCTATCTGTTCAACATGAGTAAATGTATGAGGACATTAAGATTCTTTCGAACACAATTATTAGCATATTACACAAGTTGAAAGGGATTGGTGATTTTCCACCCCAAAGCGACTTCCTGTAGTTTCAAATGTAACTTTCCTGTAACTAGGGAAGCATGAGCTATTTTTAAGCTTTCTTTTTTTTTTTAAATAGTGATTAAAAAGCTAGTATTCTCTATAAAGGATTTTCTTTGAAGAGCATGTGATTCCTAAGAATCTCAATTAGTTGGTCACCAGAAAGGACAGGGAAGGCTTTATAGCTAGCAGACTTTTCTAAGGTTTCATTTTACAATTCAGGAGCTCTGTGTTCTAATACCACTCAACTGTCAAGAGATGCTGTAGGTGGAATAAAGCAGGGAAATAAAAGAGATGAAACAGCTGGCATATGTTAGCCAGCTTTAAGAGCTCCAAAATTACCCGGTATTCTAGAAAATTATGACGTGCGTGATCATTCTCTCTGGGAGAGAAGCTGCTGCAGAAAGCAAACAGTGACGTAGTATGCAACAAAGGGGCATCTGTGTGGCACCCTGAAGAAAAATATCAAATTACCCCCACATCTAGACAGTCTGGGTAAGGTTATCATCTTCTAATAAACGTAAAATTCTAGTTCTTCTAAGATATGCTCCTGGCCCCATTCCAATTACTGTATGACCTTGGAGAAATGTCTTTTGAAGTGTTTCTGTGTCTGTAAAACCTGGATAATAATACTGTCTGTCCCAGATGGTTGGAATTGTATGAATTAATTAGTTCAAGCTGGAAAGGTCTTTGATAATGTTAAGTGCTGAATATTGTTATTATTATAGATACAGGTGGAGGCAGTGCTGCACAGCACATCTATAATTAGAAAGGCCTAGAAACTGAAAGTCGTGCCAACACCGCGGGAGTTAAGGAGACAATACCTTGTGTCATTTTCTCCCGAGACTCAGTCAGCTTGCTATGATGGAATACTTAATTCGCTCTTATCCTCTTCGAAAGGTTGAAGCTTGTCTTGGACTTGCCAACCAAGCAACATAGTTTTTACCGGGTGTATGTGCTTTTTCAGGCAGTGTTTTGAATGAAGTGCTGACATTTATTAGAACACAGGATACAGTCTTGGGTTTACAACGCTTGTTAATTGTTCTGAGTCAAGAGACCAAGAAATTCCATTACCAGAAACACCTGTCATCTGAAAAAAATGCAGATTTTTTTTTTTTTTTTTTTTTTTTTTTTTTTTTTTTTTGGAGACAGGGTCTCACTCTCTTGCCCAGGCTGACATGTGGTGGAACAATCATAGCTCGCTGCAGCCTCAAACTCCTGGGCTCAAGTGATCCTCCTTCTTCGGCCTCTCAAGTACTCTCAGGACTACAGATGCACACCACCATATCCAGCTAATTTTTTTTTTATTGTTTTTGTAGAAATGGGGTTCTTGCTTTGTTGGCCAGGCTGGCATCAAACTCCTTGCCTCAAGCTGTCCTCCTTCCCTGGCCTCACAAAAGCACTGGGCTTACAGGTGTGAGCCACCACACCTGGCCAGAAATGTTCTTGAGCTATAAAATGAAGAAGAGATCTAACCTTCTTTTAGAGATTAAAAGGCTTTCTTTTTTCATAAACAAACTGCAAAGTGTTATGTGGAATCAAAATACATAAAACAGGCTGGGCGCGGTGGCTCACACCTGTAATTGCAGCACTTTGGGTGGATCACCTGAGGTCAGGAGTTCGAGACCAGGCTGACCAATACGGTGAAACCCTGTCTCTCCTAAAATTACAAAAATTACACAGGCGTGGTGGCGTGCGCCTGTAGCCCCATCTACTTGGGAGACTGAGACAGGAGAATTGCTTGAACCCGGGAGCTGGAGGTTGCAGTGAGCTGAGATCACGGCACTGCACTCCAGCTTGGGGAACAGAGCAAGACTCTATCTCAAATAAACAACAACAACAAAACAAGAACAACGTAACATAGGTTAAAAACTGAGCTGTGCTGAATAAAAGGAAAAAGGGAAAGATTTTCCTTGAGTTTGTAATAACCCTGAGGAATGTTGTCAGAATCTAAGGCTCCCCTGAGCCCACTGGACCATACCATGTCTAAACCAATTTTTAATACCTCATTTTTTGAGTATTCTAAATACCAGCAACATTAAAAACCTGCACTGCTGGGCTCTTCTGGAAGATATAGTTTATGCAGACTGACAATTTATTTCATATGCTATCTCCTCTGGAAAACCTTCTCTGACCATCTCGTCTCGTCTTACAAGTTCAACTATTGGTGAAAGTCACACAGCACTCCAATTTACCATTTCAAATTCCTTTGTTATCTTCTTCTCTATCATCATCATAGCAAATATTTATGAAATACTTATGTGCCAAGCATGGTATTATCTCATTTAATCCTCTCAACACTACCATGGGATAGTTATAATATTATTCATATTTTAGAGATGAGAATATTCAACACAGAGATGTAAAAGAATTGACCACCTAGGAAATGGTGAAGACAAAAGGTAAACCCCAAAGAGCTTGACTCAAATCTTCTTGGGCAATAGCAAAACCCAAGATCATCTTGTTTATCACTCAGTATAGAGTAACTGCCTATGTGTTTACTTGTCTTTCTCCAAAACCAGACCTGTCGGTTTCTTGAGAGGAGGAACTCTGTTATGCTCACGGCTACATCACTGTGACCTCACACAGCACCTAACACACAGTAGTTCTTCTTTTTTTCCCCATAGGGTTTGGGGGAACAGGTGGTGTTTGGTTACATGAGTAAGCTCTTTAGTTGTGATTTGTGAGATTTTGGTGCACCCATCACCCAAGCAATATACACTATATCCGATGTGTAGTCTTTTATCCCTCATTCCCCCTTCTACCCTTTTTCTCAAGTCCCCAAAGTCCATTGTATCATTCTTAACGCCTTTGCATCCTCATACCTTAGCTCCCAGTTATGAGTGAGAACATACTATGTTTGGTTTTCCATTCCTGAGTTATTTCACTTAGACTAATGGTCTCCATTTCCATCCAGGTTGCTGCAAATGCCGTTATTTCATTCCTTTTTTTTTTTTTTTTTTTTTTTTGAGACGGAGTCTTGCTCTGTCACCCACGCTGGAGTGCAGTGGCATGATCTCGGCTCACTGCAAGCTCCGCTTCCCGGGTTCACACCATTCTCCTGCCTCAGCCTCCCGAGTAGCTGGGACTACAGGGGCCCGCCACCACGCCCGGGTAATTTTTTTATTTTTAGTAGAGACAGGGTTTCACTGTTAGCCAGGATGGCCTCGATCTCCTGACCTCATGATCCGCCTGCCTCGGCCTCCCAAAGTGCTGGGATTACAGGCGTGAGCCACCACGCCCGGCCTATTTCATTCCTTTTTATGGCTGAATAGTATTCCATGGTATATGTATATATATATATATATATATATATATATATATATACCACAATTTCTTTATCCACTCATTGATAGCAATCACACTCCTGGGATTGATAGTAGCTGTGTGGATTAATACTGGGTATCTGCCCAGAGGAAAAGAAGTCATCATATGAAAACAATACTTGCACACAGAGTAGTTCTTAATAATTGTTAAATTATCAAACTGGCAGCATGTTTCCTTCAAAGGATAAAACAATTTGCCTATGGTTATTCAAAAGAGTAAAATATTAAATAAATTAGAGTTATGGTTGAATACAGTTTAAAATGATGAAAAAATTTGAAAAGTAATTTCTAAAAGAAAACACTAATCTTTGAACATTTGGGATGAGGCTACTTTGGTGGCCAAGCCTAAATTCTTATTCCGCCCAAGAAAGTCAAATTGACACAACATTTGGGAAAGGTATTCAGCAATTCCACTTCTGCAAGTTTATCTTATAAATAATTCAGAAAACAAAATAAATAAAATTATTGTGTAGAAATATATTTATTACAACATTGTTATAACAAATAATTGGAAATAGCCTAAATATTTAAAAAATAATTAAAAGATTTTTGAATGGTCAACAATCAGAAGAAGAACCTTATGATAATTTTTTTTTTTTTTTTTTGAGACAGAGTCTCGCTTTGTCGCCCAGGCTGGAGTGCAGTGGCGCGATCTCAGCTCACTGTAAGCTCCGCCTCCCGGGTTCACACCCTTTATGATAATATTTTATAGAAACTTCAAAATTATGTATGAAAATATATTTTAATAACTTGTAGATATAGTTAAATCACAGTACTGCATTAAGTAAAAGAAGGAAAATACAATCCTACATTACATAGGATTAAATGTATTTAATGTACGTATTAAATGCATTTCCCTAACTATTGTTAGCAAAGCAAAAGAAAAAAACCGAAGAATAATCTCCAAAGGGTAACATGGGTTAGCTCTGGTTGATGAGTAGTTTTTGCTTTCCCCCCCTTAAACATTTCTGCATTTTAAATTTTTCTACAAGAACATGTCGTGATCAGATGAAAAATAAACTGTGGTTTTTTTTAAGTGTTATTAAAGAGCAGCCATCTGGTATCACAAGATCAGTTAGGTTAGATTTAGGAAACTCATATGAAATTAAAAAAAACCTTTAGAGGAGCAAACTTGGTTGTTTAATTCCTAGAGGCAAATTGCATGCCACTGTGTGTCACATAGTGTATCACGTACACACAGTCAGTTCCCCAAGTATCAGGAGTTAAGAAGATGCATTTATTGAAATAAGAATTGATATGATGTCCATGTTACTCTTATTTTATTCTACAATTGTTTCTGCTAATATTGGAAGTTTTTGGCTGGGCGTGGTGGCTCACACCTGTTATCCCAGCACTTTGGGAGTCCAAGGTGGGCAGATCACTTGAGGTCAAGAGTTCAAGACCAGCCTGGCCAACATGGTGAAACCCCATCTCTACTAAAAATACAAAAAATTAGCCAGGCGGGGTGGCATGTGCCTGTAGTCCCAGCTACTCAGGAGGCTGAGACAGGAGAATTGCCTGAACCCAGGAGGCGGAGGTTGCAATGAGCTGAGATCATACCACTGCACTGCAGCCTGGACAACAGAGCAAGACTCTGTCTCAAAAAACAAACAAAAAATTTTTGAATTTGGGTGGTGAGGTAAATATCTGGGCTCGTGAACATATTAAATGCATAATTGTTGCTTATAATTTCATTTATCTCTCTTCAGTCAGATTAAATATGACCTACTATGTTGCCAGACACAGTGCTAGATGCTTTTTCACTGTATCTCATAATTCAACTCACATAACAACTTTTTCCAGCCAGTTTTAATGTCCACACTTGACAGATGAGGAAACTAACTTTCAGAGAAGTGATCATTCCAAATTCAAGTTGTTTGTTGGGCTATGAATGCTGATCTTCAGCACCTGAGAAACTTTCGATAGTATCAGAAGTAGACCATTTATCCTATTAGAAAACTAAAAAGCAACAAACATATTTATTTAAAAAATTTACAAATGATAAAAAATTAATAATAAAAACAATTCTCATTTTTAAAGTTGGAATAGTCTCTAGGGCTTAGTAACTGGAAAAACAATAACTGAATCTCCATCCAAAATTATGTTCTCATAGCCAGATGTGATGCCACACACCTGTAGTCCCAGCTACTCAGGAGGCTGAGGTGGGAGGATCACTGAACCCCAGGACTTTGAGGCTGCGGTGAGCTATGATTGTACCACTGGCGCTCCAACCTGGGCAACAAAACAAGACCCTGTCTCTAAATAAATAAATAAATAAGTAAATAAAATTATTGTTTCCTATCTGTTTTTTATTTCTATCATATCAGTTCCTTCTATAGAGTTTGATGATTGGCACATACTGTAATGTGTGAGCAAATCGCATAGTCTTATGGCACAAGGCGTGCCCAACATAGAATTCTTCTAGACTGTATTCAAACCTACATAAAAAGAAATGAATACAAACAAGCCATGCATGCACAACCAGAAACATATAATTTCACTAATCCATAGCCACTAGGACTTGTCAAAACCAAGCTGGTCTA
Organism: Homo sapiens; assembly: GCF_000001405.40. Taxonomy (NCBI): domain Eukaryota; kingdom Metazoa; phylum Chordata; class Mammalia; order Primates; family Hominidae; genus Homo; species Homo sapiens. The sequence continues at coordinate 17,856,370 of NC_000008.11, forward strand.
TGTGTGAATGTGTGTGTGTGTCTGCAAATTTTAAGGAACATGTGTATGATGAGGTTAGAAGCCACCATTCAAAAATCTCTTTTGAAAGACATACGCAGCTGGGCGTGGTGACTCACGCTTGTAGTCCCAGCACTTTGGCAGGCTGGGGTGGGTGGATCACGAGGTCAGGAGATCGAGACCATGGTGAAACCCTGTCTCTACTAAAAATATTTTTTAAAAAAATTAGCCGGGCTTGGTGGTGGGCGCCTGTAGTCCCAGCTACTGGGAGAGGCTGAGGCGGAAGAATGGCATAAACCCGGGAGGCGGAGCTTGCAGTGAGCTGAGAGCACGCCACTGCACTCCAGCCTGGGTGACAGAGCGAGACTCCGTCTTAAAAAAAAAAAAAAAAAAGAAAGAAAGACATACATGCAGCCAACAAATATATGAACAAATCCTCAACATCACTAATCATCAGAGAAATGCAAATCAAAACCACAATGAGATATCATCTGACATTAGTCAGGATGACTATTGTTAAAAAGATTTAAAAAAACAGATGTTCATTATATCGAAAAGATAATTACATACGTATGGTTATCACAGCACAATGCATAGTTGCAAAGATATGGAACCAAGCTAAGTGCCCATCAATTGATGAGTAGATAAAGAAAATGTGGCATATATACACTGTGGAATACTACTCACACTACCTGGCCATAAAAAAGAAAGAAGTAATATCTTTTATGGCAACTTGGATGGAGCTGGAGGCTAGTATTCCAAGTGAAGTAACTCGGGAATGGAAAACCAAATACCATATACTCTTGGTTATAAGTAGGAGCTAAGCTATAGGTAGGCAAAGGGACATAGGGTGGTATAATGGCCCTTGGAGACTCAGAAGTGGGGAGAGTGAAAGGGGATTGAGGGATATTGGACACAACGTACACTACTCAGGTGATGGCCGCACTAAAACTCAGAATTCAGCACTATGCAATTCATCCGTGCAACCAAAAACCACTTGTACCCCAAAAGCTATTGCATTGTGTATATATATATACGTATATATATGTACATATATATACGTATATATATACGTATATATATATATATACGTATATATATATACGTATATATATACATATATATACGTGTATATATATACGTATATATATGTATATATATACGTATATATATATACGTATATATATATAGTGTGTGTGTGTGTGTGTGTATGTATATATCTAAAACACAACGGATGTTGATGAGGCTGTGGAGAAAAGGGAGCACTTATACAATTTTGGTAGGAATATAAATTAGTTAATCCACTGTGGATAACAGTAAGAAGTTTGGATATTTATTTCTTTTCCCTTTTTTTTTTTTTGAGACAGAGTCTTACTCTGTTGCCCAGGCTGGAGTGCAGTGGCATGATCTCGGTTCACTGCAATCTCCGCCTCCTGGGTTCAAGCAATTATCTTGCCTCAGCCTCCTGAGTAACTGAGATTACCACACTTGGCTAATTTTTGTATTTTAGTGGAAATGGGGTTTCATCATGTTGGCCAGGCTAGTCTTGAATTCCTGATCTCAGGTGATTCACTCGCCTCAGCCTTCCAAAGTGCTGAGATTACAGGTGTGAGTCACTCACTGTGCCTAGCCTACAGTTTGGAGATTTCTTAAAGAACTTGAAATATAACTACCATTCAACCCAGTAATCCCACTGCTGGGTATATATCCAAAGGAAAATAAATCATTCTACAAAAAAGACACAGGCACTCATATATTCATCACAGCACCATTCACAATAGCAAAGATATGGAACCAACCTGGATGCCCATCAACGATAGACTATGTAAAGAAAATTGGTACATGTACACTATGGAATACTACACAGCCATAAAAAGGAATGAAATTATGTCATTTGCAGCAATGTGGATGCAGCTGGAGGCCATTGTCCTAAGCAAATTAAAGCAGGAACAGAAAACCAAATACCACGTATCCTCATTTATAAGTGGGAGCTGCACACATTGAATATACATGGACATAAAGATGGCAAAGTTAGACAGTGGTGGCTACTAGAGGAGGGAGGGTTGGAAAACTACATATTAGGTACTCTTCTCACTACCTGGGTAATGGGACCATTCATACACCAACCCTCAGTGACATGCAATTTACCCATGTAACAAACCTGCATGTGTACCCCCAGAAGCTAAAATAAAAGTTGAAAAAAATCTCTTTGGAACCCCTTACAAGAGAATGAATGAAAGACGAAAGAATATCTAGCCTTTTTCTAATAAGCCGGGTAAATCTATTTTGACATGATTTTACAATAGCTGTCCCTCTTTGTAGCGACATCTGGGGCTTACAATAGCCTCAGTATTGTTCTATAAATGGCATTTTAAAAAGGAAACATCTCCCCTGTAGGGTGTAAGTTCTTCAAAGGCAAACCATGTTTATGTATGCTGTATTTGCAACACTTAGCACTGTGTTTGATAAATGGTTTACTTTTTTAACTGTTGGAGCGGATTTTTTTTTTTTTTTTTTTTTTTTTGAGATGGAGTTTCACTCCTCTCGCCTAGGCTGGAGTGCAATGGCGGCTCGGCTCACCGCAACCTCCGCCTCCCAGATGCAAGAGATTCTCCTGCCTTAGCCTCCCAAGAAGCTGGGATTACAGGCACCCGCCACCACGCCTAGCTAATTTTTGTATTTTTAGTGGAGACGGGGTTTTGCCATGTTGGCCAGGCTGGTTTAGAACTCCTGACCTCAGGTGATCCAGCTGTGTCAGCCTCCCAAAATGCTGGGATTACAGGCGTGAGCCACTGCACCCAGCCTGGATATATTTTTTAAAAAGAAAAGTATATCTAGTTTTTTAAAAACATTAATTCACTCAATAGTCACATCTAAACAGACATATACTATCTATGCAGATTGTAGGCACGCTGTATACAGGTTAGATGAAAATTCTTTGGCATTACTGTTCAAATAAAAATATAAGACAAGCTGGTAATGAGAGCAATATATGTAATTTTAAAATTTCTGTCTTTCTTTTTTTTCTTTTCTTTTTTTTTTGAGGCTGTCTTGCTCTGTCATTCAGGCTGGTGTGCAATGGCATGGTCTCAGCCCACTGCAACCTCCACCTCCCAGGTTCAAGCGATTCTCATGCCTCAGGGTCTCAGAGTTATAGGTGTGCCCCACCACACCCTGCTAATTTTTGTGTTTTTAGTACAGACGGGTTTTTGCTATGTTGACCAGGCTGGTCTCAAACTCCTGACCTCAAGTGGTCCGGCTACCTCGGCCTCCCAAAGTGTTGAGTTTACAGGCATGAGCCACCGCGTCTGGCCAATATATATAATTGTAAAGTGTCTAATAATGGCATTTAAAAAGTACAAATACAGAGATCTAATTAGTTTTAGTAATATATTTTATTTAGCCTCATCCATCCAAAGTATTATTTAACAATGTAATCAACATAAAAATTATTCTTATTTGTGGAGGTATTTTCTCTTTTTCTGGGATACTATGTCTTCAAAATCCATTGTGTATTTTATACTTATAGCTCATCTGAATAAGGACTAGCCTTATTTCAAGTAAGCAGGAGTCACATGTGATTGGTGGCTGCTGTATTCACAGCGCAGCTTGATAGCAATTTAGCTTCAGGACTTTTGTTTTTGTTTTTGAAATGAACTAAATTGCCAAACCTACATGTAATATACCAGATACACTCATGTCCTTAATGTTATTTGATTTGTTTCTTTAGGACGAACAACCTATTTTATTCACTTTGTTTATATAAAAAGTATTATTCTTAAATATGTACTATGCACATATGATAAAACATTTCACAACATTAAATGGTAGGAAATATAAAAAGGAGTGTCCTTTCATTGCGTCTCCAAGCCCAGTCCCCTGAGGTAACCACTATCACATAAAATGCAGATTTTTTCCACATATATATGAGATATGTATATCTTTTTTAAGTATCAATGAGGATATAACTTACTTTTCATAGTCCTGATAAAATACCAACAAAAACTTTGCTATGTGCATAAGATTATATAGGATATCTTCATGTGTCAATTCTTTTTTTCTTTTTTTTTTTTTTTTTGAGGTAGAGTCTTACGCTGTCACCCAAGCTGGAGTGCAATGGCACAATCTCGGCTCACTGCAACCTCCACCTCCCGGGTTCAAGTGATTCTCCTGCCTCAGCCCCCCGAGCAGCTGGGATTACAAGCGTGTGCCACCACACCGGGCTAATTTTTGTATTTTTAGTAGAGACGGGGTTTCACCATGTTGACCAGGCTGGTCTCGAACTCCTGACCTCAGGTGATCCGACCGCCTTGGCCTCCCAAAGTACTGGGATTACAGGCGTGAGCCACTGCGCCTGGCCCTTGTAAATTCTTTACTAGCAATGAGGAAAGAAAAAGCAAAAGTAAGTATCTGGGATCTTAAATTTGATACTATTTTTAGACACTGATTTTGTAGGATCCAATATTTTGATATTCATAGAAATAACCAGTGGCCATAAGTTCTGTAATATCAAATGAAGTAGCACTCTTCTATGAACTATACACTTTACATTCATTATATGGTTTCTTTTTTTACTTATTTCCTCAATCAGTCAGTCAACGAACATTCGAGATCCTGTCATGTGTCAGACACTGTGCGGAGAGCTGGAGATAAAACTGTCAACAAGATGAATGCAGCCTCTAAAATAAAGAGTTTCTAATCCAGTGGATTCTCTGTTCATGCTTCTTGCACTTTCTCTACACTTTGCTCTATCAAAAAAAAAAAAATTCAAAACACTCACGAGTTTGTTGACCTTAAAGTGGAATCAGCTGATACAAATTAAAAGCATTTTGCATTTCAAAAAGTGATAAAGTCTAATAAATAGCTCACTAATGGTGAAATTTCAGAGACATTTATTTTAGGCTGGGGTCTTCCTAATTCAGAAAAAATCAGTCCAGTTTCCCTATTTTACATCCAAACTCCTCAAATGACCAATCTCTATTCTCTCTCTTTTTTATTTTTTGGATGAGTCTCTCACTCTGTCGCCCAGGCTGGAGTGTAGTGGCACAGTCTCGGCTCCCTGCAACCTCCACCTCCCCAGTTCAAGCGATTCTTCTGCCTCAGCCTCCCGAGTAGCTGGGACTACAGGTATGCATCATGATGCCCAGCTAATTTTTGTATTTTTAGTAGAGATTGGGTTTCACCATGTTGACCAGGCTGGTCTCAAACTCCTGACCTCAAGTGATCCACCCACCTAGGCTTCCCAAAGTGTTGGGATTACAAGCGTGAGCCACTGCTCCAGGCCCCAATCTATTCTCTCTAACTGCTTTTATTTCCTGGCCTAGAGCTCCCTACCATTCCACTGAAACGGATTTAATAACACAAATAGCATTATCACTAAGTCCGAAGATATTTCATTAGAACTTCTCTTCCATTATTTTATGGCATTTTAAATTTTTAAAATCACTCCTTCTGCATTGAAAAACTATCATACTGAGGTTTGACGCCATAATTTGTTTAGCTCCCCTCCCACTTCTCTGTGGAATCATTTTTTTTCTCCTTTAAAAGCTTTTCTTCTTTTGATCTCCTAATTGTGTGAGTTCTTCAGGCTACTACTTGAGCAATTAAGCCCATATTTAAAATTGTCACTGATGATCCATTATTTATAGCTTACCAACGTGTGTTTTATGGAACACTGTTCCCACAAGACCACATTGAAAAACAATCAAGAACCCTGGCAAACATTTCTCCTTTGCCTGCACATTCTACAGAGATCATAAAAATAAATATTCTTTCTCCTGATCATACTTCCAGACAGAGTGAACATATGATACAATTCTGACCAACAAGGCATAACTGAAGTCTGTTGACCCTTCGCTTTTCTTACTGCTTTCAACACGAACTCAAAGCAGGAACCGTGGTAGATAATTTGCAATTTTGAAGGATGGGCTAAATGAATTGCAGGGTCATCAGCCTCCACGCTGCACTGAACATAGGTCAGCAACCACTTACCTCCTGAGTTCTCACTACGTAAGATGAAGAAATCTTTATTTGTTTGGACTTCCGTAGTCAGGCAATTTATACCTCGCACCAGAACATACTCTTAATTAGATATAAAAATGCTACATACTATATGTCCTTCTTGGAGCTTCAGAACGCACATTAGAAAAATTAGAGAACTGAGAAATTCCCAAGAGAAGAAACCTGTGGAATTCTGCTGAATTTGTCATCTCCTAAATTTATTTGATCAGGCAGCCCTTTTCTTCTTTCTGTACTGAACTACCAATGTCTCACAGAACTATGGCTCTCTAGCTTTTTGCTTTTCAAAGTGTAATTTCTAGACCAGCAGTATCTGCATTGTCTGGAAACTTCTTAGAAAACCCAAATATTAGGCCCCATCCTGGAAGCAGAGTTACATTTTAACAGGATCTTCAGTTGGTTTGTATGACACTAAAGACTGAGAAGTGCCGCTTGGGAAACACTGATTTAGAGAATAAAGTACAACTAACCTTAATATCCTTATGTGGCCTATGATTTCAAGGGCCTCTATATCATTACTGTCCCTTAATGCCTACTTCACAAGTCAACACACCTAGTTCTTATTGAATGCTTACTTTGTGCGAGGCACTATGCCAAGTGCTATAGTTTTATAATTCTCAAAGCACCCCTATGAGGCAGGTACTATTGTAATCGTTACCTTGTAGATGAGATAGCTAGGGCTCAGAGAAGTTAAGTTGCCTACCCAACGTCACATAGCCATTAAGTGGCAGAATCCTTGGCTTAAGGATTTAAGGATCACTCAACTATATTGGCTTTCTAAGCTTTTGTTCCCAAGCACTTTCCTGCTCTGTGTACTTAACACACATGATTCCCTCTGCCTGCAATATCTCCCCACGTACACCTTCTTAAAAGGTCTCAGCTCAAAAAGTCAGTTGTTCTGGGAAGCTTTTCTGATCTCCTACCCCAAAGCCAGGTCAGATCCTCCTGGTAAACATTCCCCAGGCACATATCTTTACTTCATACATATCAGCTTTTATAATTATGTATATTTTGTGATTCTATGATTAGTGTATGTGTTTACCAAAAAACTAAGCTCCGTGTGGGCTTTAACTGTATCCTCTGTGCCTGACACACAGTTGACACACAAATATTTTTTAGAGTATCTTTTTTTTTTTTTTTCTTGAGATGGCTTCTCGCTTTGTTGGCCAGGTCGGAGTGCAGGTTGGCACGATCTCAGCTCACTACAACCTCTGCTTCCTGGGTTTAAGCAATTCTCCTGCCTCAGCCTCCCGAGTAGCTGGGATTACAGGCTCACACCACCACGCCCAGCTAATTTTTGTATTTTTAGTAGAGATGGGTTTTCATCATGTTGGCCAGGCTGGTCTCAGACTCCTGGCCTCAAGTGGTCCACCTGCCTCAGCCTCCCAGAGTGCTGGGATTACAGGCGTGAGCCACCGTGCCCAGCCTTTTGGAGTATCTTTTACTCTCATTTGAAACGTTCTCTCCCTATTCTGCACCAATCCAAGTTCTACCCAGAAGAAGCTATAGGATGGTGGCAAGATATTTGATTTAGCATCAGAAGACTTGGATTTGAGGCCTTGTTCCCCTACTTTGTAACTTGGAGCAGTCACAAAAACTCAGACCCACTGATTCTCAGCTCTGTTAAATGGACATAATAATAACCTCACAGGATTGGCATAAGAATTAAAATGAGCCCTGTGAGAGAAGTGTATAACCTACATAAACTTCCTAAAAATACGAGTAGCGTTTTGTAGTGATTAAGATCCTGGGTTGTGCTTAAAAGTTTCCACTCTGTAATCCAAAACCTGAGTTCAAATCCCAACTCATAATATTTATTGTCTCTGCGGTTGATTCGGCAATCCATTATTTGCTGGATTTTGTCATGTGTTTTGCCAATTGCATTCATAATTTATTATGCATTTATGCTTGTATCTCCTAAGTCATGGTATATAATCCATGCTTTTTATGTTTTGTCTGACATAAGCTCTTATCAGAGCCCTTTGCACACAGGGATTCAATAAATATTAACACAGTCTACATTTATTTGGTGAATATTGCATATCTGCTGTACTGAAAGCACATTAAGTAACAAAGGCAAGTGAGAAGAATGAAAAGCACTACTCACAACAGTTATCATGATTGCGCATGGATATGTTCAGAATGAGTATTTTTCAAATCACTTTAAACAAAGCTGAATTGCAGAAACGAAAGCCCAACAGCAGCAATTAAATTACATTTGGAATAAAATCATTTGGCCTAATTTTCATAACCACAGATTTCAGAGAATACCACCACCCATGCCAGGTGTACCAGACAATCCCATTGTCTGTTTTAGCCGTGTAGGGGCCGCTGTAGTATACACCATTCAGGTTTGCAGAGTGACACCTAGTGGAAGGGAGAAAAAAAAAGAAAACAACAATCAGACTGGAAAAATATTGTTCAGAATCCCTTTTATTTTGCTACAAATGCTCAAAATTTTTGAACTATGAATTCTGCCATTTTTCAGACAAGTAAATATTTACTAGTTTCCAAAAGCTGAGAAATTTCTACAACAGATGGCTATTGTATTTTATTTTTTATTTTTTAATTTTTTTTTAATAATAGAGACAGTGTCTCACTGTGTTGCCCTGGCTGGTCTCCAACTCCTGAGCTCAAGCAATCCTCCTGCCTCAGCCTTCCAAACTGCTGGGATAACAGGTGTGAGCCACTGCGCCTGGCCTCAGAGATGGGTATTTTAAAATGGTGAGTTTTACTGCCATTACAAATCTGAAAATACAACCCAGGCCACTCACAGTGCATTGAAAAATAAGCATTTCAATTTTTGATTTTCTTTAAACAAAAAATTAAAACAAGCAAACAAAAACGCATCCTTGTAACCTCCAGCCTTACAACCTCCTGACTCAGAACAGTGTTAATTTCATACTTAACAAGAGCTAAGGTGAGTGTCAGCAAAGCAAGTCGTGGGCAAGGTGCTCTACTACTGGCTTTCCTGGATAATTTGCACTCACACGTTCATTCCTCTGCTGCTAAGACTTAGCTTTCATAATTCAAACTCCGTATGTCCCCTTCTTTAAATTGCTAGCCTATCAGTTATTTCAATCTCAAGGGTAAGCAAACAAACCTAAATCACCATTTAAAGTTTTGCCACCCATCAACCAATAATCATTTTTTCCTAGTTGCTGAGTTAATTTTTTACATATATTGCACCAATCTAGATAAGCTGGTTAGGTTATCGACAATATAAAAATGTTTCTTTCCTCCTTTGGAGTCTGTAAATTTTGTCCTTGATATGTATAATTTACATGTAACAGTATGCAATAAGTTTATGTGTGTTGTTATGAAATTAATTGCCATATACTTCTTTATTGATAAAATTAATGAAAAGATGTCAGAATTAGGATAGAAGGAGAACATTCACAAGAGGTAGTTCTGAACATCTATGGAAAAACCCAAATTATTGAATCAAAAAAGCATATAATCTACCCGTAAAGGCTGAGTGGCTGGCTTGAATCACTTATCAGCTTAATGATTCACTCCTACTGAGCGTTCTCGAAGTCCTCCTAACTTAAATGGACGTAATTAATTGAAAATATGTATGTCAAGTCTGCAAATGTCAAAGCCTACTGTGTTTTTAAAACAGCATGGAAAGTAATGTTAAAAAAAGAAAATACTGTAAATTGAGTCTCCAGAATATATATTTTGGCATATATTTGTCTATCTAGAGACATCTGCTAACTATATTTTTATATTTGGTCTATCATTTGAATCCCATTAGGAAACTGACTCTGTGATGAACATAAGAAACCTTCACTATTCTGAGACCAGTTTTCTAGCATCGTTTAGTTTTTAGAACAGCCTGGATTTGAAACTAGGTTAGGGGATGATTGGGTCTTCCTTGGTGAAGAAGTGGCTGTGAACACTCACGTGAAATGCTACACTAACAAAGAAAAGACATCAACTCGCAGTGATTGGTTTGCTATGTGGAAAAAAACATTTTATAGGTGGGTAATATTTATGAAGTGCCAACATTTCATGTAAATTAGAAGAACTATGGGACAGAAAAAAAGCAACAGTAAGAAGGAAGAAAAGATGATAGTCGAACTCACTGATAGTAGGCATGGTAGAAGTAGCACCAAGTTTCTAAAACAATCTACTTTCTCTCCCTTAATGCCTACTGATTTTCCAATTGCACAGCCTTATCAACCCCTTTGATTCCAAGGATAATGTGGGCTCTGTGGCAGGCTCCACCTAATGAATGGCCTTTCTTTGTGCTCCCTGAACCCATTTCTTTAAAGTCAGGTAAATCGTTCCTTTGCCCACATTAATATACATGGTAGTTTTCATTCAGATGCCTTAGAAGCCAGTCAGCTGGATAAAGTACATGGTTTTGATCTCAGGATACTATTAGTAATTATTTCTGTATATGGAATTGTTTTCAAAATCAAACATTGGTGATGCTTGCAGATGACTTCATGAATTACACGTTAAGTTTTATGTCATGCTGACTTAGAAGAACAAGGGGGAAAGAAAGGAGTAGGAACAGGTGAAGAAGACGGTTTTTAAAATAACAGGAAAACCACTAAGGAAAACACCATCATCACCTTCAATTTGCAAAGCAGGAGAGTGAAATTTGTTTCTCTCCTTCACACTGCTGGAAATACTCCAGTTCCTTTATAAATGATCAAATCTTAAATGGACTCAAATGTTTTTTTAAAAAAGCAAAATATAGAAAAGATGACTATTTTTACAACAGCAGTAGTACTCCCTTATCTGCAGGGGATACGTTCTAAGACCCCTAGTGGATGCCTGAAACTACAGATAATACCAAATTCTATATATTGATACTATGCTTTTTCAGTCTGATAACCGAAACAGCTACGAAGTGAGTAACGAGCAGATAAAGAAAATAAAATTTACCAAACTGAAAGACATGATATAGATTCAAAAGAACCACTGAGTACCCACTGCAGTAAACCAAAAGAAGACCACGACAGTGTATGTCACTGTAAAATTTCAGAACGCTAGGGGGAAAAATCTTTTGGGTGTAGGAAGGAAAAAAACCATCTATAGTAGTTCTCTGTTTTTTCCTATAATATACATACCTATGACAAAGTTAATTTATAAATTAGACACAGTAAGAGATTAACAACAACTAATAATAAAAGATTATGATTATATAACAATATGTCAGCATTACAGCTCTTGTGCTTTGGGACCATTATTAAATCAAATAAGCATGATTCGAACACGAGCACTATGAAACTCCAACACTGGATCTGATAACTCAGACTTCTACTAAGTGTCTTGGGGCAGGGAGGGCTTTCAGCGTGGATACGCTAGACAGAGGGGTGACCCACCTCCTGGGCAGAAAGAATCCAATGGTGCGAATCTCTGCTCAGAATGACATGCAATTTAAAACTTATGAATTCGGCAGGGTGCGGTGGCTCACGCCCAACACTTTGGGAGGCCGGGGTAGGTGGATCACATGAGGCCAGGAGTTCGAGACCTGCCTGGGCAACATGGCAAAACCCCATCTCTACCAAAAATGCAAAAATTAGCCCATGTACCCCAGAAATATATAAAATATTTTGTATCAGTAAAAAAAGAAGCAACTATATACAATCAAAAACGGAATGAATTTGCTGATAAAGTAACATGAATGTATTCAGTCAGAGGGTAGAATTAGGTTTCTGGATTATTGTAAAGGAAATTTCTGTATTGGGAGAGGCTTAGACTCAATGAATTAATGAAAGCCATAGTGATTGAAAAGTAGTACTATACAGAAGCATTACAGCAATAACGGTGGCTCTTTTGTGTGATATGGTCAGGTGAAGAACTAGTTGGTTATTAGGATGCCAAATAGTCTCCATATATATACATGCTCTCTCTTTCTTTGTGTGAATTTGTGGCCTTCTATTTATAACTCATCCATAATTCAGTTTGCAAATGATCTTTGTAAAAGTAATAATTTATTTCTATGACATTTACACTTTACTAATGTACACAATGAACAAATCCTCAAAACGACTTCATTGCTGAAGAATTCTAATGAGAATGATTACTTAATAATACTAATATTATAAATAAAGACTAACATTACCATACATATTATATTGATAATTAATGTCTATCAGTGAGATATCATCAACTCCATTACAACTATGCTCATAAGACATCAAACCTGTTAAACCACCAGCCAGACTGATCTTCTTCTGCGCAGTTCCCTTCATAGTTGTCATGATCTCTGTCCCACGTGCTGAATTTCATTCTTTGGTGACTAGCCCACCACTGCACCTCAGGATGAAAATTCCCCGCAAGGGAATCTCCAGCTGTTCCAGAATATTCCCCAATATTCAACTCGTAGAAATTCTAAAGAAAAAGGGCATTTCTGCTGTCAGTGGAGTTCCTCTATGACCATTTTAAAATTAAGTTTATTTCATAAACAAAAGAACAGGTTCTATTGTATATTTTTATTTCCACTGACTCCAGGGTTATATTGCACATTTTAAGCATTTATTCACGGTTTTACTTCTTAGAAAATTGTAGTACCTTTTCATCTCCAACTTTGAAATTCTTATATTGTGCATAACGGCTATTTTTTTCAAAATCTGCAAGGTCGATTTTTAAAGTGTAGTCTTCTAAAAAAGAAACAAGCAATTATAATTTTTAAAAATGTGTGACATGACACGGACTACTGCGGTTTAAAAATAATTCACAGCTCTATTTTAATTTTACCATTTCCCTTGGCCAAGAATCAGTTTTCAAAGATTAAACAGTGACTCCTTTGTATATATAACATGAACATTTTATCGTGTAATTTATTTGAAAAAAAATGATGGATACAATATTAAATTTAAAAAATGTCTACTAGATCTCTTAGAGGTAAAACCTAGTGCAATTCACTGAATAATGAACAACAGAAAAAATAAGTGATTACTTAAAGCAATCTAACAATGAAAGGGTCGACGTTTTACCTTTAATAGTTTGACCTCTTTTTCTTGATTTCAGTAAGAATGTTGATCTTGAATATAAATGGTGGCTATTAATGACATTGTGTAATCTCTAGTAGCTGAGCCACTAGGTTTGTAAAATGTAGTTGCCATTGCCTGCATATGCCTGAACTTGGTTATTTTCCTGATAGCATAAAAGATCAGCCAGGAAACCCTTTAAGAATAATTTGAGGAAGAAATATGAATCCTAATTGTTATCCGAAAACCTTCGTTTGATACTGGCTCATAAGATCAAGAGACTCTTAGCATCAAAGTATGTAGAGTGGATGTCATTGGAAGAGAATTTCAGAGGCAATAAGGAAACATTCTGGAGAAATGCTGTACCACCAACATTCTCAATGGCAGAGATGATGATAATTACTGGAAAATATACTAACATCAATGACTCTGAGTAAAAAGGTATTTCTGAAGAACTGATATCTACATGTGAAAGCATTTTAAGAATGCAATGGGGCCGGGGCGGTGGCTCACGCCTGTAATCCCAGCACTTTGGGAGGCCGAGGCGGGCGGATCACGAGGTCAGGAGATAGAGACCATCCTGGCTAACACTGTGAAACCCCGTCTCTACTAAAAAATACAAAAAATTAGCCGGGCATGGTGGCGGGCACCTGTAGTCCCAGCTACTTGGGAGGCTGAGGCAGGAGAATGGCGTGAACCCAGAAGGCAGAGCTTGCAGTGAGCCGAGATTGCTCCACTGCACTCCAGCCTGGGCGACAGAGCGAGACTCCGTCGCAAAAAACAACAAAAAAACAAAAAAAAGAATACAATGTATTGGGTACATATTATCTTTTATATATGCTAAAGAATGATATATGATGACAAAAAATCTCTAAACATTAAAGATATACTTTAATGACTGTAAAAATTCTAGGCGATATAAGAGCATTATGTTTTTAAAATGATTAAAATAATTGCTACCTTCAAGTAATCTTTTTTTTCCCATTGTTTGGAAATAACAAAGACTATTCCTTTTTCAGAAACAGAACTCTTGTCAGGGGCACCAAATGTTATAAATCAAATTATTAGATCACATGTGTTCTATCCTCCTACTTTGATAAATAAGATATAACAATGACCTGTAAGGTCGGGTTAGAATTTAGAGCCTCACTTTCCTTGGAGTTTCAAGCCAGACCATGGAGGCACTGGGAAAGAGAGTCCCTGAATAGTCCTATCACCTAGGCCCCATCTCTGGTTGGCCTCTTCTCTCTTTCCATCCCCATCTCCATCACTTATAGCAAGGGGCTTTGGATCCACTTGTGGACATCCCAGGCTGCATATCCAAGTTCTATTCACACCCAAGTTGGGTGGATTACAAGGTCAGGAGATCGAGACCATCCTGGCCAACATGGTGAAACCCTGTCTCTATTAAAAATACAAAAATTAGCTGGGCATGGTGGCACGTGCCTGTAATCCCAGCTACTCAGGAGGCTGAGGCAGGAGAATTGCTTGAATCCGGGAGGCAGAGGTTGCAGTGAGCCGAGATCGCGCCACTGCACTCCAGCCTGGCTACAGAGTGAGACTCTGTCTCAAAAAAAAAAAGCCATTTTTTAGCCTCCCCTCAAGCTTAAGGGTGCACACACCAGGACGAGAACATCCTGAAGGAGTCCTATAAACAAACTCAAGGCTGTTGGGGCAGGGAATGCTGGATTCCTCAAGACTGGAGTCCCTTTAAGAGGTGATGCGGGCCTCTCTTGGGCTTGTTGATTTAGCACCACAATTTCCTTGCCCCAGGGAGCTCTCTCAAGGTAGTAAAGGTCACAGGAGAAAAGACTGTAGAGTGTATAAGAGCAGCAAGGCAGGCTAAGTCAACTGTCTTTAAAAATATTCTATTACAGACGAGATGCGGTGGTTCATACCTGTAATTCAAGCACTTTGGGAGGCTAAGGCACGCAGATGACTTGAAGCCAGGAGTTTGAGACCATCCTGGTCAGCATGGTGAGACCACCGTCTCTACTAAAAATACAAAAATTAGCTGGGTGTGGTGGTGTGCGCCTATAATCCCAGCTACTCAGGAGGCTGAGGCATGAGAATTGCTTGAGCCAAGAGTCAGCGGTTTTAGTGAGCCAAGGCTGTGCCACTGCACTCCAGCTTGGGCAACAGGCAAAAATCTGTCTCAAAAAAAAAAACAAAAAAAAAAAACTTCTATTATAACAGAGACATAAAGACTCAATTTTTTGGCTAACATTGAAATGTCTCTTTGTTCAATAAGTAAACAAATTATATTTACCATTTCTAAATCAATTTTATTGCCACTACTTCTAGTTGAGATTTATGTAGTGGGGATAAAGCTATTCTCAGAGGTAATTCATTAATTCATTAGCCGTAATGCTCTCATAATTAAAGAATGCAGAGACAAAAACACTGGCTATTGTCTGGATTGATGGGATACGTGGGTGGGGGCCCAGGAACTGAAAAACACGTTTTTTCTCCAACGAGATTAGCCAGCCTGAGTACCAAGTTGATATATGAAAAGGAACAGGTTTGTTGGCAAAGTTCCTCTGGGAAAATATGTACATCATAATAACTTAAAAAATAATACGTTTGAATTTCATATATTTAGAAAGAGCCAAGGGTTACTGCTCTGGGGTTTTCATAGTTTCAATAAGAAACCAGATAAATATCAATGTGCAAATGAAACAGAAGTTGGTATGGCAAATTTTATATATCTGGCATAAAACACTTAAAACTAGAATAATAGATATGTTGAAGGAAAGGAAGCGTTATGTAAATTTAGAGAGCACTGATCATAAGAAGGACATACAAAGAAAGTATAAGGTTTCTAGGATTACTCATCCTGTCTAATGTTTATCATTCTAGTGTCTCAAAGAACTTTATAACCATAAGCCTACTACTATAAATATAGAAACACCAATAGCTTTCCAGAACTTGGATGGAACAAAGGAACTTTTGTTTTATCTTAATTACTTTATTATTATTATTATTTGAGACAGAGTCTTGCTCTGTCACCCAGGCTGGAGTGGATTGGCGCAATCTTGGCTCACTGCAACCTCCGCCTCTTGGGTTCAAGCAATTCTCCTGCCTCAGCCTCCCAAGTGGCTGGGATTACAGTGCTGTGCCACCATGCCTGGCTAATTTTTGTATTTTTAGTAGAGATGGGGTTTCACCATGTTGGCCAGGCTGGTCTCGAAATCCTGGCCCCAAGGGGTCCACCCACCTCAGCATCCCAAAGTGCTGGGATTACAGGCATGAGCCACCATGCCCAGCTGTTTATTTTTAATGCAATTGCAGTGTAACTTAGCATGCTTTTTTGGGCATTACAGTTGCCTTTTATGAAGGATTCAGGATCAGACTTGAGTGGGACTGATGATAATCTCAGACTACAACAGAGGTAGGGAAGACAATGGATTGGAGCAAAAGAACATGGGAGATAGAAGCTGGGAAAAGTCGTTATCAAAACAATGATATTTTAGACAAATATTAAACTCTAAAGATAAGAATTTAAAAGTATATAGGGAGACATCCAGATGTCTGCTATTTACTTTGAAATATATATACAGAAAAGATGGATTGATGGACGGATTGAGTAATGGGCAAACGGATAGATACGTAACAAAAACAAGCAAAGTAAAATGTTAATGTAGGATACAGGTGGTAGGTTGAAACTTCTTTCAAATTGGTTGCAGCTTTGAAAAAATTTCAGCATTAAAGATGAGATGTATGTGGAAACATGGACATTTCATATATTATAGTGTTTTATTGGAAAAATAGCACCAATTGCCCAATTGTTCACCTCTCTCTCATAATATGTCTTCATAGCTCCTCCTATTGTTTACTTCCTTTTAAAAAAAAGTCTGAGCTGCTCCTGTGATTTGCTTTCACCAATAGAAGAAAAATGACTCCATGCCAATTCTGGGCCTAGATCTCAAGAGACTTATATACATCCACTCTTTTTTGTGGAACCCTGCCTGTGCTACAAAAACAAGTCCAGGCTAGCTAGCTGGAAGATGAGAGACCCTATGGAGCCAGGTTGAATCCTTCCATCCCAGAGCAGCAACTTCAGTGAGGAAGTTGATGGCAGACTCATAAGCAAGCCCAGCCATGATCAGCAGAGCCCAGCCCTGATCAGCAAAATCACCCAGCCAACCTGCAGATTTGTGAGAAGTAATAAATGGTTGTTGATTTTAAGCCACTAAGCTTTGGAAGAGGATTGTTACACGTTATTATTGTGACATTAGGTAACTGATACAGCATATATAATCTCCAGGAACTCAAGGCATCAAAAAGGAATAATTATGACATTATATATCCTTTTCAGAAGTAGAATATATATATATTCTATATATATCTATAGATACATATAGCGACTTATATTCTATATATCTATATATAGCTACATATATACTATGTATAGAATGTATATATATCTATAAATATATTTAGATATTTCTCATAAATATATATGTGAAAACAATTCCCCGCAACCCAATTCTAGCTTTTTTTTCTGTTTCTAATTTTAGGCAGCCACATTTTACATTTGGGATTATTGCCCAAAAGTTATCACTGCCATCTGCAAATCATAGCAATTATTGAATTAGTTCCATTGCCTATAATTTGGTTAAAAAAAAATTTTAGTGTTGTTTTTATTATATTTCAAATAAATCTGACATCATTCAAACCTTACCTTGAGTGGTCAAGAAGTGAAGATTTTTATTGCCCAGCCAATATTCACCATGTTTTTGGACAAAATTTCCAAAGCCATTTTCATAGTCTTTCCATCCTCTAAAAAAGGTAAAGTGGAAGCCGATTAGAGCAAACTCCATTTGTGGTACCAAAGCGACCACCACCCACCCCCTGCTACCACCACCTCCAATATTTTCTTGATTAGTTAATTCATTTTCAGTATTCTTCTTTAGAGAGATTGAAATTCTGTCTAATTAATAGGCTTCAGGATATGATCAAAATATTTGACTTATAAATCTCACATTTGCTGCTACATATAAAGTCTTACATCATAATTAGCACACCTGTTAAAGTTTTCACTGCCATCAGATCGTCTCTGAATTACAGTCCATCCTCCTCCATCGGACATGTCACAATAAACAGAAAATTCTGCTGGGCTCTGGAGAGGTTTGATTTTGTAAAATCCACTGAGCTTATACCCATCATTGAAAATCTCTGAACAATCTGTTTTTAAAACAAGGTAATGTAACATTCATTATGTGTCTTTTTCTCCCCCCGCCTTAGGGAGCCTCTGAATGAGACTACTCAGTATCACTGGAGACAGATAACACATGGTATAGAAATCAGCGTTTTAAAATTGCATCTTGTACATCTTCCAGTGGATATTAGGAAAGTTTTATTTCCTTTGCTAAAATTTGCCACCTGAATCCTTGATATAATCATCGAGGAAAAAAGGGGAGTGAAATAAGAATCTAGTTTTTTGTTTCTTTCTTCTTTTTTCTTTTACATTTTTTTTAAGAAATGGGGGCGTGTCACTATATTGCCCAGGCTGGTCTCGAACTCCTGGCTTCAAACAATCCTATCCTCCCACCACAGACTCCCAAAGGGCTGGGATTACAGGTGTGAGCTTAGTTTCTAATTTCTGAGTTTTGTAGAAAACAATCTTAAAAAAAACAAGTTATGAGTAGTCTGTTAATAACAGTATATTTAGGTGGAACTTACAGTTTTATCAGACGGAATAGTAAAATTTATCTCACCCATGAAGCTAAAATGAAAGCAGAAATGTTAACACCAAAGTTACTACAGGTTATCCTGACTTAGAGCATGATAAATCATTCTGGACATCTGAAAATGAACCCAAAATAGTAATCTTGTAAAAATCTTTATTATTATACTTTAAGTTCTAGGGTACATGTGCACAACATGCAGGTTTGTTACATATGTATATGTGTGCCATGTTGGTGTGCTGCACCCATAATCTTGTCAAAATCTTATAATCTCTTAGCCTTATTAGATTTTTTACTAACCCACTGAAGTTTCTAAAAGTCCATACATTCTTAGATGTTTTTGCTAAAAACTGCAAGCTTCTGCTATTCTTTTCATCCCTTAATTCTTTTTTGCTGTGGTATTTCTTTGAACACTGAAGCAAATGTAGCTACCCCTTTGTCACCAAAAAGTGATATCTCTTTCTTTCTTTCTTTCTTTCTTTCTTTCTTTCTTTCTTTCTTTCTTTCTTTCTCTTTCTTTCTTTCTTTCTTTCTTTCTTTCTTTCTTTCTTTCTTTCTTTCTTTCTTTCTTTCTTTCTTTCTTTCTTTCTTTTCCTTTGAGACAGAGTCTTGCTCTTTCGCCCAGGCTGGAGTGCAATGGTGCTATTTCGGCTCACTACAACCTCCGCCTCCCGGGTTCAAGCGATTCTCCTGCCTCAGCCTCCTGAGTAGCTGGGATCACAGCCACGCACCTACACACCTGGCTAATTTTTTTGTATTTTTAGTACAGACTGGATTTTGCCATGTTGGCCAGACTGGTCTCAAACTCCTGAGGTCAGGCCATCCGCCCGCCTCGGCCTCCAAAGTGAAAGGATGACAGGTGTGAGCCACCACACCCTGCCAAATGGTGATGTCTGTTCCTTAAGCCACTTGAGGGTGATGTAAATTAATACCCATTGGGTCTCACCTAGGTTGATCTGTACAGACTTAGAGAACGTGGCAAATGGGGACCTCTCTATTGTTCAGATGCATAGAAAGCTAGGTTTTAGGATGATTGAAGTAGTGGTCACTATAAACAATCTCAAGAAGAGCCGTCTACAAACATTTGAATAAAAATACTATAACATCATCAACTTTCACTTTTACCCTTATCGCTTTGTTAATTTCCTTAACAAAAAATTTTTTTCTTATTGGATAATTCCATTCTTGTAGCATATTTTAAAGATGTTTAAAGATTTAAAAACAAATGTTCATTGTTTTGATACTAGATTGCCAAATTTACAACTCTCTTGTTTTGTTACAGATAAAATATATTGCACATTAAGTAGGTGAATAGGCCATAGACATCAGAAGAGAAAAGAAAAGAAAGAACCTTAGTCATTTTATAAAGCCTTCACATGGTTGGGACCAACCATATACTCCTGCTTTGGTGAGATGTTTACCTTTGTAATGATTTAGGCTTTATTCATATATTTATTTTCAAGATTCAGAAGCACATGCGTTCATATACATGCTAAATTATAAAAAGGATCCTGTTTTGGCAATTAAACAAGAAGCAAAACAATGAGAAAATGATTATCTAAAATTAGTTCAATGTTGTTATAAAGTTTACATCTTGTAGTCAAGTATATAGTACAACACTTTTATTAAAGTAAGCAGATTTTAGCCCTATTTGGAAAGAAGCTTTTTGCTTACATTAAATTTCCTACCAAAGAGCTGAATACTAAAGACTCACAAGGATCAAACTATTTTCCAGGCAAATATGGAAGTGATTAGCTATAACATTTGCCTCTGGAAAACTTAGTGAATATAGAGGTTTCAGCCAAAATTTTCTACTTGTTATTATTTTATGCTAACTGCGAGTTTGTTATTTCTTTGGTCTTGTTTTTGAAATTTTCCTTCTCCCCAGAAGAAAATGCCAAACACAACTTAAGAAAAGCTTTTAACTGAAATAAACAGTAACACAACAACAAAACCCCCAACAAATAAATAAACATTAAAAAAGCAAAAAAGCACCAGTAGTTCAATTTGCTTATAGCTAACAAGTTAAGAAGCCTGCTTTGGGAAATGAGACTTAAATCGTAACAGCAGAAAGTATGAAAAATGTAGAATTTAAAATATGAACTTGATATTTAAAACGATGATTTTCAAAATGTTCTGACCCACTCAACTCCCTGGAGAATAGGTAGAAGAAAGGCAAGGTTAAAGAGCTTTGTGTTCATGGGAGTTTTTTTTTTAAAAAAGAAAAAGAATTTTGAATATTTACATAATACTAGACAGAGGCCAAGGCATCCTGCCTTCTGTTTTGACAAACACTGTATTAAACTGGGTTATGTGTGTCCTTTCTCTGATCATGCAGAAAGTAAGCCATGTTGGAAGGCTGAATGTTTAAGCTCATAAAGTGACATGACAGCCTGCCAAATGGGCTTTTTCCTCTTGTCTCAGGATGGTGGCTGAGGCACAAAGCTGAGAACCAAAGGCACAAAGTACCCCACATTCTAAACACAAAAAGAGGTAAGCAACAGAGGTCAGCTGCCACTCCCCAGAGCATGTTGGGATATGCGAGAACTGGCCCTGCTACCGCCATCTTCACCCCCAGGCAACATAAGGAAAAAAAAAAAAGGATAAAGGAAGGTGGGTACATAGTAGGTGTATGTATTTGTTGGGGTACATGTGATATTTTGATAAAGGCATGCAATGCATAATAATCACATCATGGAAAATGAGGTGTCCATCCCTTCAAGCATTTATCCTTTGTGTTACAAACAATCCAATTTTGCTCTCTTTGTTATTTTTAAATGTGCAATTAAATTAATATTGAGAGAATGCGATACTCTTGTAGGGTAGAGTGAGTAGGCTTTCTTCCTTGAAAACAAGGCTATAATAATGTCCATAGATAGCTGGCATTCACTGAGTACTTCTTTTGCTCTACGATGTTAAATATATTAACTCATTTTATTTTGTTTATTTATTTATTTGAGACGGGTCTCACTCTGTTACCCAGGCAGGTTGTAGTGCAGTGGCACAGTCAGCTCACTGCAGCCCCAAACTTCTGCAATCCTCCTGCCTCAGCCTCCTGAGTAGCTGGGCCTGCATGCATGCACCACCAAGCCTGGCAATTTTTTTTTTATAGTGTTAGAGTCTCACTATGTTGCCCAGGCTGTTCTTGAAATCCTGGCCTCAAGTGTTCCTCCCACCTCGGCCTCTCAAAGTGCAGGGATTACAGGCATGATTCATGGCACCTGGCCAAAATATTTTCACTCATTTGAATATATTTTAATCCTTACAACAAATACACAGCATTCTTATTCTCATTCTTCAGATGGGGAATATGGGACACACAGAGGTTATGTAATGTCCCCAAAGGCCACAGCTAGCAAGATGGGCAGCTGGACTTTGAAATCAAACTCCAGAGTCAACACCTTAGGCCACTTTGTAACCTGCCTCAAGACACTCACATGCAGACTGGGGGCTCCTGAAGAAGGGGAGATGCTGGAGCCAGTGGTGTTGTCAAGTGAACGGCGGTGGTGACGCCAGATTTTTGTTCTTGCCACCAGTTAATGTGAATTTGACACAGTAACCTTTTAATTCATAATCCGCTAGCACCCAAATTCTTTAAAAAAAGATACAGCTTAATAGTATGCTGTAGAAAATCATGTGCCTAGTGCATTGTTTGCACAAATTGCTAGGTTGTATGTAATTGGGTGTTTTCTACCATCAGATAAATTAGAATTCAGAAAATAACTAATTTAGTAATAATAAAGTAACTTGTAAATAAGAAGAAAAGATTTATATTTCTACAGATTATATGTATGAATATTTAATTGTTTTCAATTTAAGGACACCAAAAACATAAACTTTGAGGTGAACAAGTTCTTATATATTTTATACCATATTATATATATATAAAACACTATACTTTATTGGAATTTTTATGTTATATATTTTATTTATTGAGTATCTGTTCTTAGTAGCCTCTCCAGTACTATCTCCCTATATGCTAAAATATAAAGAACAATTGAACTGTGTTTATATTTTATTTCCCCTTTTTCTTCTTCATGCTTGTAATTAATATATGAAAAATATTGTTTTAATCTACTGAATTCTGATTTTTTTGGCTTTTATATCAAAAAACAGTCATCTAGAATTCCTATCATCTGTCTTATTATTATAACAGTATTATATTTATAATAATTATAATGTTTTTTCTGAAGCATCTCTATATGACTCTTCTAACTCCTGCTTGTACAGTTAATCCTGCTCTGACCTTGGCATCGTAATTTCCAAGTAACTGATTTCTTGCCTTATTCCTTGGTGACCCCTTACTTCCCAAAGTCTGCTCCCCAGCAGTGTCAACACAAGGACTGGATCTTCAGCTCTTGATATGATTTGGATGTGTGTCCCCACCAAATCTCATGTTGAGTTGTAGTTCCCAGTGTGGGAGGGAAGGCCTAGTGGGAGGCGATTGGCTCATGGGGGTGGAGTTGTCATGAATGTTTTAGCACCATCTCTCTTGGTACTCTACAGTGAGTGGTGAGTTCTCATGAGATCTGGTTTTTGAAACAGTGTCGCACCTCCTCCCTCTCTTTCTCCTGTTCCCACCATGTGAGATGTGCCTGCTTCTGCTTTGCCGTCTGCCATGATTGTAAGTTCCCTGAGGCCTCCCCAGAAGCAGATGCTGCTATGCTTCCTTTACAGCCTGCAGAACCATGAGCCAATTAAACCTCTTTTCTTTATAAACGACCCAGCCTCATTCATTTCGTTATAGCGGTATGAGAACGGACTAATACAGCACTTAAGCCTCAGTCTTCCCATGACTGGTTGTAGAGGCCTGGGAACAAACATCTGATTAGCTGCCCCCTGCCATGATTGACCCTTGAGTCTGTGCCAATAACCTGCTCAGAATGTGTTCAAATAGAAACCCCAAGTCTTGGGCTTGGTTTGAAATTTGGAGTAATGATGATCCACTGGCATCTACGAGTTCCTCGCCCTTGAGATCAGCTTTGTATGTTCTTTTGGGATCACTTATCTGTATGCTCATCCCTTAAACGATAGTCCGTTTGCTTCCCAAGCCCATTTTTACCCGAACTGTCCCTGGTTCCTCTTGGCTCCAGAGGCACTGGCCATCTTCAGGCTATAGCCATCCCCACTACTGCAGACCACTGGCTCTGGCCTCTTTCTGATCTCTAAGGGCCAGAGGGAGGGCAGTTGGATCAAGATGCTGGCCATAAGAGAAGCAGGAGCCCAGGGCGAGGAGTCTGAGCAGAGGGAGATAAGGATCTTGGTAGAAAAAAAGGGAGCATTTTAAGAGTCTCATGCGCTACAGTGTGAGCCAGCCAGGTGCCCTGAAGCATTTTATGGAAGCATAGACTCTCACAACTCCTATATCCTACACTTGTATGATTAGAAGCAGAAAATAAACATGTTTCTATTCCCATAAGATTGGCAACTCTTTGACCTCTACAGTCTTTCAATTCTAGTCAAATAGGTGTCCGAATTTATATTTGCTTATCTTGCTATTCCTCTCCCTATGAACTACCTTCCTTTCATTCCTGAATATGAGGATCTACTATGTTTCAGGCACTCTAATAGCCAACAGGGAGATAAAAGTACATTAAATATCATTCTAGACCTCACAGAGTGCCCAGTTAATTGACCTCAATAGACTCATAAACAGAAATTACAATGTAGCATGGTAGTGCTAGAATAGACATATGGACAAAGTGCTTTCGCTAGCATTCTTTTTGTTTCTGACAATCGTCGTTTACTCTAAAAGATACCTTTTACTTCTGGAGGAATTCAAGTGAACAGTTTTCCATAGAGAATAATGATTTGTGCAGCAATGTGTGTAATGTGTTGCCAGTTTAAAATCATTTAGTTTCTGGGGAGAAATACCTCATTGAAAGGAACATTATGAAATCAGAAAATATACATATAAAAAACTACTCTTTTATTTTCCTTAGTAATTCTGGTTCTTTTTCCTTTTTCTGCTCCTTTATTTTTTACCTTATTTGCCACCCTAATGCACATTAGGATTTCAGAAGGGAAAACTGCATACATGCAACAAGGAAAGATACACAAACACAAAGCTCAAATGCAAAAATTCCCAATTGTAATCTGCCATGTGTACACGGATTTTTTTTTTTTTTTTGAGACAGAGTCTTATTGTGTTGCCCAGGCTGGAGTGCAGTGGCACGATCTTGGCTCACTGCAACCTGCGACTCCTGGGTTCAAGTGATTCTCCTGCCTCAGCCTCCCAGGTAGCTGGGACTACAGGCACCTGCCACCACGCCCAGCTAATTTTTGTATTTTTAGTAGAGATGGGGTTTCACCATATTGGCCAGGCTGGTCTAGATCTCCTGACCTTGTAATCCGCCCACCTAGGCCTCCCAACGTGCTGGGATTACAGGCGTGAGCCACCGCACTTGGCTGTGTCCATCAGTATTTAAACAATCTATTGTCCTGATTTCTTATTAAATGATATAAATTCTCAGATATTTAGCATTCACATTAAATGCCCTGGCAGAGATAGAAAAAAGTAAAGTGTCGGCTGGGCACGGTGGCTCACGCCTGTAATCCCAGCACTTTGGGAGGCCGAGGCAGGCGAATCACAAGGTCAGGTGATCGAGACCATCCTGGCTAACATGGTGAAACCCTGCCTCTACTAAAAATACAAAAAAAGTAGCCGGGCCTGGTGGTGGGCACCTGTAGTCCCAGCTACTCGGGAGACTGAGGCAGGAGAATGGTGTGAACCTGGTAGACGGAGCTTGCAGTGAGCCAAAATTGCACCACTGCACTCCTGCCTGGGCGACAGAGCAAGACTCCGCCTCAAAAAAAAAAAAAAAAGTAAAGTGTGAAAGAAGACATTTACAATAGATATAATGCTTCATATTGCTTGTTACTGAAATAGGAAAAGCCTGAAATAACTAGCACCATCACTGTACATGGGTGCATAATGTAAGTTATAGAAACACTTAAGAAAAGTCCATTCTGACCTGCATACTGCCTCTTGCTTCCAAGATCAATGACAGTATTCTCATCTCCTTTATCAAGGAACTGGACTTCATTCTCCTGCAAAAGCTGCTTGATCTTGACCTGTTGCTGTTTGACCCGGGTCTCAAGCAGGCGCACCTGGGCTCTGAGCCGCATCTGCTCCTGGGCACAGTCCTCGAGCGCCTGCAAAACAGGTGAGATGAGATGAGTATGCACCTCATTTTCATGGAAAACAAGTGCTTTTTAAACATTTGGATAAATCAGTGATTCCATTTTGTCTCCAGTTCCCATTTCAGAATATTATTCCAAAGAGAAAGTGGCTTGAAAAGTTCTAATACTGCCTACTATTTGAAGAATTGGAAATTATGGCTTATGCGAAAACTCCTGGACTCAAAAGATCAAATAATATAAAATAATTGGAATCGCTATGCTAGGAGCTTTATAGTTGTCTCCTTTGATCCTCATAACAATTCCATGCGGTAGGAAAGGGCTCAGTCTTGATGCCCAGTGGGTAAGCGGAGGTGGGATTCAAATTCAGTTCAAGGACTGTGCTCTCAATCTCTATATGACATTGCTTATGTGTTTTCTAAACAGTAATGTGGTTTATAGAAGTTAATTGTACTGTTGGCATGTAAATCTCCATAATAAATGAGGTTTTTGAATGGCTGTCTGGTATAAATACTTTTAAATATGTATATTTAATGTATATTATATATTATATATATTATATATGCATATAAATAATATATAATATATATAATATATAATATATTAAACAATATATAATATATAGTATATAATATATTAAACAATATATAATATATCATATATAATATATTAAATAATATATAATATATATCATATATAATATATTAAATAATATATAATATATCTCATATATAATATATTAAATAATATATAATATATCTCATATATAATATATTAAATAATATATAATATATATCATATATAATATATTAAATATATAATATATATCATATGTAATATATTAAATATATAATATATATCATATGTAATATATTAAATATATAATATATATCATATGTAATATATTAAATATATAATATATATCATATGTAATATATTAAATAATATATATCATATATAATATATTAAATAATATATAATATATATCATATATAATATATTAAATAATATATAATATATATCATATATAATATATTAAATAATATATAATATATATCATATATAATATATTAAATAATATATAATATATATCATATATAATATATTAAATAATATATCATATATATCATATATAATATATTAAATAACATATAATAATATATAATATATTAAATAATATATAATATAATAATAATATATAATATATAAAATAATATACAATATAATAATAATATATAATATATATTACAAAATATATAATATGAATATATATGAATATAAATGAATAGATATTATATAATATATAAATATAAATAATATATAATATATTAAATATATTTATATATAATATAATGTAATATAATTGTATTTATTATATTATAGTCTACTTTATATAATATATTATATTTATACATAATATACGTATATATAAAATTACATAATGGATTTATATAGTATATATTATATCAAATACATATGCATATATAATACATTTATATTTATATAGTCTATAATATATATATATTTTTTATATATATATATATGTAGTACATCTCCCCTCCCTCCCATCTCTAGGTCCAAGTCATGGAACCTCTCCCAGCCATTTTTCTAGGATGGTTTCTCCCTTTTCCTTCCCCTTCCCCTTTCCCTTCCTCTTCCCTTACGTTTCCTTTCTCAGAACCTCTCCCAGATATCTTTTCTAGGATGATTTCTTTCTCCTCTTTTCTTTTTCTTTTCTTTTGTTCTTTTCCTCTCTTTCTCCTTCCCTCCTTCCCTCCCTTCCTTCCTTCCTTTCTTTTCTTTCCTTTCTTCCCATCCCTAGGTCCAAGTCACAGAACCTCTCCCAGCCATTTTTCTAAAATGATTTCTTTCTCCTCTTCTTTTTCTTTTCTTTTGTTCTTTTCCTTTCTTTCTCCTTCCCTCCCTCCCTCCCTTCCTTCTTTTCTTTTCTTTCTTTCCTTTCTTCCCATCCCTAGGTCCAAGTCACAGAACCTCTCCCAGCCATTTTTCTAGGATGATTCCTTCTCTCTCTCTCTCTCTTTCTTTCAACAGAGTCTTGCTCTGTTGCCCAGGCTGGAGTGCAGTGGTGCGATCTCGGCTCCCTGCAACCTCTGCCTCTCTGGTTCAAGCGATTCTTGTGCTTCATCCTGGCAAGTAGCTGGGACTATACAGGTTGTGTGCCATAACACCCAGCTAATTTTTGTATTTTTAGTAGAGATGGGGTTTTGCCATGTTGCCCAGTCTGGTCTCAAACTTCTGGCTTCAAGCGATCCACCCACCTCGGCCCCTCAAAGTGCTGGGATTACAGGCGTGAGCCACTGCACCAGGCCTCTCTAGGATTACTTCTTATTTGTTCTTGTTACTCTATCCCTAACACTCAGATTTATCCCTTCTGAGATAGTTATTTGCTTAGCACCTTGAGTCACATAGGCTAAAAAATGAACAGCAAGAACATTTTATGGTGTCTGGGTCCTGAGTTGTTTTACAACAGTGGGGGATCGGTTGTGATATTGTTAAACATAGTGCACTATGCAATTTTAAAATAATTGAAGACATCACAGGTCAAGTATGCCCAATCTTTATGAGATTGCATACGCATATTTAGTAAGCTTATTTAAAACCTAGGAGTTTTCTTTCTCCAAGAACTTTGAATGAATGTTTTGTCTTTTTTATTCACAAATGAAGGACAACACAAGTTCGATGTAATTACTTTCAAATAATCTGGTTAGTTTTACACTTTTCAATATTGAAAAGCTCAAGGTTAATTTTAATTACTATGGACAGTTTCAAATTTCTAATATTCCAACCAAATAACTCCAGTGAATTTTTAAAAATTACTTATTTATTATGAATACTTTTTATTTAAAAAAATGTAAAGCACTTTTTTTTTTTTTGAGATGGAGTCTCACTCTGTCGCCCAGGCTGGAGTGAAGTGGCATGATCTCAGTTCACTGCAATCTCCGCCTCCTGGGTTCAAGGGATTCTCCTGCCTCAGCCTCACGAGTAGCTAGGACTACAGATGCGTGCCATCACGCCCGGCTAATTTTTTGTATTTTTTTTAGTAAAGATGGGGTTTCACCATATTGGCCAGGCTGGTTGCGAACTCCTGACCTTGTGATCCACCCATCTCGGCCTCCCCTGCAAAAATGTAAAGCGCTTTAAAGTGCTGCTTTACTATGTGTCCAGTATTTCTACCAGCCTCTTTGCTTTTCCCACATAGTTAAGTTTTTTCAATGACAAGTCACTATAGGTTTAATGCAAAATGAAAGAAAATTCAGATAAAAGCAGGCATTATAAATATGACAATAGTTTTCCCAAGAAGCTTACCGAAATTTCCCTGCCCATTGTCAGAGCGGTGGTAACAAGGATGAAACTGAACACCTTTGCCATGTTCCCCCTTGAAAAAACTGCAAGAACAAAAAGAATTTTATAAATGTATCAACCTTGAATTTTTCATGAGACCAGAGTTCAGACTTCAGTAGCTCCAGGAAGTCGGATGCAGCCGCAGGCCATCCCTAATCTTAGAGTCGCCGAGGAAATTCTCCCAGACTTTCCCAGCCTCTCACCACACAGAATGACACTGAGTGTTAACTAGAATTGAATCTGTTTCATCACAAAAACAGAGGAAGGACTCTGGTTCTTTTCGCTATCCTAATGTGCTGTTTGTGTTATGCTGTGGAAAGGCACAGGAGCATTTTAATCAGTTATTTAATGTTACACATCAAGGAAGTGGCGTAGTCAAAATCTGCACGCTGGTCTCTGCTTATGGAGCTTGTGTCTTTTTCTCCCTATGTTGTGAGGCTGGTCTCAAACTCCTGGGCTTGAGTGATCCTCCCGCCTTGGCCTCCCAAAGTGCTGGGATTACAGGCGTGAGCCACTGCCTAGAGTAAGATTTTTGAAAGCAAAGGTCACACCTTGCTAATTTTGGTATCCCTAGCATTTAATTCTTGTGGTGACCCCAATAACTGTTGTTGCTTCTACGGAATTATTCCTCAGGAGGCAAAATCGTTCTCAGAGGGAAAAATGTAATTTCCTTGCTTTAAACTACAGTCTGTTTATACTGACATACTTTCCTCTTTTACTGGAAAACAATGGGCTAAGTATAGTTTTGAAGGTAAGAGTTAAGAAGGAGTTGGGGACTTTTGGTTTGATTGAACACATGAATTTAATTTTTTCCTTCTCACAAAGCCCACTAGAAAATGAGTGAAGAAAAAGTTTAAAAGATGCGAACTGACAAAGTCAAAGAGAAAGGGAAAGAACAGCTAGTGTGCAATGTCAGCAAGTTGGTAGATGATAAAAAGGCATGTGGGGGGCCTGGTGCGGTGGCTCACGCCTGTAATCCCAGCACTTTGGGAGGTCGAGGTGGGCAGATCACTCGAGGTCAGGAGCTCGAGACCAGCCTGGTCAACATGGCGAAACCCTGTCTCTACTAAAAATACAAAAATTAGCCAGGCGTGGTGGTGGGCGCCTGTACTCCCAGCCACTCGGGAGGCTGAGGCAGGAGAATTGCTTGAACCCGGGAGATGGAGGTTGCAGTGAGCCGAGATCGTGCCAATGCACTCCAGCCTGGGTGACAGAGTGAGTCCCTGTCTAGAAAGAAACGAAATGAGAGGAGAAGAGAGGAGAGGAGAGGAGAGGAGAGGAGAGAAGAGAAGTAGGGGAATTGGCAAAGCAGCAGTAGAGAGGAGCACCATGAGAAGCGAGAGAAGTCACAGTGTAGCACCCTAGGGGATTCTGGATTGGAGGCACTGCTAGCTTGGAAGTGAAGGTAGAGGCAAATGGGCTAACAGTCAGATCCTCATCTAAATCCTGTGCAGCCAGGTGAATGCTGCTTCTCGTACCCTTTCAGAATATGGAAGATTTACTTTCTATTAAGATTGCCCAGAGATGCTCCAGGTGACATGACAGCAGAAGTGCTGGAGGGGAGGAGAGAGACCCTGTTCAAAAAGGGTGAGGCTTTCCCAGGCTTCTTCTCTTGCAGCCAGGCAACCGGCTCTACACTCTTCCTACCACTTTCCAGGCCAAAGAACATAGGATTCCTCGCTGGAGGAACAGCAGAGCTTCACCGAAAAGATCTTCAGAGACTGACATTGGAGGATTCTCCATCAAAGGAGGCTTTTCCTTGACTGATCGCTCTCCAAAGAATCCCACCAGTTGGGAAGCCTCCTTCATGCACCTGGGAGAGGTATAAAAGGTATAGGCACACTATTCTGCTTATTTCTTTCAACGTAAGTCTTCTTTCTGAAGAGAGGCATATTTTACATTTCATTCTCTGTCCACATCAAATGGTCTAAAGAGAAACACCAAATTTCTGTATTACAACACTGGGCAGAAATTCATATGATAGCAATTAGTCATGACTTAACCCTTTCACCCAACACTGTGAACAAAATAACCAAGATGGGCCGGGCGTGTTGGCTCACACCTGTAATCCCAGCACTTCGAGAGGCCGAGGCGGGCGGATCACTGAGGCCAGCATGGCCAACATAGTGAAACCCTGTCTCTATAAAAATACAAAAAATTAGCTAGGTGTGGTGGTGGGTGCCTGTAATCCCAGCAAATTGGGAGGCTGAGGCAGGAGAATTGCTTGAACCTGGGAGGTGGAGGTTGCAGTGAGCCGAGATCACGCCACTGCACTCCAGCCCAGGTGACAGTGCGAGACTCCATCTCAAAAAAAAAAAAAAGTATCTCTAGACCCATTTTTCCATTAAAGTTATCCTTTTAAACATATGATATAATTTGTAGCAACAATTTATAAGAACTCTGGCATTTCACTCTTTATTTTATCTTAGTAAATATTTTTTCTTTAAAATTCAATTGTATATTGAGTATGTACCTATCTTAGGCCCAGTGATAGAAATAGTAGTCTTAGGCCCAGTGATAGAAATAGTAATCTTAGGCCCAGTAATAGAAATAGTAGATGTTTTTATATGTAATGTATTAAATATAATTGATTATATTAAAATATTTGCTTATGTTAAAAATAGAGAAAATTAACTTTCTGATATTTAAAACATTTACCAATGTGAAAAAGAGACACCCTCTGTGTATTTTTATAAAAGATAAAATGGGGTGAGAATAGGATTGCAAAGGAACAGAAGTCGTGACCAAATTAGAAGAAAAGATGATTAGGTTTGCTATCAATTAATATTCGCTAATTAATATAATAAGCTTGGAATTATTTAAGGAACACTTTTCTAGGTCACATTTATTATTGTCATGAAAGGTAAAATCATTTTCTTTAAGATAAAAACATTGACTGCACTAAAGAGTCATCATTTGCAATGCAGTAGTGTCCTAAATCTCTTATTCCCAGATGTCAAGATTATGTCTACAAATTAAGAAAATTTCAAGTTGAAATAAGTATTCTAAACCGAAGACATCTGATGTTAGGAGCAAATACATTTTCATTCCGATCCTGGGGGTAGTTTCATGTTTTCTTTTGTTTTTCTTTTTTTGTCTGAGGGTCCTTGGGAACACTCCTTATTCATTGTGGCTGAATTTTTTCAACATCAGCATTGAATACTACAAAGGATTGTATCAGATATAAATCAATAGTCAATAATTTTATTAAGAAGTAAAAACCATCCATTTAAACTGAATTACAGTGGGAAAATATATTTGTAAAGAAGGCTTAGAAAATAAACAATAACAATAAACTAGAATGAGATTATTTCAAGCATATATTTTCTAACTATTCGTAGGTAAAGTTTTAAAAATTGAATGGATTCTAGTCCTCTAATCCCTGTCACTAGAAAATGACTGACCTACAGCATGCTTTAGTATCTTTTCTTCACAATAAGAGAATAATATTTTAATAATGACACACAATAATTGCTAAACAGGCTTGATGGGACAGTAAGCGTAGTTCCACAAAGATGCCAAGCAGCCTGCGTGGCCTGGGGCATTATATAAAAATGAGCTAGCCATTCAAGTAGAATGTACCTCTGCAAGGCTGCAATATTACTTACATTAAAGGGCCCATCATCAAGGGGACAAGGGCTATTTCCCCAAGTCTAACGTGGATTGGAAAAATAAGGAATACTCATCTGAAACCATATTGTGTTTGTGTTTGGGCATCACTAAACACTCTGCCGAACTTTGGCTGGGCGTGGTGGCTTACGCCTGTAATCTCAGCACTTTGGGAGGACGAAGTGGGAGGATCGCCAGAGGCCAGGAGTTCAAGACCAGCCTGGCCAACATGATAAAACTCCATCGCTACTAAAAATACAAAAATTAGCCAGGTGTGGTGGTGCACACCTGTAATCCCAGCTACTCGGGAGGCTGAAGCATGAGAATCACTTGAACCTGGGAGGCGGAGGTTGCAGTGAGCTGAGATTGTCTCACTGTAGTTAAGCCTGGGTGACAGAGCGACACTCCACCTCAAACAACAACAACACTATCAAAACACTATCAAATTTTAATTGGCCATTTTATTTTATTTCATTAGCCTCACAGTGAAAATAAGAAAACAAGCACAAGGATGCTTATGATTTCTCCAGGACCATTCAGCCTCTGGGGATATCCCCTGGGAATATCTCCCAAATCTCCTGAACCTCTTTCTTTATTGCCTGGTTAATCCTTTCTTACTGTATTATGTTGAACTATAAGAAATGGCAGATGTTTGAACATTTCTGACTTAGAAAAATGGCAATTTCATTGTTTCAAATTAATGCATATTGTTTAGATAGGAAGAACACACTTGAAAATCATTATAACCATTTATACTACAATGAATACCAAAAAAATAGGTTCAAAATATACTGTTTGCAGCTTACTTGATCAGAGAGAGAACAAATTGGCAAGAACCTGTTTTTATATCAATGCTGCCTCCCATGTTAATACATTAATGTGTGCCATTTAAAATATGTTTACAAAATTGCTAATACATCATCAACACATGAAATCTCACGATGTCTTTAGAAGACACATTATGTTTACTTTTTACTAAAGGAAGCTCAAATAGTGAAGCAAAGTAACTTTCCTAAGGAAAGACTCTACGTTCAAAATTTATACAACATCCAATCATTTCTCACCACCTCTATTGCTAATGTCTGGCCCAAGCTACCAATGGAAGATTCCAAACAATTTTTTAGAATTACAATGAGACAACATTCTATACTGAGCCTTTCCTGGGCAAACCGGGATATTTGGTCATTCACCGACAAAGCTTTACATAATCTGTGAGCATCCACCTCCTCAACACATCTCTTTTCCCATCATTTTTGCCTGTTCTGGCTACATTGGCCTCTTTGGCATTTTTGGAAAACCCTGAAATACACAGACTTCTCAGGGCGATTGCACTTGCTGTTCTCTCTACCTGGAATGCTCTTCTGAAAATCTCTGTGGTTTGCTCCATGACATCCTTCAGGTCTTTGCTCAGGTATTCCCTTCCCAGAGATACCTTCCCTGACTACCACATATAAAATAACAGCTGTCCCCTACTGTCTTAGTCCATTCTCATTTTATAAATTTACCCAGTAAAGATCTGCCTGAGACTGGGTAATTTATAAAGGAAAAAGGTTTAATTGACTCACAGTTTGCCATGACTGGGGAGGCCCCAGGAAACTTACAGTCGTGGTGGAAGGGGAAGCAAACATGTCCTTCTTCACATGATGGCAGGAAGGGGAAGAGCCAAGCAAAAGCCCCTTATAAAACCATCAGATCTCAGGAGAACTCACTATCACGAAAACAGCAGCATGGGGGTAGCTGCCCCCATGATTCAATTACCTTCCACTGGGTCCATCCCATAACATGTGGGATTACGAGAACTACAATTCAAGATGAGATTTGGGTGGAGACACACGCAAACAACATCACCCACACACTTCATATCTCTATCACAATGGATTCAGTTTCTCCTTAGCACTTATCACCAAATATAATGAAATATTATAATATATGTGTTTATTGTCTACCTACTCCAACCGCCCTGTACAATGTAAGCACGAAGAGGTGAGTGGCTACATCTATTATGTATACTGCCCTAATGCTAGGTGGATAGTTAGGTACTGTACTAGTTTCTTGAGGCCACCATAACAAATTACCATAAACTGAGTGGCCTAAAACAACAGGAGTTTATTATCTCACAGTTCTGGAGGATACAAGTCCAAAATCAAGAAGAACAGGGCCATACTTCCTTCAAAGGCTCTAAGAGAAAATCCTTTCTGGACTCTTCTAGCATTTGGTGGTTGCCAGCAATTCTTGACATCCTTTGACTTGTGGCAGTATCACTCTATTCTCTGATACCATCTTCACATAGCTGTCTTTCCTCTGTGTGTCTCTGTGTCTAATTTCCCTCTTCATATAAGGACATCGGTCATTGGATTAGGGTCTGCCCTAATCCAGTATGACCTCATCTTAACTCAGTTACATGTACAAAGACCCTATTTGCAAATGAGATCACATTCACAGGTAATAAAAGTTAGGAATGTACATGTTTTGGGGGCACAGCTGAACCTAGCACAGGTACTCGACAAAATATCTACTGAATAGATGAGAAGAAAACTTGTAAACCTGAATTAGAATTGTAGAACTTCCCAGGATCTGTTATTGTAATTTCACAGTTGCTTATGGGAGATCAAATTCTTTTGTGTCTGTTGAATTTATAAGATGTCTTTATCAGATTCCCTCCATCTTCACCCTTCCAGCAACAACAAAAATAACTACTCTTAATGAATTATGCTTTTCATAAACTTTTTTGTGATTTGCAAATATGTCATGTCAATATGTAACAGCTTATTTTGGTTTTAAAAGAGACATTTGGATTTATAAAATCCCAAAAGAAAATATATACCTGAAAACATAATACCTAAGATATTTGAAAGTTGGCTCTCTCACTGGGCCAAGGTCATTACCATAGCTATCTCATAATAAGTTTTTAGTTTGACTCGTGTTTTCAGTTGGCAATAAATATGTTTTTTGAGCAAAATTATAATAGCTATGTTGCTTTTTAAATTTGTACCCTTGTGTCTTTAACTATCTAATTTTAAAATTTATCACAAAACTCAAGTAGCATAAAGGAAAAAAATAAATGCCCTTATGCAAATGGCAATTTCTTAAACATAAACAATTGCATAGTCACAGACATACAGTCATAAAGTATTTTTCATGTTACAGAAAATAAGAAACAAAAACATTTTATTATAAGGAAGCAAAAGAAAATAAAGATGGAAAACAAAATATTTAAAAAATATAAAGAGATTTTAGAAATAGCCTTGTTCCCCGAGACTAGAACATGCAGAGAAAATATAATTAGAGGAAGTGACATCATTCAGTCAAATATCATCAACACTAGAGGCTCAGAGAGGGAAAATTGTTTGCCTAAAGAAATAAAAGAGACTTTCACTAAGTATATTTACACTAGTCTGGGAAATCAGCATAACGACATGACATAAATACCATTTATTTGTGACTCCAACTCAAATTGTTCTTCTGACTGAAAATAACCAATGTATTTAATAGATTACTGATTAGGATTTTTCCTTGATAAATGAAACTGCTAAGGATTAGTAGTAAAAATAATGTCCTCTTTTTTTATGTGACAGGAAACAAATTTTCATTATTTTAATCCGCTCCCAGATAATATTCAGGAGTCAAAAATTAAAAATCATGAAATGTCTGTATCTTCTAGACTTTGCTTTAATGTTATTTGTTGAAAAATTTTTTTATTTGATTAAAGTTTTCTTATGCATTTGTGGGATCAAGTACTTTATTTCAGAAGTGAATAAATTAGCTTAAAAAGTTAGAGCTTAGCCAGGCGTGGTGGCTCATGCCTGTAATCCCAGCACGTTGAGAGGCTGAGGCAGGCAGATCACTTGGGTCAGGAGTTTGAGACCAGCATGGCCAACATGGCAAAACCCCGTCCCTACTAAAAATACAAAGAAATTAGCCAGGTGTGGTGGCACACACCTTTTATCCCAGCTACTGTGTTGGTTGAGGCATGAGAATTGCTTGAACCTGGGAGACAGAGGTTGCAGTGAGCCAAGATCACACCACTGCACTCCAGCCTGGGTGACAGAGTGAGACTCCATCTCAAAAAACAAACAAACAAACAACAACAACAAAAAACACCTAGAGCTTAAAAAAGAAATTTTCTCATTCCAATGTTTGATTCTGGCTCTTGCATAAATGGAAGTATGTTTTGAAAATGCTCTGAATGATGCACCTATATATCATATAATTTTACCTACGCACACTGTATATATACGTATATGTATGAACATAACATTATTATACATAATATGTATATATTATAGATTATATTATATATACATTATATAAGGTATATAAATATTGCTTAGCATTAGATTTAGTAAAAAATAAAGGGCTAATGAAATTTTTTTGACAGGCCTCTGTCTCTTGATGTCCTGAAATGTTTATCTCACTACCATTAAGATAATCCAATAATCAAAAAGGCACCCCCTAGTCTGGTAGCATATAAACAATAAAGCATTTCAAAATGTAATTATTTACATTTAGAAAGTCATTATATTACTTTGATTAGCTTTAGAATAATTCCTGAGAATATCTTAAGTTCTCTAAAATTTTCCATTTTCCTCCTTTGCAATTCTAACCAACATTCTCTGTAATATTGAAGAAATGCTAAGCATTAAGAAACTTGCTTTGAAATTCTGGTCTCCATCATTCATTATAGTAAACCATTATTTCTTCTGCACATCTGGCTTACAGTAAAGTTGTATCAAATTATTCTGTTCATTTATTGCACAATTAGTTGTATTTCTTTTATAATATTTTTGCCTTAGGCAGTATCAAAACTTTTAATTATTATAAAATTAAAATTGTTATCAAATGGCTGTTCTTTGGTGGACTATATTATTTTACATAATTTTAATGCTATAAATTCTAATTCCTTCCCCACTATATTTAAAAAAAATTTAATTAATTACGCTGCATTAAATTTAAAGATGAAGACATTAAATTTGTAAATGAAAAGTTCTAAAAATAATATATAATTTTTAAAAACAATTACAAAACAGAAGTACATTAGTAGCATGCAAACATTTCAAAACTGGTATGTTTTAAGCAAGCATTGTAAAAGGATATATAAAAGAAATAAAAAGGAAGGAAAAAGTTATTGAACGAAGTATGTTTAATAAGTTAGCATTCACAAACGCTATAGGACTATAATGCTTAGGACTATAACCTAAGTCAGTGAGTTAAAAATGTACCCATAAACACAAGCTTAGAGACTCCTTTTAAGCTATTTCCTTCCAAATTTTTTCCTCTTTCTGAAAATGGAATATAACTGTGCTTTTGTATTTTTCTTAAGAATCCATACTCACTGAAAGCCTTACAAAGCTAAATATAGTTGATCCCTCAAGAAATGCAATAAAGAAAAATGTTTCTGAAGTTTTTTGACTTCTGAAGTGAAAATTGTCATATAGTCCATTTTATTTTTAATTTTTTATACTGAAACTGTAAACCTATCATTTACGTCAAACTCCCATGCAATTCATTCAAAATGTAAAGGAAATTATACAAAGTGAGACTCCATCTCAAAAAACCAACAAACAAACGACAACAACAAAAAACGCCTAGAGCTTAAAAAAGAAATTTTCTTATTCCAATGTTTGATTCTGGCTCTTGCATAAATGGAAGTATGTTTTGAAAATGCTCTGGGTGATGCACCTATATATCATATAATTTTACCTGCGCACACTGTATATATATGTATATGTATGTACGTAACATTATTATACATAATTATGTATATATTATAGATTATATATACATTATATAAGGTATATAAATATTGCTTAGCATTAGATTTAGTAAAAAATAAAGGGCTAATGAAATTTTTTTGACAGGCCTCTGTCTCTTGATGTCCTGAAATGTTCATCTCATTACCATTAAGATAATCCAATAATCAAAAAGGCACCCCCTAGTCTGGTAGCATATAAACAATAAAGCATTTCAAAATGTAATTATACATATTTAGAAAGTCATTATATTACTTTGATTAGCTTTAGAATAATTCCTGAGAATATCTTAAGTTCTCTAAAATTTTCCATTTTCCTCATTTGTAATTCTAACATACCTTATTTGTATATCTGTATATTTGTATATCTGTATATCTGTAACAAAAGATACATAATTCTAAATCTCTTCTCCAAGTAGCAGAAGCAGACTCCTTGCTAGTCAACCTGACTTCTTGCAAAAGCTAATGGTTGTTACCTGAGTTTTGGTTACTATCATACCTGTGAAATAAATTAGCATTATTACAAGCATGTCAAAAATGCAGAGACATTAAATAACTTGCCTAAAGTCAGAAGTGAGTCAGAGACCCAGCTCAGGTTCCATCCAGACACTCTGCTTCCCAGGATCCTGTAACTGCATTGGGAATTTGTAATTATTTCTCCATTATTTGATTAGAAATAGGGACAATGTTGATTCTGGCTTCAATCCAGAAACAAACATGTGGACACAGGTTTAACTGAAAGAAAGCTAAAAGAGAAGATTCAAGGACAAATCCCAATACTCTGATATTTTTCTTTTTTCCCCACTTGTATGACTTTTTGTGAAAGATCCAATAATATATCTTTATAAAGATATATATATTTTACAACTTATTATTATGTTCATTCAGAGAATTTTTGTACTGTAACTTCAATAATGTTCCATTGAAGATTAAGTAAAAACGAAGTCCAGCTGAAACTTTGCTTTGTATTAAGGGTAATAACATTTTACCCACAAAAATATGAATTAATATGTCATCTCAACTAAAATATGGAGATAAGCCAAATTTTTCCTAGTTATAAAAAACAAGGCAGGTTAATAATTGCCAAGGTGAAATGGTCAGTTTATTTGCTCTCTAAGAAAAACAAAAGTATTCCCTGAGGTGCAAAATTGTGAAATTTAACTGGAAGCATCGATTATACTCTGGACAAGTTGTTCCTTTTGTTTTAAAATCCTCTAGAAGATTTTCTAATGTGTAATAGGCACTTGTTAGCTCCATTAATCGTATTGTGTAACAGTTTCTTACTGGAAATCTGGGTTCATCATTTCTTCTTTCCTTCTGATGTAACTCAAGCAGTTGTTTGCCATTTGTCCTGTGGTCCCTATTTATTCACTCAGATTCCAGTAAAATACCAAAGTTTTGTTTTCTTTCTGTTCTTTGTTATCTACTGGACTTGAGCACTGACGATGTTTGGTCTTCCCATTAAACATCTTCCTGTCCTTCACGTGGACATTTTGAAGATTATTAAGGGAAAGGTAATCCTGTTGATTTACTGGAAAAAAGAAGGAAAAAAAAAGCCAGTTAGACTGAAGTGATTTGCACACACACAGAAGAAGTGGAAATTATACATTCATAATTGTAGAGAATTCAAGCTGCTAATGTTAAATTTCAAAAGCAAAAATATGGGATTATTCGGCTAATTCAATAATGATCTCTGTGGTAAAATGACATATTTTGAAATACAAACTTATCTTTCCTTCTTGTATGCCTTTAGCTTTGTCCCCATTCAAGCAATAATTTAGCCTTGTGTTCATTTCCTCACTGGAGGGACATAACATTAACAGCAGCTAACATGTGGTATACTTATCATGTGCTAAACATGGTAATTTTATCAACTCACTCAGCCACACAGCCCTATAAGTAGGTACTGTTAATGATCTCCATTTCACAAATGACGAAACTGAGACACAGAGGTTTAAGTGACTTGCACGAGGTCACACAGCTAACAAGAGGTATAGCTGGGCTCAAAGGCAATCCTGCTCAGAATCTGTCCTCTTTTCTACTAAAGGTAGACTATGCTGTCT
This sequence comes from Homo sapiens, assembly GCF_000001405.40. Lineage (NCBI taxonomy): Eukaryota > Metazoa > Chordata > Mammalia > Primates > Hominidae > Homo > Homo sapiens. Next base: position 17,896,949 of record NC_000008.11, read on the forward strand.
TTCGGAAACTTGGCTAGCATCATTACCTCAGGAGAAACTTGCAAAAGTTAATCAGGCAGTAAGGACTACTCTAGGGCCAATACTTTGTGGAGGAATTCCAAAAGCCAAATTTTCTTGGAGTAACATTATTCCATGGATGTACTGCCATAACATGGTGGAAGAACTATCATCAGGAAAGGTCAAAATTATGGCCAGGTGCGGTGGCTCACGCCTGTAATCCCAACGCTTTGGGAGGCTGAGGCAGGTGGATCACCTGAGGTCAGGAGTTCGAGACCAGCCTGGCCAAAATGGCAAAACCCCATGTATTTTTAGTTTCTACTAAAACTACAAAAATTATCCAGGTGTGGTGGTGGGCGTCTGTGGTACCAGCTACACAGGAGGCTGAGGAGGAGAATTACTTGAACCCAGGAGGCAGAGATTGCAGTGAGCCGAGATCGCGCCACTGCACTGCAGCCTGGGTGACAGAGCAAGACCCTGTCAAAAAAAAAGAAAAAGAAAAAAAGCAAGAAAGAAGAGTTGTGACCTTGCACAACTGCACCAAAGCTATGAAATGAGAATGAGACCTGAGATCACTGGCTGAAAAAAGTACAAGAAAAGCATGATATAATAGGACAACAAGTACAGTCCCACCAAGATCAGGCTGATTAGGCTCTCAAACACATTAAACGGACACTGTCAATTCTTTTTTCCTTTTCCTTTTGGAAGACCTTTTTCAGAGAACTCTTCAATTAATACATCAGTTACAGCACAATTTTCATCCAAACCCTCTGGACCCTGTATTGTGCCTGCCAGATTGAACACCTGTCCATTATTTGATACTTGACCCAGTCACCGTGGGAAGGTTTAATTCCAGATCTTGCCGCCTCCAGTCCACTCAAGCTTGCAGCGAGGAACATGTCTACTTAAGGCTGCATGAGGAACTAGACTCAGACAAATGATCTTATATCCTTGACTGTATTCTACCAGCATAAATTTCTGATGGTTATATTTTCCAAACTTGACTCCCAGTTCAGGAGGCACCCTTTTATGGGACTTATAAAACTCCATGCTCTGATTACAATGATAACATTTTAAACTTCAAATGTGCCCTTTATTAAAATATTTAGAACGGAGCGTATTGTAGATATCAAGGAAAGGGGTTGTTAAGAACAGTCTTCGTTCCACACAACTAGCAGAGCTTCCTCAGGTGGAGGTAATCAAATTCCTTCCTGAAATGCTGGTTTCAATGTCATCTCAGGCAGAGTCCTGAAAAACTAGAAAGTTTATTTGCACATAACGTAGGTCTCAGAAATTTCAATGGAGAAGCATTTTAAAATTAATAAAACTAAAACAGTTTTACTAGTGAGTTATCCTAAGTATTCCCATTATTGATGTAACTAGCAGAAAGTTTACATTAATAGATGATCAATAAATAGTTCCACCTTCACACACACTTTCTGGGAAAGATTCTGACAATATGAACTAGAAAAATAAGGGTAAAGGTGGATAAAGAAAAAGAGGAAGAAAAGAAAAATTGAGGTGCTTTGTAATGTGTCAACTTGGGTAGGCCGAACTACAGTTCCCAGAATTCCTTTTGCCTTATGTTTTCCATTAGGAGCAGTTGGCAGGCAGAAAGGAAGTGGCAGCCATCTTTGCAGCTCTCCCATGCTGTAACGTATCTCGTTGGCCTTAAGATAGTGGCTAAGCCTCCAGCTGTTTCACTTCCCTTTGGATATAATTTGGAGCCTCGTTTAGCACATTACAAATGGGTCTGGCTTCTGTAGGACACCCACATCAACCAAGGTCAGAGGCAACAAGAACTGACACAGGTTTCAGTCCGTCCTCATAGATTCCAGCTCCTGCTTCTATTACGCTCATCTACTCTCTCGCTTAACTGCAGTTCGTACTTCAAGCTCCAACATCATCCCTGGAGACAGCTGCCTTTCAAAGAGTACTTAACCAGCTCCCACAGTTGCATTAAGTCAAATCCCTTATATATCCTAGAAGCTCTGCTTCTATGATTGAACTCTGCCTGTAACTCTGAGGCTCCTGGACAGGAAAGTCGAATGCCTCAGAAGGAATTTTGTCACTGCACCATTATTTCTTCCTCCCAGAGCTCTCTGTTCTTTTGCTCACATCTGGATTGCTCTCCCTCTAGGCCTGCTACATGAGGCATGTAAAAAGTAATACTGATAGACATTTGGCAGATACTCCCAAATGTGTAGCTTCAGGTTCCACACAACCTATGTCCTCCCCTGCATACTAGTTAAGATAAAATGAAACGCTTATTCACTACTCATCTTTTCAGAGCTTTCTCACCTATGTGTTTGGATTTTTTTCCCCTCTGATTCTCAAACTAATTTTAGATTGGTTCCCTAGCAGGAAGAGTACAAAGATGTTTTCTTTTTTTTTTTCTGCCACAAAAAATAAAAAGTGTTCTTGCTGAGGAATATGTTTGTTTTTCTTTCTGTGTGTTTGCAAGGACTGTGGACTGGCATTTATTTTATGCTTCTGAATAATAACATCTTTCTTATTAAAGAAGAATCTCCCCAGAAGGTCACATGTCATTAAAAAAACAATTTTAACCAAATACACGTAAATTCTAATAGAAAACAGATTTTTTACCCGTAACACATGAAGAAGAAATTTAGCTATATTGTATAAAAATATGTAGGGAAAAAAGAACACAAGAGCTCGTGTTAAGTAAAACCACATTTTAAAATACGCCTTTAGGAACACGGAAGATGGAAGGTATCAGAAGATACTTGCTTTCATTCTACTCCTCGGTGATGATGTATCTGCTTTTTTTTTTTTTTTTTTGGATGAATTTGCAGTGTATCTTTTCATCCTGATGCCTAAATCCAGTCTCTATATGTACCTCTTTTCTCCAGTTTTTAGACTTTTAAAATATTATCTTTTCATGAAGAATTCAACTAATTGGAAAATGCGTGATTCCTACCACTATGACAATATCTGAAAGTAGAATCCTCAGGGTTGCAAGCTATTCTGACAAAATTTCTGAACTCTAGCAGAAAATGTAAAAATATACATTTGACAAAAATATATTTGCCCATTTGAATTTAAATTTTGTCTTTTTTTTACTCAGTTTTTATTTCTTAGAAAAAGGAAGACAATCTAAATATAATTCCCTGAGATATAGTTTCCTTTCACTTCAAAATAACTGTACATTAGGTTGAGAGACAAAAAAATTCATTGTCTACAATTACACATACTTTCTGATTAATCTGTTGGTTAGCCCACATTTAGTTCATCAGGCACAACTTATTTTTCTGCATGTGCATTTGGGACAATAACCGGGCATATGAAACCTTTAAAATTTACATTTAAAAATTTATATTTGCACTTGGATAACTTTGCCAATAACTAGAACTCCCTCAAAAACAAAGGCTAGGTCCCTGACTCCTATAGGCATGACCAAGAGTATACTACAAAATGATTCCTCTGAGACTGAAATGTTTTTTTCCTGCTTCCCCCTCAGAGACACATTGTGGAAAAATTCTAGAACTTTTAGAATAGACATTGTGTGCTTGACTCCAGCGATCAAAGATTCTGAAATATTGAGGCCCTATTTGAGAGTCATACACTTATACTAGTTTTATTTGTTGTTGTTGTTTATAATCTGAAGAAATGAACTTCAGCCATCTAGAACAAAAATAATTGGATTTGTTGGAGGGTTACGGACTGAGGTAAGTAGTACAATCAGTGACAGACTGATACAAGCCAAGGGAAGGCAGAATAAGGAAAGCTCCAAAAATCTCTCAAAGATGTGTTCTTGGATTTATTCTGTAGTATGCAGCCCTTAAAATGTTTTAATTTCAGTGGAATTCTGGCCTCTGTGTCTGTCCATACAAATCTCACATCCCTAAGAGGGAGAATCCAATTAGCCCAGTCATCGGTATTTCTTTCTGTTTTTTTCTTTTTCTTTCTTTCTTCCTTCCTTCCTTCCTTCCTTTCCTTTCCTTTCTTTCTTTCTTTTTCTTTCTTTCTTTCTTCTTTCTTTCTTTCTTTTTTTTTTTTTTGAGACAGAGTCTCACTCTGTTGCCTGGCTGGAGGATAGTGGTGCAATCTCAGCTCACTGCAACCTCCACCTCCCGGGTTCCAGCAATTCTCCTGCGTCAGCATCCCACGTAGCTGGGACTTGGGCATGCACCACCATGCCCAGCTAATTTTTGTATTTTTAGTAGAGATGGGGTTTTACCATGTTGGCCAGGAGGTCTCGATCTCTTGACCTCATGATCCGCCCACCTCGGCCTACCAAAGTGCTGGGATTACAGGCGTGAGCTACCACACCCAGCCATCTGTGTATTTCAGTGTACACCTAGATATATGGCACCCACACACTGAGGCCACACCTTTACTCCCTGGCCCCAAAATTTTTGTCAAATGTGGCTGCTGGGTGATCTGTTGTGAGCAAGAAAAGCTCCATAGTATGTGCCATTCTCCTACTACAAAATTAGGAAATTTCAAGAGAAATGAAAGGTGGGGATCTGTCCAGTTTAATGGAAGATTGCCTGGCTCAATAAAGATGCTCGGCAAGCCTAAGACTGCATCTCCAATGACTCTTTCACCAATGAATTAACCATAATACATGTACCCTTTTCTATTGCTGTGATGTATATAGTTGTTACCTTTTTATTTGCCTATTCTAATTTCTATGTACCCTCTCTGAATGAAATAAGTCTTAATTAGCCACCAGCCCTTCTCCTAGCCCATCCACCAAGGCTAGATGTTCTCCTATGTATTTACTTCTCTTATATCACACATCACTATATTGTGTACTGGAGCTTCTCTTTTCATTCCAGGGAGATCAGGGGCTTGTTTTTTCTTATTTCAATATCCACAGCACCCAGCATATGCACACCACACAATAGAAGCTCAGAAATATTTATTATGCATGGAATAGTAATATCACCTATTTGTATTAGCATATAATGTAAATATTCAAAATTGGTAACGATTAAACTTGATAACTTACATGAAGTGCTTATGACAATGCCTGATAGAAAATATGCGATAAATTTTCGTTTCCTTCTGTCTTGAAACAATGTCATGATTGTTTAATTCGTTCTGTAAAGAAGGAGGCAGCAGGCTGGCTCCTGGGATTGGTGGCTTACACCTGTAATCCCAGCACTTTAGGAGGCCAAGACGTGTGGATCATCTGAGGTCAGGAGTTTGAGACCAGTCTGGCCAACATGGTGAAATCCCATCTCTACTAAAAATACAAAAACAGCCAGCTGTGGTGGCAGGTGCCTGTAATCCCAACTACTAGGGAGGCTGAGGCAGGAGGATCACTTGAACCTGGGAGGTGGAGGCAAGATCACACCATTGCACTCCAGCCTGGGCAACAGAGTAAGACCCTGTCTCAAAAAAAAGAGTGAGGCAGCAATGTACAACCAAAGATAATACATCATTTCATGAAGATAATTCCAATGTTAGATTAGGAAGCTACCATGTCCAGCCTGCTGCATCATTCTTTACAGAACGAATGAAAGAGTCATGATGTTATTCTTAATAATGTAGAACTATTTGTGAAATGTGGATGCAGTGAACGTTGATGCAGACAATACAATGCCCCTAAACTCATTTTACTAAGATTCCCAAATTTACTCATGCTTTAGCACAAGAATTTTACATTTCAGTTAAGAAAGGTGAAAGAAACTTCTTTAATCTGTAATGGAAGACCTTGTAGCAGAACAAAATTGCTACCAAGAAAGTTGAAAAGTAGATATATATAAGAAAAATGTTTTTGTGACCTGGATTCACAAAGTCTGGGATAATGTTCTTGCTCAACAACTATTTAAATTGGGATTCCCTGAAAGCAGAGCCTGAGACAAAGATTTGGATACAAGTAGTTTATTTGGGAGGTGATTCCAGGGAGCATAAACAAGGGTGTGGTCAAATGAAATAGAACAGGGAGGAAAGCCAAAAAGTACCTAATGAGTGGGGGTACACTCATAGACAACTGAGGCTCCAACCTACTGAAACCTCTGAGAGCCCCACATCAGAATTTTCCTCTCAGGTGGCAGGAGACCAAGAGTAGGTATATATCCACCAACCCCAGGTCCTTGTTGCTTGAGGGTTGCTTCTGTGGTATTGATTCCACCTGTTGTACTATGATCCTTCCACGTGTGCTTTAATCCCCAGCTCCTCATTTCTTCTCTAGAGCTAGGTTGATTACCTTCCTCTTTTTCACTATTGACTTCACCCTTTCCTTCCACAGTTGTTTCCCCTTTTTACTCTATGAACAAGCCCAAGTCTATTAAACCCTAGAAAATTAAAATCTCTCTTACTCCTGCCTCTAGTAACTTTCCTATTTTTCTCTCCATTTCAACTATGCTTATTTTTTAAGAAGACAGTCCACACTCACTGATTCCACGGTCTCTCTTTCCATGAACTCCTCAATTAAAGCCAGTGACTTCTGACTCCTTTACTGCAATTGCGGCTGCTTACAAGATGCCACAACACTCCTCATGGCAGTTTCTCGCTGAATTCTCAGGCTGCTCCTTCTTCCTCAAAAGTTCTTCTTCCACAGGCTTTTATAAAACCCATCCCTCTTAGTTCTCTGGGCATCCTCCAAGTTTTCCATCTTTCCTTTATGGAGTATTCTTTCCTTTTTGGTCCATTGAATGTTAGTGTTTAACAACTCCCAAATATTTCATTCCAGCTATTACTTCTCTCTGTAACTCCAGAAGTGTTTGTCCAGTAGCCTGTTAGCTCAGACTAAATTTATTATAGTCTCTTCTCTTCCTCTTCCCTCCCCTTGGGAAGAAAGGCTTGCCTTCGAAAGAAGATAGTGAGTTGGCAAAACCAGCATTTACTCACTTCATTTACCCACTTCAAAATCTTGGGATTATCAGAGAACATTCCTCCTCCTCATCCTGCATTTCCAGTTAGTCAATAAGTTCTGCTGATTCTACCTTCTAAATGGTAAATTCTCTCCATCAGCGCCATTGCTGCTGTCACCTTAATTCATGTGTTCATCACCTTGGCATAATCTACTGGTATCTCTTAGTTGATCAATCTGCTCCCAGTTTCTTCCTCATGCAGACCATCTGCTACAGAGTATAAAACATTATCTTGATGCAAAAAAAGACCACATTACTTCTCTACTTAAAAAGGCTTAGAAGTTCTCCATCAAGTCAACAATCAACAAGCTAAAATCTGATTTCTTTTATGTGGTGATCTAGCTAGTCCCAGTGTCAGTATCCAGAAGCCGCTCAGGTGGTCCCAATGGCTAAAGCCATCATGAGCCAGCCAACCTGGCATGTGTGGGTGCTTTGAAATCAATGGTTAAAATCTGAGTGTGGGAATGGATCCTGAGACCTTGTAGCCCTAAGTCAGTATTGGCACAGAGCCTTCTCTGTAAACTTAAATTAAGTGTCAACATTTAGAAGTCACTTACTATGAGCCAGGTACTCTCTGAACACTTCCTATGTACTAATTCATGTAATCTCCAGAGTAGCCCTTTGAGATATGTATTATTATTTTTAATTCCCATTTTCCCAGTGAGGTGACTGAGACATAAAGAGAGCAAGCAACTTGCTTAACATCATATATGCCACGATTTGACTTGAAGTAGACTGTTCTAGAAGCAGGGTCTTATCCATTTGCTATGGGCTTTGTTAGCTTTACACAGAGGCTGTGGGGTTCCCAGGCTTAGAACATAATTCCAGCCTGTGCAGGGATCTAGATGAATCAGAGGTGAAGAGTGGAAGAAAGAAGCAGAGTGGAAGCCCAAGCCACTGATGGCAATCTGAACTTGGAGCGTAACATCACCAGGAGAATCTTTATCTCCACATCTTCCCAATCCTCTATAGTTCTGTCATCCAACACACACACAGATACAGACATACACACGCACACATAGACACACACACAATCCATGAGAAGCTTTCACCAGATCAGAAGTGGAATTATTGCTGCAGAAGGTAATGATGGATGGCCCCAGACCACATGAGAATGTTTTTAAAAATGACAAAATATTGGGAATATAACAAACAAGCAAAAAAATGGGACCCATCTAGAGAGCCACATGTGGTCTCTAATTCCTCCCTGCACTGTGGGTTTGGAATGAACACTGGCCCCTAAGAACCGAGTTAGCCATGCCCTGTTCTTCTCTTGAATATAATGGGAGGGGATGTCAGGGAAATGGAGATGTCTCTTCTCACAATATCTGCTAATCAGGATTGTTCAGGGCCTTGTGCAATTAATTTTAGCTTTCAAAAAAGAAATAATTTCTCAGAACTCCATGGTGAGGAAATAGGTCATACTCATTAGCATAGTCATAGAGGAAGAACAGTGTTTAATAATAGGCCTGGCTGAAATAGGCTAGCAGTGAAACTAGAAGGGCAAAATTATTCTGTTAATGAAGAATTAATGAAGATTTTCGAGTTTCCTTAGGTAACCCAAGAAGAAAGGTGTGAAAAAGGAAGGAGTGAATGAGATAAGAATGGGGAGGAGGATGTGAGGAAGGAATACATCAAGATGCCAGGGAGCTGAGCAAGAGGCAGCCAGGGAGAAGTTCTGGGCTATGGCCAAGGATCTTTAAAGAGCAAGGATCTTTAAATAGTCAGTTTTAAGATGTTTGGTGCAGCCTAAATTCCTCTTCCTCTTCCCCTGCCTGAATCTTCCGTAAGAATCTACTACACAGAGATGCCTTGTATCTGCAGCATTTTGAGAAGAGGGAAAGAGGCTGTTGCTTTGGGAATGATGCAGAGTGGAGAAAAAGAACAGCCAAAAGAGGCTAGACTTGAGAGAAATTACAGTAATTCAGTAAAAGCAGGAAATAATAGAAAAACATTGACTCCAAAGATCCTGGAAGGTGCCAGCAAGTGAGGTTAGGTTTCCCACTGTAGATGTAATGGAAACATGGTTTCCCCACCAACTTCGAGGCTTGAGAGCATTCAGGTAACTGATACTTGTTCTATGTTAGTAAAGCGGATATGTGTCTTTTGACAATTTACATGTGAAATAACTGCAGCTGTTTTCTAATTGAATTTCAAGGCTCCATTCCATGGGCTCAGAGAAATCTGATTCTCTACTGCTTTCAGCATGATATCAGACAATTTAGAGTTTCTCTCCAGTCTGGGGGTTGCATATGATTTCTGGGGTTTGGGGTGGTGTGAAGTTGGTATAATATCACTACAACTGTCTATTCTTGCTCTAGTCACTGGGACCTCAGCCTGAGGGACTACACAGATTGCTGCCGCAAATCCCCCCGCTTCCTTTTCAGCAATGCAAGGGAAAACATCACATTCTTTTGATTTCCCACCAATTCATCCTCTTTCCACCCCGGCAAATTGTGGGAGTGGGAGCTTCTCTGATTTTAATCTTTTTTCATCTGTTGTTTCTAATATTGCTGGCTGTGACAATCCGCAGAGGAAATGCATGCCTACCTCTAGTCTGAATGGGGAAAAACAAAATCCAGTATATAAGAAAATATATGGTACAGTGGCTGTGCATGGTGGCTCATGCCTGTAATCTCAGCGCTTTGGGAGGCCAAGGTGGGTGGATCACAAGGTCAAGATATCGAGACAATCATGGCCAACATAGTGAAACCCTGTCTCTACTAAAAATACAAAAATTAGCTGGGCGTGGTGGTGCATGCCTGTAGTCCCAGCTACTTGGGAGGCTGAGGCAGGAGAATCACTTGGATCTGGGAGGTGGAGGTTGCAGTGAGCCATGATTGTGCCATTGCACTCCAGCCTGGTGACAAAGTGAGACTTTGTCTCAAAAAAAAAAAAAAAAAGAAAGAAAATATATGGTACAAACTAATACCTACAAATATCATTCGGTTACATTGGCTTTATACCCTCTCTTTCTATTAGTTCAAAATAGTACTCATAAAATAACCATCCTGTAAAGTAATGAAACTGAATTTTCTTCCATTGCTAATTTCTCCTCTGACCTAACATTAATTATCTAAGAACTTAAGTGTTTAGTGCTCTACATCAGAGGTCAACAAACTATTGTATCGCCCACAGTCTAAACTCGACCCATGGTCCATTTTTATATATTTAAGTAGTTGAAAAAAATCACAAATAGATCGATATCCTGTGACCTGTGAAAATTATATGAAATCTAAATTTCAGTGTCTACAAATAAAGTTTTATTGGAATATAGGCATGCTCATTTGTTTATATACTGTCTGTAGCTGCTTTCATTCTATAACCACAGAGTTGAGAAGTTGCAACAGAATGTATAGCATACAATGCTGAAAATATTTAATATCTGGTCTTTTACAGAAAAAGTTTGGTCAACCTTGTAGGGGAACCAGCCCGCTATACCACCCGCGGGTTCTCCCCTTCCCAGTGGAGACGAGGGAATGAGAAAAGAAATAAAGACAAACACACAAAGTTCAAGAGTTAACAAAAGTGGGTCCAGGGGTCCATCGCAATGTGGAAACTGCGACAGCCCTGAGCTCTGGATTCCACTGATATTTACTGAGTACAGTTCCTTTGATCCTATAGGCTGAGGGTGGGCAGATGGTGGGGTGATCACAGGGTGACCATGGGGAGAGGTGGCAGAGGGGGTAGCATGCGTCATCAGCAAGTTAATATTATTTACTGTTCCACTGTATAAGCTAATACTCTATGTTTAACTTACAGATAATCCTTAAAGTCCAACTAATTGGTTAACAGAACAGGACGTGAAAGCAGACAGCCCGTCAGACCACAGGCCTGTGCATCAAAGGAGCGGTCCACTCCAAGCACCATCAGCAGGGCAGCAGAGCTCTCTGCCTCTGGGAACGAGCGAGAGATAGAAGACTTTCCCCTTATCCTCAGAGGACTTCTCCTCTTTTACAAGCAACCTCCTGCTGTTCCCTTCTGGGGAATGGAGCAGGGGTCGCTTCCCTTCCCACAAGACCTTTGTTCAGGGACTCAAGTGGGAGGTTGAGCAATAAGCAAGCTTTCTTGCTTAGAGGCTCCGCACACTTCCTGTGGTTGTTTGTTCCACCCTGCAGTTAGGCAAGCAAGCTCACCGCCTGATTCTTATATTGTCGGACTAAGCAGAAGCTATTCTTATGATTCATGACTATATTAATAAAGCACTATTCTAAAGCATATTTTGTTAATCCTTAAACAGGCACACCATAGGCCAGCCCTCAACCACCTCGGCCCACATCCAAGCCCCTGTTTTGACCCACATTTCCCCCATTTTTTAAATTTAAAACAGCCATCTCAATCATAACTTGCTTGTGGTTTTGATTTTCTTTCAGGAGCTGCCTTCCGCATCTGCAGACTAAAAACAGACAACATAAGCAGACACAAATTAAAACAAAATTAGCAATGGCAGAGCTTCCCAGAGTTTTAATCCATTTGATAGAATTGAGCTCCGAGAGCCTATCTGCAGCTCCAGCAAGCATTTCTGCTCCAGGCAACAAATTTAAGTGAGCCTGCGATGCTGCAAAAATCTGTTCTTTTAATTTAGTTATATCCAGGGTTAGATTATCTTCTCTTCCTTGTAAGTGGCATCAGACCTTTTCCCACTGATGTTCAGTAACATTATAAGAATAAGGAGTAATACAAAAAGCAGATGTATTCCAATCACATTGCATTTGCATACGATGCTCTAAATGCATAAAACGATCTCTTATCCAGGTGACTGTTTGCCTCAAATCATTAATTTGATTGGCCAACTTCTGATCAATTTTTGCCTGAGAATTCCATAATCTGGTGGAATTTTTCTGCCAGGCATTAACATAATGAGCAGTTTGAATGGAAGAATGCAAGGCAACACCTGCCACAGCCGCGGTGGTGGTGACAGCAATCAAGCCCATAATCACAGCAATTAAAGTAAAAATAAATCTTATTGTACGATTAAGAATCCCTTTTAAAACTCCAGTTATTACATGAATAGAGGGAAAAGTCTCCCAAGGCCTATTAAGAGTAACTGGAATCCAAACGCCCTCTCGTGCTCGGACCAGCAAAATGCTATTCCTCATATCAAAAGTAGAATGAATACAAGTAAACAGATGGCAATTGTCACAAGTAATGGTTTGAGAGTCAGGTAAAATGATAAGTTTTCCAACAACTAACATGTAAGGAGGTTTAACACAACTTTGAAGAGAAATAGACTGATTAGACTGAAGAAGCATGGTAAACAGTAGCTTATTACCTCTTGTTCCCCATGATGCTTCCCCTTTCCACACTCTCATTCCGGAGGTAGCCATAAGCAACTTCCACAATTCTGGATGTTCCAGACCCATGACTGGACTAATTATCTTTGGCCAGGGAGGAGCAGTACCTTTATCTTCCCATTTCAATGGATATAGTGATTCCAATCTTCTAACTAAAGTGGGGGGATTATTGGGACTTTCTCTATAATCTATCATGAAGGAATCCTCAGCGCACCCAGCATTTTGTCCAGTGCAATTTCTGGCAAAGGATCCTTTGGGGGCCCAATCTATAATTATTCCATAAGAATCCTTTTGCAAAACTACTGCACCATCTGCTACACAGTTGTCCCAAGCAAGAATCTCTAGTTTTTCTGACCATTTTGGATTTCTTTTAGGACAAGCCAGTCCTTGAGATTTGTAATTTTTTACTTTTAAATTTGACCGAAAATAACCATCCCCATAAGTTTTTACAGTCATGATAGGTTGGAAAGACATTCCACTCACTACGTGATAACTGGGTTGGGAACGATTATGAGGAGGTACATAGATTATCCAACTATGTATTTGCAATGGTAAACATCAAGGAGCAATTCCTAAACAAATTGGAGGGTATTCATACCAGTTACATTCATCAACATACCCTCCTTCTCAGGCTGTGCAGGACAGCCATCATCAATCGGCCCAGGCATCCAAAATACTATCATTTGTATAAACTTCAATAGGGGAATCCATCCAAGTAACTGGCCTAATTAAAGGAGGAAATGGAACAGAAGCCAGTATGTAAAATTTTCTTCAGTCCAGACAGCAGGGAGACTTACCGCCGCGGTAATTACCATCAAGGCAGCCAAGATCATATTACCCGGGATAATTGCCAGTTGTTTCTCCTTTAGGCTGCCCTCTGCCATTTGAGTCAGCTTCTTTATCTGTTCTCATGTCGGTGGTGTAGCCTGGCGGGTCTTCTCCGTCTTCTGTTGTTTCTCTGAGACGCTCAGCTTCGTCATCTTTCTCAGCTCCCGAAAGGACAGGTCGGAGGGACCAGTCTTCTTCCTCTTTGGATTCTTCCCTTTCTTCTGTCCGGTCGGTGTAGGGTTCATTGCAGAATTTCAAATGTCTATTGGGTATCTAAATGGGTGTTTGATTGTCTCCTGGTGAAACACAAGCAAAAGCCCTTCCCCGCGTCATAATTTTTCTTAATTCCCAAGTTTTAGTTCTGGTATCCTTCCACCAGACCGTTTTTCCTTCATGTAAATTAACTTTCTGTCCAGAAAAGTGTTGTTCCGCTGCTGTGGAGACCTGATCTCTGGAAATGTTCAAAAAATTTAGAGTCAAAAGGGCTAATTGTAACTGCCTATGGGGCGTGGTATACTCCTTACTGCTTCCCCCTTTCTTTTGTTTTTCCAATTGTGTCTTAAGAGTCCGAATGGCCCTTTCTACTGTGGCCTGACCTTGCAAATTATAGGGTATTCCTGTAGTGTGTACAAATTTCCATTGCTGAACAAAACTTTCAAAAGTTTTACTGCAATATCCTTGTCCGTTGTCCGTTTTCATTTTCTGTGGCACACTCATGACTGCAAAACAAGATAATAAATGTCGTTTTACATGAGCTGTACTTTCTCCAGTTTAGCACGTAGCCCAGATAAACCAAGAGAAATTATCAACAGTAACATGCACAAGAGAAAGTTTTCCCAGTGATGGGACATGAGTCACATTCATTTGCCAAAGAGCATTTGGTTTAAGCCCCCTAGGATTAACTCCAGGTTCTTGAGTAGGTAGCTGTAGCACCTGGCATTGCGGACAATGTTGCACTATATTTTTAGCTTGTTTCCAGGTAAATGAATATTTATTTTTTAATCCAGCAGCATTTACATGAGTTAATGAATGGAATTCTTGAGGCTCTGTTAAAACAAGTGTCACTAATAAATCTGCTTGATTATTTAATTGGGTTAAAGGTCCTGGTAAATTTGTGTGAGCTAGAATATGTGTAATATAAACAGGAAAATTTCAAACTCTAACTGCTTGTTGAAGTGAACTAAACAAAAAATTTAGCTGATCATCAGAAATATATTTTATTAAAGCTGTTTTTACCATTGTTGTCGCCTGAACCACATAGGCAGAGTCAGAGACAATATAAACAGGTTGATCAAAATCTTCCAATACAAATATAACTGCTTGTAGCTTAGCTCTTTGTGGAGAATGAAACTGGGTTTGAATAACCTTTTCTTCTGGTCCTGTATAAGCTGCTTTTCCATTCTGAGAGCCATCAGTAAAGACAGTTACAGCCCCCTCCAAGAGGATAGAACTGGTTATTTTAGGTAAAATCCAGGTAGCCAATTTTAGGAACTGAAAAATTTTTGTTTTAGGGTAATGATTATCTATATGGCCAACAAAACCAGCTAAATTAGACTGCCATTCTGATAAATGTATAAAGGCTTGTTGAACCTGTGCTTTGTTTAAAGGAACTACAATTTTATCTGGATCTGTGCCAGTGAATCTAACTATTCTTAATTGGGCTTGGCCTATAAGAATAGCTATTTGATCTAAGTAAATTGAAAAAGTCCTAGTTGTACTGTGGGGTAAAAAAGACCATTCAACCAAGTCAACATCTTGAATAATCACTCCTGTAAGAGAATGGAGAGTAGGAACACCAAGAGCTGTAAGGGAACACTAGGATCTATTCTACTGACTTGAGCACTTTGAATTTTTTCCTCAATTATTCTTAACAGCTGAAGCTGTTGCAGGCGTCAGAGTTCTTTTGCTATGTAAATTTGGATCCCCTCTCAGCAAAGCAAACAAGTCAGACCTCGCATAAGTGGCAATTCCTAAGGTGGGCCTTATCCAATTAACGTCTCCTAATAATTTTTGAAAATCATTTAAAGTTTTTAAGGACTTCTTACGAATTTCTACCTTTTGAGGCATAACTGTTCTCTCCTCCACCTTCATTCCTAGGTAATGATAGGGTGTAGTAGTTTGAATTTTATTTGGCGCTATAGCGAGAACTGTAAGCCCCACCATTTCTTGTAACATAGAAAAACATTTGATAAGTCTATCCCTACTTGTAGCAGCACATAAAATGTCATCAACATAATGAATAATATTAACAATCAGGAAACTGATCCTGGACGGGCTGAATGACCTTCCCAACGAAAGTTTGACGAATTGTAGGACTATTTAACATTCCTTGGGGTAAAACTTTCCACTGATACCTAGTAGCTGGTTCCTTATTATTTATAGCAGATATTGTAAATGCAAATTTTTCAAAGTCCTGGGGATCCAAAGGAATGGTGAAAAAACCATCTTTCGAATCAAATTTTTTTTTTTGAGATGGAGTGTCACTCTGTCGCCCAGGCTGGAATGCAGTGGCGCGATCTCGCTCACTGCAAGCTCCGCCTGCCGGGTTCACGCCATTCTCCTGCCTCAGCCTCCGGAGTAGCTGGGACTACAGGCACCCGCTACCACACCCGGCTAATTTTTTGTATTTTTAGGAGAGATGGGGTTTCCCCGTGTTAGCCAGGATGGTCTTGATCTCCTGACCTCGTGATCCTCCCGCCTCGGCCTCCCAAAATGCTGGGATTATAGGCGTGAGCCACCGCGCCCGACCCAAATCAATTATTACCACCGGCCATTCTCTTGGAATCATGACTGGGGATGGCAACCCCGGTTGGAGAGCCCACATCGGTTGAATGACTGCATTAACCGCTCGTAGGTTGGTCAACATGCGCCATCTACCGGATTTTTTCTGAATTACAAAAACCGGGGAATTCCACGGTGAGAAAGAAGGTTCAATATGTCCTTTGTCTAATTGCTCTTTTGCTAGTCAATGTAATGCCTCCAGTTTTTGCTGAGGAGGCGGCTACTGATCAACCCACACAGGTTTTTGAGTTTTCCATTTCAATGGGATGGGCTTTGGAGGCTCAACAGTGGCCGCCCCTAAAAAGAGTACCCAATTCCTTTTCGGTCAAGTTTAACTGAAGCTTCAATTGGCTGAGTTATTCCATCCTCATTCTTTCCTAATGTTTTTCCAGGAGTATACCCCAACTTAGTCATCATGCTTTGACTCTCTGAACTGTAAATCATAGAGGGAATGGTGATTTCCGTACCCCACTGTTGTAACAAATCTTTTCCCCACAAATTAATGGGAATGGCAGTAATTATAGGTTGGATGGTGCCTTCCTGTCCATCTGGTACTAAACAGTGTAAAATTGTAACACTCTGATAAACTTCAGATGCCATGCCTATTCCAATTAAACCCATAGAAGCTCTCTGTTTGGGCCATGTTTTTGGCCACTGATCCAGGGCTGTAACAGAAATATTAGCGCCTGTATCGACAAGTCCTTCAAAGAGTTTTCCCTGAATCGTTATTGTGCACACAGGTCTATTTTCAGAAACTTGACTTACCCAATAAGTTGCTTTTCCTTTGCTATCAGTGCTGCCGAAACCACCTTCTCTTTTTACTGTACTTTCTCCTACTTAGGTAATAACAACAATTAGGTAATAAGGTAATAACAACAATTGAGCAATTCTCTCTGCCTGGCTTGCACTCCAAGGAATACTAGAACTAATAACCAATTGAATTTCTCCCACAAAATCGGAATCTATCACTCCAGTATAAATTTGAACTCCTTTTAAATTTAGACTAAATCTCCCTAAAACAAGTCCAACTGTTACCTCAGGTAAAGGGCCAAATACTCCAGAGGGCACCTTTTGAGGTGGTTCCCCTGGAAGCAGAGACACAGCTCTGGTGCAACATAAATCTAAAGCAGCGCCCCCTGTTGTAACTGGCGCCAATTATGTTACTGTGGTGGTCACTTGAGGGATTAAGGGCACTGGTGCCCACTGACGGACAAACTGCTGGAGAGGGAATGCCCCAGTTTGGAGTGGGGCCTGAGGCTGGCCCCTCTTCCCATTTCCCAATTGCGCCTGCAAGGGTTGGCCATTTTCATCAAATTTGGAGTGACACCGTTTAGCCCAACATTTACCCTTCTGGCACCTGGGACATAAGCCAGGTGGCTCCTTTGTTTGATTAGATCTGGATTGTTTGTTTGATTTGTTCTTATATTCCTTTTTTGTATTTCCAAATTGCCCACAGTTATAACAATTGCCTGAAAAGTTTTTCACTGGATCTCCCACCTTTGATCCTGCCATGTTTTGAGCCATTATCATAGCCTTATGCATGATTCCACCAATCTATCACATGCCCTGATATACTCATTGATTACATCAACTCCCACCAGAACCTTTCCTTTCACAGAGCGAATAGGTGATTGACAGTCAGGGTTGGCATTTTCATAAGCCAAGAATTCTATAATCACCTTCCTGGCACTTTCATCAGTGAGAGCCTTCTGAGCTGCATCTTGAAGAGGAGCAATAAAATCAGGATACGGTTCTTTTGAGCCTTGTCTGACAGAATTAAAAGAGGGATAAGTAGTTCCCGGGTCCTGAATTTTTTCCCATGCCCTCAAGCAACAATTGCGAATTTGCTCAACGGCATCATCCTGAAGCACTAATTGTTGTACAGTTCCTCATTGGCCCCCAACTCCCAACAGTTGTTCAAGTGAAATGGCAACAACAGGATTAGCAGCACGGTTTTTTTGATCTTGATTTTGAGCCTCATCGGTCCACCAACTTTTAAATTGAAGAAATTGGGAGGGCGAAAGAGTAGCTTTTGCTAAAATCTCCCAATCGTCCGGGGCCAATCGCTTGTCCTGAGTTACTGAGTGTAATAGTGACTGGACAGAAGGCGAATTGGGACCTTACTGACCAACAGCTGCTTTGAGATCTTTAAGCAGCTTAAAAGAAAATGGTTCCCATACCGCCTGATGGGCACCACCCTGCTGCTGTGGGAGTTCCAAAACTACTGGAAACTGCCAGGCATCGGGATCTCCAGCTAACCTAGCCTGCCGAATAACCATTTGAAATGGTGATTCATTGACATTAGGTGGCAGTGCAGCCCTATGCTGTACTGGTGCTGCAAAACGTGTTCTTGATTCCTGAGCCCCTAATTTATCCATTCGTGAAACAGGGCAAATTGGAGATTCAAACCTCCAAGGCTCCAGGTTACGTTGCCTTATTGGAGGTGGCCACTCCGGATGATCCCAATGAGGAGCCAAAGATTCCTCAAGGCCCTTCTTTGTTTTAAACATATTGGCATAAATAGCTTCTCTATTTTAGGAGCAGCTGGAGGTCCCACATGCTCCTCAAAAGAAATTAAGTCATCTCCAGGTTTGTCTGTACTTTCCTCAAAATCTTCTTCACTATCCTCTCCTCCTTCAACTTCCTTTATATTTATATTGGCGGCAGCACCGCCTTCCTCCGCTGGAATTCTTTCTGCCGGAGGATAAACCTCGTTTTCCATTTGAAACGGTTCCAAGGCTGCTTTAACCATAGCCCAGTCTGACCAGACCGTTAGAAGAATAAGTTTTCCTTCCTTATGAACTTGTTTTAAGGCAATTCCAACCTGCTCCCAATCTTTTAAATCCATGGTACCTTATTCAGGAAACCAAGGGCAATACTGCTCTACTGTTTGAAACAGAGTAATCAAGTTTTCTGTGCTAGCCTTTATTACCCCCCTCTTTAAGAGGAGTTTGATAAAGTGTAAGTAAGCAGAGTGCTTACTTCCCGATTGTCCCATGGTGTCCCTGGAATACTCCGAGCACACAAGCTTACCGCAAGGCCGACCACACGTTCTTGGGAGTCCCTCGACAGACTGGTCTCCGCAATGACCATGCTCAGGTGTAACTCCACCTGGGTACAAGGAGCCCACACTGGGTGCCAAAGATGTAGGGGAACCAGCCCGCTACACCACATGCGTGTTCTCCCCTTCCCGGTGGAAATGAAGGAATGAGAAAAGAAATAAAGACACAAAGTTCAAGAGTTAACAAAAGTGGGTCCAGGGTTCCATCACAACACGGAAACTGCGAAGGCCTTGAGCTCTGGATTCCACTGATGTTTATTGAGTACAATTCCTTTGATCCTATGGGCTGAGGGTGGGCAGATGGTTGGGTGATCATAGAGTGACCATGGGGAGAGGTGGCAGAGGGGCTTAACAGAACAGGATGTGAAAGCAGATAGCCCGTCAGACCACAGGCCTGTGCATCAAAGGAGTGGTCCACTCCAAGCACCATCAGCAGAGCAGCAGAGCTCTCCGCCTCTGGGAACGAGCGAGAGATAGAAGACTTCCTCCTCATCTCTACCGCAGAGGACTTCTCCTCTTTTACAAGCAGCCTCCTGCTGTTCCCTTCTGGGGAATGGAGCAGGGGTCGCTTCCCTTCCCACGAGACCTTTGTTCAGGGACTCAAGTGGGAGGTTGAGCAATAAGCAAGCTTTCTTGCTTAGAGGCTCCGCACACTTCCTGCGGTTGTTTGTTCCACTCTGTGGTCAGTCAAGCAAGCTCACCGCCTGATTCTTATATTGTTGGACTAAGCACAAGCTATTCTTATGATTCATGACTATATTAATAAAGCACTATTCTAAAGCATATATTGTTAATCCTTAAACAGGCACACTGTACGCTGGCCCTCGACTACCTCGGCCCACATCCAAGCCCCTGTTTTGACCCACAAACCTCTCCTCTATACCAGTGTGTTTCACCCGCTATCAGAGTTTTACTTGTTTCCTTATCTAGATTGGGGAGAGTCTTGGATAGACCGGCCTGCCATCCAACGTCCTTGGTTTTTAGCCCTGGAAATTATTTAGTTCTTCTGGTAAGGAGAGGGCATTTTCTCTTACCTGGTTAATCTGAATTCACGTGTGTTTTGCTAGTTCTCCCCTGACTTTGGGATCTTTCTCATGGAAGGAGAAATGCAATGTGGAAGCCTTTTTACGGTAAAATAAAAAATTATAAGGCCAAGGTGGGTGGATCACAAGGTCAGGAGATCGAGACCACCCTGGCTAACACGTTGAAACTCCATCTCTGCTAAAAATACAAAAAATTAGCCAAGCGTGGTGGCGGGTGCCTGTAGTCCCAGCTACTTGGGAGGCTGAGGCAGGAGAATGGCTTGAACCCGGGAGGCGCAGGTTGTAGTGAGCTGAAATCGTGCCACTGCACTCCAGCGTGGGCGACAGAGCGAGACTCTGTCTCAAAAAAAAAAAAAATTATAATATATACAGCTGTAGCTTTCCTACATAATGCCGTGAATTTAACATGAATCATTGTAACCCCAATCATGCCACATACTCCTCTGCTAGTCCGTATGGATGCATATTACAAATCTAGTTGTCACCTGCAGATCTCTTTATTTCTGTGAATAAAAACTTATTTGACCCAGAAACCAACTTTTATAAAATCACTCCAGATTATTCCTTATAACCATGATAATTTTGAGTCCTTATTTCATATCATTTTGTTTTGATTAACAGCTTTTTTAAAGTGAAAGCTGAGGTTTAATTTTCATGCCTTTCTAACATTTTTCCTATGAATTAGGAAACAAAATCTGTATCAGCCCATATTTCCATATTTTTGGAACTCCCTCACCTAATTATCCAATTTTTCTACTTAATTACCAACATATATCTAGTTACATAGTTCTGGTTTAACTGTTTTGGTATAGTGCTGGTGGGAAACAAGGAAAAAGATGTGGATTATTTTCCTTGTAGTTTTAAAAAATGGTTACTCATATCTCTCCGTTTAAACCTCTCCAACTTGGTGTGTCTTGGGAAGGAAGCAATTTACTCAAGATTTTACTACATGATTGCAGCTTTGACCACATTTTCAGTGAATAGAGAAGATGACGTAAAAACATACATACAAGAAAAATACAGGAAGAATCATGTAGTAATCACAACTCTGTAGAAGTAAAGCCATGTGAAAACTGATGAAATGCAACTATAGATGAAATTGTCAGAATCACGAAGGTTACATCCATTAAATGAGTGATTTTTGAAAGAAAAGAACATAAATTGGTTATGAAGGAAGAGGCAGTTCAGACCGTTACAAACGTTAATATTGTATGTCGACGGCAGTAATTAGGTATTTTCAAATCTAATAATAAAGAATCAAAACTAGGCAGTAATGAGAGATGTTCTGATAATTAGATCTGGGGAAAACAGAGCAAAGTAAAAAGAGCCTTGAAACATTACTTACGCATGTGGATTTGATAGAATTCGTTGACATAATTATATAATGGCTGGTTGATTAGATTATATACATCAACTTTTAAGTTTTTGAGCAAAAGAGTTATGGGAGAAAAATCTCCCTCCCCAAACTCCCGAGGATGCTTGGCAATCAATGTCAGGAGACATTTTTGGTTTTTACAATGGACAGGGGTTTGCTCTAGGTATACAGTGGGTAGAGGCCAGGGATGTTGCGGAACCTCCCGGAACGCACAGAACCGCCCCACAACAAGAATCACCCAGCCCAAACTGTCAATAGTATCAAGGTTAAGAAACTCTGGGCTAGATTAAAAGGTAGAGAAGTTAACCGTGCTACAATTTAACCAAAAGGTGTAAGAACTAGGTCAGAGGCCTCCAATTAGTCCTTTGTTTGGCATGACCAGTCTCTTCTTCCATTAAGTTACCCAGAAAGCCAAGTTATATTTTTCAGGAATATTCAAAAATTAATTTTACGTTCTGCTCTTAATAAATTTGGGGTTTATACCCATTAAAATGGATGAGTCGCAGAAACACAATGTTGAATGAAAAAAGCAAGTAAAGCAAAAATACATTCAGTATGATATCATTTATATAAAGCTTGAAAACAAGCAAAATAAAACATATTATTTAGGGATATCCATAGTTACATGAATAAAATGAAGGAATTCAATAACATTGAATTCCGGATAGTATTTATGTCTGCAAAGAGGAAAGAGTTTGAAGAAAATGTGGCAGGGAGCAGTCCTTAAACATCTTAAGTTCTTTTTTTTTTTTTTGTTTTTTTGACAGAGTCTTGCTCTGTCACCAGGCTGGAGTGCAGTGGCACAATCTCGGTTCACTGCAACCTCTGCCTCCCGGGCTCAAGTGATATTGTCCTGCCTCAACCTACCTGGGATTACAGGCTCGCACCACCACGTCTGGCTAATTTTTGTAGTTGTAGTAGCAGCGGGGTTTCGCCACGTTGCCTTGTCTCAAACTCCTGACCTCAAATGATCCAACTGCCTCGGGCTCCCAAAGTGCTGGGATTACAGGCATAAGCCACTGTACCCAGACACGTTTTGATTAAATTCTATTTTCAAAGTTAGGTTGTGGGTTCTTGAGTGTTTCGCTCGTTATTGTACTTTATGTATGCATGTATGTATGTATGTAGAAACAGTTTCCTTAAGTTCCTCAGGCTGGTCTGGAGCTCCTGGCCTCAAGTGATCTTCCAGCTTCAGCCTCCCAAGTAGCTGAGATTACAGGCATATAATGCGCCCAGTTGTCAGTATTGTACTATAGAGTTTACATGTATGTTATATATTCTTTTGGGTGTATCAAAAAATCACATAATAAAAACAAATAACATGCAGTTATAAAGTAGTGGATTTGTCCCTGAAGATTTTTCCTTTAAGTTCTGTCACCATCTGCAGGTTAAAACTAGGTATTGCAGAAAACTTGTTTTTCAAAGATTAAAAAGTACAAACGGCTGGATTTCTGTTACAGACATGCTTACAATCCATCTGTGGATAAGGAGCATACAGAATACATTAAAGAGATAAACATTATAGCACCAAGTGTTTTGTTTTTTTTTTGAGACAGAGTCTCGCTCAGGCTGGAATGCAATGGTGTGACCTGGGCTCACTGCAACCTCCACCTCCTAGGTTCAAGCAATTCTCCTGCCTCAGCCTCCTGAGTAGCTGGGATTATAGTCACATGCCATCACACCCGGCTAATTTTTGTATTTTTAGTAGAGACGGGGTTTCACTATGTTGGTCAGGCTGGTCTCGAACTCCTGACATCATGATCCACGCGCCTCGGCCTCCCAAAGTGCTGGGATTACAGGCATGAGCCACCGTGCCCGGCTGTGTTATCTTATAAGTACCACCTGGTTAGTGTCCTACCAAATATCAAGAAACAGAAATAGTATTTTCACATCATAACAACTGATTTAGTTTATGTGAATAAAAATTTAAATCCCTTACTTTATTCATCCTGCTACTACCTTAGGCCAAGCCTTCATTACTTCATGACAGGTTGGCACCTGTTCTCCTTGTCTTCTTTTCCTAGTCTTTACAAAACATTGCCACTAGATTGAAGTCTTCAAATAACCATTTCATTACAGCATTGACCTCTTCCAAAGTCTCAAATGGTTTCACACTAACTGAAGAACAAAGTCCACACTCTTTAGATAAGTAGTTGACTTTCTATAGTTTGGCCCCAACCTGGTAATAAACCTTGCCTTCTCCCACCTCCCCATCACTTACCATATATAAATCCTCTACTTCAGCCAGTCTGTTTTTTGTCCATTGCTTACTCTGGATGTGTGATCTGTGTTCTTGGTATATCCCACTTCCTTGAACATCATTCTGCAATTTGGAACTTCCACCCCCTGCATATTTAATACATGTGTTAGGTTGTTCTCTTGAATGTGGAAAACTGAAAGGCAGTTTCAATGTTTATCTCTTAGAGGCCATTCTTCTGTTTCCTATCTACATTTCCACAGACTGCTGCCCCTAATTTCATCCTACCTATAAATCCTAGAGCTATCATTATCTCTGAGACAAAACATCCCTATTTTAAAAATCTAAATTACCACAGCAATCAGTGTCTACATCATTTGTTTGGCATAGTGACGGACTATTAACACTAAGTCGATTCATTCTGATAAAGTTTGTTTCTAAAAATAGATGTTAAATTTCTGAAAGCCAGGTATAATTTTATCGCTTCTTGTTTTTTTTCTTTCCTTCTTCCCTTACAAAGATCAGTAATGCTCATATTTGAGTTTGAGATCCCCTTTTCAATGTAAATATTTCTCAAATTCCTCTTACCTCCCAACAAACAATAGTATTGACATTCTGGGGCTTCATAAATTCAGAAAACATCATGACTAGTAGATATTATAATTTCATGCTTTTGAATTTATTAGAATTGTTTTAATGATAACAGCTTCTACATTTCAATGTAAATATTTCTCAAATTCCTCCTACCTCCTAATAAACAATAGTATTGACATTCTGGAGCTTCATAAATTCAGAAAACATAATGACTAGTACGTATTATAATTTCACGCTTTTGAATTTATTAGAATTGTTTTAATGATAACAGCTTCTACATACGTTTAATAATAATACATATGTATAAAGCAAAATAATGATGATAGCTAATATTTCGGGCCTCAACATATACTAGTGTTTTTATATGCGTTGTATTTAATTAAAAAAAATCTTAAAGGAATCACATAGACCTCCGTTTAAATTTAGGCTCTACCACTTGCAGCTGCTACAAGTTTGATTTATATAATCTTTCATTGCCAAAACGGGTCAGATTCAGAACCAGCCTCTTCAGGGTAACTGTGAGGATCAAGAAAATCACAACAGCCGAAGTGCTTTACAGTGTGCCTGGCATAAAACAAACTCTGAGAACATTTTTTAAAAAATCCTTTCAAGGTAGGCAGTATCATTCCTTCCCCCTCATTTCATAGATGGGGCAATTAAGGCTCAGAAAGGCACGTCGCTTGTCCAGGATCTTGGAGTGGTGGAATTAGGATAGGGCATTCTGGACTACAATAAACACCTGAGCGTTTAGCTGCTGTGTTCTGAGCTCCCACAGCACTTTTTCTTACAACACAAACTTTATTTACATCACACTCCACTTCCGCATCCTTCACTAAAATATGAGCTCTTCAAGGGCAGGGACTATATTTTTGCTACCGCAGTAGTTAGCGATACACACACAGAATATGAGGAAAAAGTGTCTGACCAACGATCAATGCACTCACGACTGAACCTACGGTGGCAGATTGCAGTGGGATAGAAGAGCTTTATGTGAATTGCGTACTGAGATGCAGACCTACTATTTTGGGAACAATTTGTTTTTGTTGTTGAAACCCAGAATGCAATTCTTCTTTTTACCTTTATTTTGCTTAAAAAGTTATTCCATAATTATAAACTGCGTAAAACTAGAAGAATGCCCTTGCACTCAACTAAAACTGACAGGTGTTTTACCTTTCCAGTCAGGCACATTGAAGGCCTTGTGACTTTATTGATTTTTGTTTTTTAAAGGGAGGACCTGCCAATTTATTAATCTTAATAGAGCTGTAACAGGAGAGTATAAATAAAAAGATAGTTCAGAGAAAATTTACTGAAATTAAGTTTGGATTAAAATCATCTGGCTCTTTTAAGGAAAAGGGACATTAACCAAAAGTGGCGTTAACTATCAACAATATTTATGATTCTCTCACTCAGTAGATACATAATGACGTCTGGCAAATTGTTTAACTTCCGTGGAACAATCCCCTCATATGTAAAATCAGGAGGTTGGACTACATTGTAAGTGTCCTTTTGTTTCCACCTCTTCGTGACCGAATGTGGGGTGAGGAAGGGGCAAAAAAGCGATCCCGGTCTTGGCTCCTTCTTCCGGCACGGGCCGGAGCTGACACCCCCACGGAAAACCGCACAGCGCCTCCGCTCTTTCTCCACGGGCTGAGGGATCAATGCACTTCCGCATAGGCCTAGGGCCCCACGCTCCGCGATCAGCGCCGGAAGCGCACGGCATGCTGGGATTTGTAGTCCTCCACCTGTGGCCGGCAGGCGTTTAGAACGCGAGGTCTAGTTGGCATTCTGGGATACATAGTTCCTGGGCGGGTGGGGGCGGATTCGTTGGTGTAATCTCTTTTCGGCTTAAAGAGCCAGAAGCGACACCACAGACTCCGGCGGGTCACATGACTCCAGTCTAGCTCGCATTGCGGCTCCCGCCCGGGCGAGTTCTCGCCCCCGCGCGGCCGTTGCCGAGGAGACGGCGCATGTCCCGCCGCGCGTTGCCCCCTCTGCAGTACCCCCGCCCCTCTTCTCCCACCACAATGAGATCCTAAGATGGCGGTGGCTGCGGCGGTTGGCGCTGCGTAGCTGAGGTCGAAAAGGCGGCCACTGGGGCCGAGGCAGCCAGGAAACGTGTGGGCCTCTCTGCTGCGGTCTCCGAGGGCCGACCGCTGCCGGCGGCGGGTCGTGGGGGCTGACTGTCGCTCTGCCTTTGACAGGAGAGGCTGCTTCTTGTAGAGGTAATGCCTGCGCGTCCCCAGCCCTTGGCAACCTAGGGCGGCGCGCCCCAGAGGCGGGAGAGTAACGGCTCCGGGACACTCGGCCCTGTTGGGTCTGGCCACGGGCCCACGCCTCCTCTGTAGGTTCCCGGGTCTTCCTGCCCCGGGCTTCCCGTGCCCTAGGCGGTCAGTCCGCCCGCTCCCTCAGGACTGATCGCCGGGATCCCCGGGTGAGCACCTCGCGACGCGTTGGTGATTGCAGGACTCCCTTCTTGCCTCCTCGCCCCTCCTGCTGGCCCTGTCGGGGAGGCTGTTCTGCGTCCCGGTGGCTCCGGCTATACCCCTTGCGGGCGGAGGAAGCGGAGCGGGGACTCTGGTTTGGGTGCTAGGGGCACTGGGTCGAGTTCTTAGAGAAACAGGCCTTGGTGGCCATAGTTCTTCCCCGCGTTCCCTCTGTGGAACTCTCGGTGTCCAGAGTTTGGGGTGTAGAAGGGCGGATGAGGAGCGACGCGACTCTGAAGAGTTGCAGTTGGGCTGTGAGCTGCAGGATTTCCGCCGTCTCTGGTGCTGTGGGAGCCGATGGGCCGGGGGAGGCGTTCCTGGGAAGGTTAATGGAGTAATTATTGCCCCTTCTTTCTCCCTTCCTACCTATCTAGTTAGAATTGGGCCTAGAACCGGGAAAGACTAAATGCCAAGTGGGACTGGGGGAAACGTTGTTTGGTTTACAGAAACTGGCGTTTGGGGATTAGGCCCCGCCAGGGAGGCTGGGCGCGCCAACTTTGCATCCCTCAGCCTACTCCCCAGGAACTCGCCTGGTTTAATTTTTTTTGTTTTGTTTTGTTTTTTTGAGCGAGTTGAGGTCTGTATTGTGTGTCTTACGGGTGACGGTTCGTGTTTGGGCGCTGGAAGGAGCGGGCTTTCTGGGCGCCCCTACCACCCCCGCCCCATAACCGCTTTCCAGACTCCGCCTGCTGGTGTTCTCTGGTTACCGGAGTGGGTGTTGCAGAGCCTCGGGTGCACCTGCTCCTTTCTTTCCCTAGCACCTTCCTGGTGAGGACCCCTGAACACCAATATAATACAGAGTTTTTGAATTGAAGGTAAACCTGGTATTTATGTAGTGACGAGGTTATTTTATTATGAAGTACAGTAGCTTTTAAATGAGCAAACATTTTTAAAATCATCGGATATACGAGGTTGTTACATAGTTTGAGTAACAGGAAGCTCGATCAATCAGAGGAGTAAACTTTGGCATAGACTATTAAAGGATAGTTAGGGCTAACCATCTTTGTTACACTGTTCCGAAATAGATATCACTTTGCTGTTTGGTAAGATTTCAGAAGTTTAGGGGATTTAAGCATTTATGCATATCACACTATTTTCCAAAAGAATTGAGGTAACTTAAATTTAAAATATGAATAAGTTATATTTTTCCCCTTCTTTTGATCTTTCTAAACATACTTTAGACCAAAACTGAAGTATTTTTTATTCTGTATTTCATAGCGTAAGTAATTTACTTAAGTGATACATATTTTTAATCCTAATTAGGAAACAGCTTTGAAGTGTGGAGCGGGAAAGGAGCAGTTTCTGAGCTGCAAAAACTAGTTTCTAAACAGGTAATTTGACATTATTATCTGTATTATCCTTTGTATTAGAGTTGGAGAAGACTTTATGGTGGACACTGCTGTCACAGTTACAGTGCATGACTGAGGATCCTCTCTGCTTAGTAAACAAACTTTCTGGGTTCACCGCCCTGTTTGCTCTGCTTTTCGGCGTGCTGCTTTGGCCTGCCGGTATATCTTTGTTCGGAAAGGCCCTGTCATTCCTAATTATTAATTACTAGAATGGTTTATGCAGTACCGTTTGAAATTTATTTGTCTTCACAGAATTTTTTCAACCTGTTTGAATTTGTCCTATAACTGGATAGCCTCTCTTTCCAAATCCATTTAATCTCAAGTTCTCTCCTACAACATTCCTATTAATTGGCTGTTCATGAACTCTACTTGTCGAACTTGTTATACCTTGACCGAAATTTAGTTGTCTAAAATTACTTTATTATTATTTTTTGTACTTCGATCTCCCTTTCCTGGTATAAAGTTACTTGAAACATTACTTTTAGCGCATAGTACATTGTCACATGCAAGTGACATAAAGGTATTCTCTGTCCAGCAGAATAAAGTCAGTGTTGTAGAATGTAAGTTCACTAGGAGAAGTTCAATAATTGTTTGCAAAGGGCAGTTTGGAAAAATGGCTAAAAGATAATTAGAAGTTTGTTAAAAGCTTTTTAGAAATAATTGCTCTTCAGAAAAAAACCTCAGAAATAAATAACCTAAATTTAATTCTACTCTTAAAATTTTAAGAAAGTTCATTTTGAAAGTTTTGTAGAAATTGGCTGGGCGCAGTGGCTCACGCCTGTAATCCCAGCACTTTGGGAGGCCGAGGTGGGCGGATGACGAGGTCAGGAGATCAAGACCATCCGGCTAACATGGTGAAACCCCATCTCTACTAAAAATACAAAAAAGATTAGCCAGGCGTGGTGGCGGGCACCTGTAGTCCCAGCTACTCTGGAGGCAGAGGCAGGAGAATGGCGTGAACCTGGGAGCAGGAGGTTGCAGTGAGCCAAGATTGTGCCACTGCACCCCAGCCTAGGCAACAGAGTGTGACTCCGTCTCAAAAAAAAAGAAACTTTTGTAGAAATCAATATATATTCTTGCTTTCTACAAAAGCAGACAGATTTTTATTTTATAGCTCTCCTATGAGGACCTGAAATGAGACTGTCATGAGAAAATACGAATAGGTAGTTGATGTATATCTTAATTATAATTCTCAGTGGGTTTTTTTTTTTTTAAACTGGAAGACTAACAAAACAGGGCAAGAAAAATGGAACTCAAGGGAAAGGTCACATGTGAATGTGTGTGTTAGAGTTGTTAATACTACAGTGATTGCTGTATGGTGGGCTTTAGTAAAATAAACAATAATTACAAAATTAGTTATAAGATTTTCCTTTTAGCACATTGGGGAAGATGATGGATAAGACGAATAAAAATAAAGGGTAATTGAGTTAACTTAAATTGGAAGACCTGGGTTTTTTCAATAGGAGATTTGGCCATTTTTTTCTGAAGGAGGAAAGTGGATTTGAGACTTGGAGAAACTAGTAAGGCTGTGAGATTCACAGTACAGAACTAAGAAGACAACCAGAAATACCTATCAGTACTTTCATTTTTACGGATTTGAGTGCTAGGCAACGTGCTATGTAATGACTACTACAGATAAAACAGTGTGCAAAACAGACAGGGTGCCTTTCTTCATGGAGTAAATTTACATTTTAAAAGTATCTATGTGTATGTAGAGTGTAGTATATCTTAATAGTGATCACAGGCAATGCCATTTTATGATCATTTCCCCACTTTTTGACAGCTTGAGAATAGTAGCAGAGAAAACAGACAGTGGAGTTTAGCCAGAATTGAGTCGACACAGTACGCAAGTAGGTGAGGAAGTGAAGGATGCTAGCTAGCAAGGCATTTTTGCAATGACTTAGTTGGGTTTGGGTTTGAGTAAAGAATCAAGGGATTGATGGATTTAGGGAGAGAGAAACGATCAAGGGGCTGGTAGTATTCAGGAAGGCTAAGAGCAGTTTCAGCAGGAATCAAGTGAGAGAAGTAGAATGCAAAAACTTATGATCAGAAAGAGGAACTTCAGAAGTTCAGGATCCTGAACAAATTATCAGTTCAGTATTGGAATAGAGAAGATGAGATGGATATTGGAATTGAGGCCAGAGTCCTAGAAAAGTCATTGCAAGTGTTTAGTTCATGCAAGCAGGGAATGAAGTAGAAAGTGAAACCATGCGCCAGTTACTGTCAGGAAAAGTACAGGCATATCTTGGATATTTTCAGAGGTGATTATGAGTAATTTAATGCCATTTGAGAAAAAAATAATTTTTTTCGTTACTGATCACTTTGATTTTTTTTTTTTTTTTTTTGGAGACAGAGTCTTGCTCTGTTGTCCAGGCTGGAGTGCAGTGGCATTATCTTGGCTTACTGCATCCCTCTCCTCCCGAGTTCAAGCAATTGATTCTCCTTACTCAGCCTACCAAACAGCTGGGATTACAGGAACGCCCCACCACACGTGGCTAATATTTGCGTTTTTAGTAGAGGCGGAGTTTCGCCATGTTGACCAGGCGAATCAAGTGATCCGCCTGCCTCAGCTTCCCAAAGTGGTGGGATCACAAGTGTGAGCCACTGCACCCAGCCTGATTATTTGATTACTTTGAATTTCTTCTTTACCTTATATTCTTATTTCAAAGGTAAACTGTAGTCATAGGTATTTTCATGGTAATTAATACTGTGATATTCTACTGTAATATGTCTCTATAGTTAGAATCCTGCAACGGGATGTTCTTTTTTTTGGCGATGGAGTCTTGCTCTGGCACCCACTGGAGTGCAGCAGCGCAGTCTTGGCTCACTGCAACCTCTGCCTCCCAGGTTCAAGTGATTCTCCTGCCTCAGCCTCCCTAGTAGCTGGGATTACAGACGCGTGCCACCACGTCCGACTAATTTTTGTATTTTTAATATAGATGGGGTTTTAACATGTTGATCAGGCTAGTCTTCAACTCCTGACCTCGTGATCCGCCCGCCTCAGCTTCCCTAAGTCCTGGGATTACAAGCGTGAGCCACCGCGCCCAGCCTAACAGGATTTTCTTAAAAAAAAAAAAAAAAAAAAGTCATTGAAAGTAGCTTAAAATTGCCATAGTATATTTTCATTTTTGTGTCTTTGTAAAAAAAAAAAAAAAACCACTAAGGCTGTTAAAAATAGCTAAATGAAACTTGAAAGTAACAGTTTCAACTTCGTTTAGTAAGGCATAGCATGAGTAGAAGTGCGTGTTTAAAGTAGAAGGATTTTATTTTTATCCCCGTTCAGCTACCCGTAGTACTGTCATCAATCACTTCTACCAATTGTTTTCCTACAGTTTCAACTTTCTTATCTTACTGTCTTTCTGTTTAACTTGCATGGCAAAATTTCAACCTTGGGTGGATTCAGTGGAGTGTTTATATTGAGGGATATGAGCACTGCTGGAAAAAAATATCTGTAGTATGTGTTATATGAGTGAATAGTCTCTCGTTTCCCTGAGTCCGTAGTGCTGCCCACGGTCATTCTCCATTCCCTACTTTTCTACGCTCTCTCAGACACTGCTGTCTCACCCTCACATTTAATGTACAGTCCTTCCTACTTCACAACACTTAGGAACACCTTTGGTTTCCTACCACCACATCTGCTAAGCAGCCTCCAACCCATTCCATCCTTTCTTGGTTTTTTTCAATTAAAGAGATGTTCTTCTTCCTCTCTAAAGCTAATCATTTGTCTTTTGCTCTAGACCCCAATGGCCCCCGCTTTCTCAGAGCCCACATGCTAGTTGCTTATCTCCTTTCTCTTCTGCATTTTTAGTATCTCCCTCTTTTTTTTTTTTTTTTTTTTTTTTTTTTAAAGTGAGGCGGAGTTTCTCTCTTGTTGCCCAGGCTGAGTGCAATGGCACTATCTCCGCTCACTGTAACCTCTGCCTCCCGGGTTCAAACGATTCTCCTGCCTCAGCCTCTCTTGTAGCTGGGATTACAGGCATGTGCCACCATACCTGGCTAATTTTTGTATTTTTAGTGGAAACAGGGTTTCGCAGTTTGGAACAGGCTGGTCTCAAACTCCTGACCTTAGATGACTCACCCACCTCAGCCTCCCACAGTGCTGGTATTACAGGCGTGAGCCACCGCACCCGACCAGTATCTCCCTCCTTACCAACAAATTGTAAACGTACTCAAGATACTTCTATTTTAATAAAACTTTCCTTATGACCGTCTGTGCTTGCTTCTCATCATAGGCTGATTCCTTAAAAATATTAGCTAATGACTTTCTTTATTTTTTCCCTCTTCCTTCCAATAATACATTCCAGTTATGGAATTGACCCTCACTACCCCTGCTGAAATTTCTCACCAAAGTCAACAGTAACCTTGTTGCTAAATCTAGGAGGATACTTCTCAGTACTTCTCTTATCTGGCAAGGTAACTGTTTGGTTTCTTATCACATTCTACTTGATACACTTTTCCCCTTTTGGCAGGCTCTCCTGGTTTCCCTCCTGTCTTTCTGTACCTTATTAGTGTATTAGCGTGTCCTTTTCCTCTGCCTCTCTATTTAATACCAGTGTATTTAAGATCTGGTCTTCTCTTACTCTTTATCGTCTCCCTGAGTCCTCTGTCCCACTTTTTGAGTGGATGACTCTCCAGCCCAGATTTCTCTGTTGAGAGATAGATCGCTATTTGTCAACCGGACAATTTTATTGGGTGTATTATAGGCACATCAAACTCTCCATTTCTAAAACTTGAACTCATCATCATCCTCTCTCAACAAAGAAAACTTGTTTCTTTTCTGATCAGTTTAACTGTGTGTCACATACCCAGTTTCTAGCAACCTTTATCCTTTATCTTTTAACTCTACTATCCTTTAACTCTTCTGCTTCTTTATCGCCCGTGTTGTAATACAGTAGTCTGCCCTATTCTGTGTGGGATACCTTCCAGAGACCCCCAGTGCATGCCTGAAACTGTGGGTAGTACCAAACTCTATGTGTATGTTATTTCCTGTATGTATGTAACTGTGATAAAGTTTAATTTATAGATTAGGCTCAGTAAGAGATTAACAATAACTAATAAGACAGAATAGTCACAACAGTATACTGTAATAAAAGTTACAAGAATGTGGTCTCTGTCGCTCAAAATAACGTACTTTACTCACCAGTTTCCTGACCATGGTTGACTATGGGGAACTATAATCCTGTAACACAAAACTGCAGATAAGGTGGGGACTATAGTCACCAACTCCTATTGATCCTGCACAGCAGTTTTGCTTGAATTGGTATTCTGTACATCCTTAGTCTTTTCGTTATTGGAATACTTCCTTTTTTTTTTTTTTTTTTTTGAGACAGAGTCTCGCTCTTCCGCCCAGGCCGGAGTGCAGTGGTGTTATCTGGGTTCACTACAAGCTCCGCCTCCTGGGTTCACACCATTCTGCCTCAGCCTCCCGAGTAGCTGGGACTACAGGTGCCCGCCACCACGCCTGGCTAATTTTTTGTATTTTTAGTAGAGGTGACAGGGTTTCACCGTGTTAGCCAGGATGGTCTCGATCTCCTGACCTCGTGATCCGCCTGCCTTGGCCTCCCAAAATGCTGGGATTACAGGCGTGAGCCACTGCGCCTGACCGTTACTGGAATACTTTCTGTACTTGTAAGTACTAGTTTATATTAATGTGTTTACAGAATAAAATTTAGAAGGCAGAGATTCTGTATTTGTAATGGTGACATTTAGGTGGTTAAAGAGGTTGACATGAAGAGAAATAACATGCCATTACTCTTATGAGGGAGATACTTAGTATTTTTGGGAAATGTTGTGAATGTGGCCGGGTGCGGTGGCTCACGCCTGTAATCCCAGCACTTTGGGAGGCCGAGGCGGGCGGATCACGAGGTCAGGAGATGGAGACCATCCTGGCTAACATGGTGAAACCCTGTCTCTACTAAAGATACAACAAAAATTAGCCAGGCGTGGTGGCGGGTGCCTGTAGTCCCAGCTATTGGGGAGGCTGAGGCAGGAGAATGACGTGAACCTGGGAGGCGGAGCTTGTAGTGAGCCCAGATGGCGCCACTGCACTCCAGCCTGGGTGACAGAGCAAGACTCTGTCTCCAAAAAAAAAAAAGAATTCATCCATATGCAATTATTTCTTTAGCTTCATACTAATAGTTTTACTTTTTAAAGGCATACTAATGCTGTGCCTTTTAAACACATTTGGTGTCATCATTAAGTTACAAAGTATTCTACCCCCTATGGCAATCACAGTGTAACAGTGGATGAAATTGTTCATTTTGCCAACCTGATAGATTAGACTTTAGTAAATTTTGTTTTAAAAAATACTAAAAAAATCATCTGTTTTTCCCAAACTAATTAGAGTGTACAGTTTTAAAATTGTTTTAGAAACTTATTTTAGTAGTGTTCAAAGTCGTTAGCCAGAAATAGGTCTTTGGAACAAGCTCTGCATTTTAGGGGGAATTTATTGTGATAGGGAAATAGAATGCGTAAAACATTCTTTCTCCAGATATATTCTTTTTTTTTTTTGAGATGGAGTCTTGCTCTTGCCCAGGCTGGAGTGCAGTGGCGTGATCTCAGCACACTGCAACCTCTGCCTCCCGGGTTCAATTGATTCTTCTGCTTCAGCCTCCTGAGTAACTAGGACTACAGGCGTGTGCCACCATGGCTGGCTAGTTTTTGTATTTTTAGTAGAGATAGGATTTCGTTATGTTGGCCAGGCTGGTATTGAATTCCTGACCTTGTGGTAACGCCGACCTTGGCCCAGATATATTCTTAATACATTTATCTTACTTTACTATTACTTCATTATTCTATTAATAGAAAGTATTGCTAACATACTCTTTTAAGATAAAAATGATATGTAATAATTTTGACTTAAATATCTTAATTTTCCCTTCCAATTTACGTTTCAAAACAATTGCTTTTAGTACTTTTAAATATGGCATCACTTCTGTTGCCTGGCTGTTTTATTCTTCAGTATTACAAATTATGTCAGTATATGTAGAATACAGTAGTTGCAAAATGTTTTATTTAAATGAGTCATTTTGGTTCACTGGATATACTTCTATGGGTATTATTTTTTAAAGTTTTAAAATATATTTCTAGTATAAATAATTACGTAAACTGTTCCTGAAAATATGAGACAGAAAAAAAGAAGAAAAATCACCAGTGCCTACCCTGTAACCAATAATTGCTTTTGTGAAAGCACTTTAATAAAGTTTCTTAGCTTTTGTTTAAAAAAATTTATGTATAATTTTTCATACTGCTTTTTTACTTTTTTATATTACTTTTTCCATGATACACCGACAGGTTATATTGTCCAGGCTTCATAATTACATATTTTGAAGGGTACTTAGTATTCTACCCAGCAAGTGTAGTACAGTTTGCCTAATAGCATTGATTTTGTCATTTGACATTTAGTGTTGTTTTTTAATTTATCACAATTATAGCGTAATAAACAACTTCATTATAGTTCTTTCCACCATATTTAAGGTTGTTTTCTTAGATTGCATATAGAGAGGTAGAATTACTGCGTCAAAAATTCAGTTTTAGTTCTTGATACAGTATTGCCAAAATGCTTTCCAGAAATGTTATACTGGTTTATATTCTCAATGTAGTGTCTGAGAATTCCATTTTCCTTTTACTGTCATTAGGATTAGATAATATGTAATTTATATGAAAGTTAGCAAATTTAATAGTTTCTTATTTTAATTTGCAGCTGGACTTTATATATTCGTATTTTTTTTTGCAAACTACTTGTTTTGCTTATATTTCTCCGGTTTTATTTTTTTAAAACAAATTCTCTGTATAACAAAGGTATTAACTATACTTAGTATTTCTTTGAGATTTTTTTTTCTCCCAAGCTCTCATTTACTATTCTCAGCACACTTAGGAATTTACTTTTATGTGAATAAAATCTGTTGAACTTTTTATTTTTTATTTCTTTGTGTTCTAAATTTAGTAAGTTCTCTGTTTTTAAAAACCATTCAATTTTCTTGTCTTTTTAAAATCTTAATTGATGTTTAAAATTCTGTTTTAATCTTTGACTATTTTGATAGTATGATATAAGGCAGCCTTTCTCAGTTGGGAGAGAATTAAGCTCCAATACCCTAAGGCATCTGTTGTTTACTGTGAATTAACTTTTTTTCTGTGTGTCTGGGATGGATGGTACTGGATATGTACCATCCTTGGGAGAATTGAGAAAGTAGTGACTCAAACGATTTTTCCCCTCTTCTATGATTGAGGTGAAGAATACCACTTAAGGAAGACTGTTAAAGCTCTAAATGTATCTTTTTCAAATCTGTTAGCAAATTGTTGTATCAGTGCTCACTCCTACATCATAGAATTGTTGTGAGGCTTTAATGACATAATGGACGTGAAATATTTTAGCATGGTGTTTGGCATGTGGTAAGCAAAATAAAATGCGTTAGCTGTTACTAGTTTTTCTTACTACATTTTTCTGATTACATGTATTTGAGGGTTTTTGTTCCTGAGCTAGTACTGATTTAACCATATAGACAGCATTGTTGAAACCATATAGACAGCTAATTTGGATTAGCATTCTAACCTCCTGACCTCTGTTGCTATCCTTGCTTTTATTTTACAGATGGTAACTTTTTTTTCCGATATGTTTATTCTTCCAGATAAATTTTAGAATTATTTTGTCAAGTTCTAAGGAGAATCCCAGTGGGATCTTAACTGGAATTACATTAAGCCAATCTACATTTAGAAAAAGTGGTTGGTTGTAATATTTAGTATCCCATCATGGAAGATAGTTTTTCTACTTATTCACATTTTTTCTCCCATATTGTTTTATAGAGTTTAATAGTGCTTCTTGACATAGAGCCAAATTATTACTCCTAGTTATTTTATATATTTGTCACTATTATAAGTAGCATCGTTTAAGTGGTATTGGTGATATTTTGACGTTCTCTAGATTTTTAAAAAATACCTACTCTTTAAGAATACCACCTTTTCTCTTTTCAGTGGTAATATTTCTGTTTCATATTTGTCTGCTTGATAGAATTTCTGAAAGAATGCCAAGTAACTGATATGTAGCATTCTTATTTTGGTCTTTATTGGAGATGTCCTTCATGTCTTATTTTAAGCATAATGTTGACTGCTTGTTTATACTTACTTTCAACTCTTTAGAGAATTATTAAAGTAATATATGCTCATTAAAAAAAGAGTGAAATATAACAGGAAGGGTCAATGTATTTGTGATTTTTAAGATTTTTAAAATTAATACTTCGTTGAATTTTATCATTTTTATTTTGAGATAAAATTTAATTTGCTATATAATTTGTTAAAGTAATATGTTATTCTAATAGATATTCTAGCATCAAAACATCTGTGGGACAAATTCTACTTTTTCAGAGTTGATAATCCTTTTGATATTTTTTCTCTAGTGAATGGGATGAGTTAGGGTCTTAGAATTAAAGCAACTTGGATTTTTATCATTATTACTATTTATTTAATTTTTAATCTTTTTTTTTTTTGAGATGGTTTTTTGCTAGTCACCCAGGCTGGAGTGCAGTGGTGCAGTCTCGGCTCACTGCAACCTTGGCTTCCTCTGTTGAAGCCATACTCCTGCCTCAGCCTCCCGAGTAGCTGGGATTACAGGCACCTGCCACCACACCCGGCTAATTTTGTATTTTTAGTAGAGATGGGGTTTTACCATGTTGGCCAGGCTGGTCTTGAACTCCTGACCTCAAGTGATCCGCTTACCTCAGCTTCTCAAAGTGCTGGGATTACAGGCGTGAGCCACTGCACCCAGCCTATTAATATTTTTTTATTGCCATTTTTAGCTGAATGACCTTGGCCAAACTGTCTCTTTTGAATGTCAGTGCTTTTGTGTGTAGTTTAATGACTTTTCATGTCCCTTGAATTTTAGATAAAATTATCTCAACCTCTCCTCTTTCAGCTAGCACCCTTTCAACCTGTACAATTCCACAGCTAGTGGAAATCCAAAGTCTTCTGCAAGATTATGCAGAAATCTTACTTTCTGATGATCATCTCTGCCTTTGAACCTCTACTTCCACCATTGCTGCTGCTTTTTCTCATCTCTTTGACCCAGGTAGGAAATTCAGTCCCTTTCTTGATTTTCACATGTACAAGCAAAAACCCCATTTTTATGGGGAGGATTAGAGTTTGGTAGTCTTTACCAAGATTTAGAGAAAGCACTAATACAAATTAAACTAGGGTAGTAAGCATCACTATTCTTAAAATGTCTTCTAGCCACTGCACTTTTGGATGTTTTGGCCCTAGTCCTGCTTCTCTTTCCCTACCTTCTTATCATCTTGCTATTGTACCTTCCTGTTAAAACCAAAATTTTCTTCTTGTTTCTTGCAGAGCAGTTCTCCCGTCTTTGACTCTTTGGCATACAACTAATGCCTGTGTTTTCAGGGTATCATCTTCATCCCAAGTCCATTGTCAGAACAGAGATACTTTCTTTCCTGGGAGAAGTTCTGGGTCTAGCTGTTTATGACACTTTTCCTACTTTATTGTTCTACCCTTTGGAACTGTGTTGAATTAAGTAAGTAATCTTCAAGCATGCAGACTGGTGCTCACAAGGTATATTCAGGGGTTTTCCTTTCCTTCTCTGTCATTCCAACTACCTAGCTCATTTTAATCATAATATGCCTGTCACAGCTAAATCAATTTGTCTGTGATGTGGTTGACAGTGCCTCATTTTAGTTCATAAAAATCAGTGCTTCAAAGATTGTATTGCTAAACTTCATGGAATGATTTGAAAATTGAATTTGTTTTTATGTGTTATAAAGCTCAGTTCTTAACTTGTTTCGCAGAGAGTTAATTGTTAAATCCAGTATGGCCACAGGAGGAGGTCCCTTTGAAGATGGCATGAATGATCAGGATTTACCAAACTGGAGTAATGAGAATGTTGATGACAGGCTCAACAATATGGTATGATTCCTTACTCTTCATGGTGTGTTGTTGGCTATTAATGTTAAAATGCAGTTTTCCCCCTGACCAAATTTAACTCACTGATGCTCTTTGTATACACTTGCTGGCCAAGACATTAAGGGACCCTGGGCCGTTTATTATATTAATTGAAGACACAAATCAAATTGAGTTTTTAAGCCCCAAAGCAGATTTACTGTTACATAAAGATGTAAAAGTGTTTTTTTTATGGAAACCATGTTTAAGACATGCAGCTGGGTTTTAGGAAGGGATTTGGAGAAGGAATTGGGAAATTATCAAGAATTACGTTTTCACCACCCTAACTCTGCTTTTGAGTGCATCTGCCTAACACACCTTTCTCTTTACAGACCAGTTTTCTCTCCTCTGGTCCATGTGATATACTGTGGCTGTCCCATTGTTCTAAACCTTTTAGTTATGGGTGCAGTTATGTACTGACTAGTTACCTCTTAGTTCCAATTTGAAATTTTGTAGTATGATTATCCTAATTTGGATTAGATATGTGTTTCTTTTTTCAGTCTTCTGTGGCGAGGGTGGGGTGAGGTGTAAGTAGTGTAACAGGTTGGCAGGAATATTCACTCATAGATTGGGTGGAAGGACAGTTCATAAAGAAGGGGGTTTTGTTAAAATAAGGAAAATATCCCAAGTGGTTTACTATACTAGTACTAAAAGAATTTTCCAGTTGGATAAAGTGGGAATTTACAGACCTTTTTGTTAATGAATTAGGTTATGTGAGTTTAACTAAGTAAATAAAAATGTTTTCTATTTGAAACTATAAGCACTTTTTGTAATTCCATATTAGCTGTTACCATGTACATTTTTACCTATAAAAATAATAGCTGTCTTTATTGCTTACTAAATGCTAGGTACTAATTAGTTTTAATCCTATTTTGAAGGTGACACTATTTTAGAGATTAGGAAACTGAGACTATAGGAAGCAAAATAAATAGCCTAGGGTCACACAGTGGAGTGTTTTTTCAGAAAACAGTAATTAGGTTTAGAACCTAGGTTGATTTGATTTCAGATCTCTTTTTGATACGTACTGACTTTATAGGAGATCGGTAAAGGTATCTGTAATTTATTTCACTATTTATAATAGAAAATCACAATGTAAAAAAATCCTCTTGGAAATATTCAGATTGATTTTAGGGTTGGCATTTGAGGATTTGTATTTGTTAGTGATCTTGATAAGAAAATAATCTCTTTTCAGAAGGATGGGCTATAAAATTAAGGTAGATGTAATGAGGGGAAAATGGGTTAATAGAAGTAAATATTTGTCTCTAGGAGTATAAGTCTGTCAAAAATGTCTTGTCTTTTTTAATTTTAAAACTGACCAAAACTTTTTAATTATACCAATCTATTTTCCTGGTTTGATACAGGCCATGTTAATTTTTGCTTTTACTTTTTTAAAGGATTGGGGTGCCCAACAGAAGAAAGCAAATAGATCATCAGAAAAGAATAAGAAAAAGTTTGGTGTAGAAAGTGATAAAAGAGTAACCAATGATATTTCTCCGGAGTCGTCACCAGGAGTTGGAAGGCGAAGAACAAAGACTCCACATACGTTCCCACACAGTAGATACATGAGTCAGATGTCTGTCCCAGAGCAGGCAGAATTAGAGAAACTGAAACAGCGGATAAACTTCAGTGATTTAGATCAGGTTTGTGAATTATTTTTAAAAATGAAGCTATTACTGTGAGAAATACTTGAAATGGATTAAATAATTTGTCTTAGGAATAAAAAATTGAGCTGTTTATGTAATTTTTAAAAAAAGTTTCTGTGCCTATGGAAAGAATTTTAATCACTGGGGATGGTCCTGTCTTCTTTAGAAGGAAATGAAGTCCCATTTCTAAACTTGCTAAAGACATGCATTTCTGGACTTTATACTATGTTATATGACTAACTCAAGTGATTTTACTATACAACTAAATTTTGCATTTTGGTAACTGAATAAAATGGTATTAAGTAATGGAAAGTTCCAGTTTAGTATATATATCATTGGCTAAGTGTGGGATGTGCTGGGTTACCTCAAGTTTAGAATGAAACTATTTTCTGTTTATAATCACCAAAATAAAGTTTAGATCTAAAAACAAGTAGAAATGATAATAAATTCTTGAGAGATATTTTACTCTTAGATCTATATGTCATAGAGACACACACATTTCCAAAAATGTAGAAAGGTAGATTCAAGTCTGATAATGATGTTGGTAATGATCATGTATCATTTATTTATATCTATTTATCAATTATTGAACACTTAACTGTATATCAGGCACTGAGCTGAATACTTTTTCAGACAGTTCTTCATGTAGACACAACTTTAATTACATTGATTCATTGGGTCCAAAGCGTATAAAAATACTATAAGCAAGTAATAAAAAGCAATATGAGTTAAAGTGTGATCCATGGTCCTAGGACACGTTGAGCATCCCTAATACGAAAATCCGAAATGCTCCAAAATCCAAAACTTTTTAAGTGCCAACATGAGTGGAAAATTTAACACCTGACCTTGTGTGATGGTCTGCAGTGAAAACGCGTCAAAACTTTGTTTCGTGCACAAAATTATTAAAAATATTGTATAAGATTACCTTCAGATTATGTGTATAAGGTGCACATGAAACATAAATGAATTTTATGTTTAGACTCCGGTCTCTTTCCTAAGATATATCTCATGTTTATGCATATATTCCAAAATTTGAAAAAAAATGAAACTCCTAACACTTCTTGTCTGAAATATTTTGGATAAGGGGTACTCAAGCTGTACTTCATTTAGACTTACCTTGTTCATATTCGTCAGTTGAATTGTCTCAGCAAAGTGAAGTCTAGAAAATGCTAATCAAATTTTCATATTGTAGTGAAAGACTGTTACAGAGCCAAAGCTCTTTCAGGTCTTAGTGCAAAGCTCTTTGTGTGCACCTTCTGAATCAATATCTGATGGCGAAACTAAGAACATTGGGGTTAAAACAAAATTTTGTCATAAGGTTAATGTTTGTGTGATTTGATTTCTTTTTCATATATAGAGAAGCATTGGAAGTGATTCCCAAGGTAGAGCAACAGCTGCTAACAACAAACGTCAGCTTAGTGAAAACCGAAAGCCCTTCAACTTTTTGCCTATGCAGATTAATACTAACAAGAGCAAAGATGCATCTACAAACCCCCCAAACAGAGAAACGATTGGATCAGCACAGTGTAAAGAGTTGTTTGCTTCTGCTTTAAGTAATGACCTCTTGCAAAACTGTCAGGTGTCTGAAGAAGATGGGAGGGGAGAACCTGCAATGGAGAGCAGCCAGGTGATAACGTTTGTTTCTTTTGCTCATTCTTTACACAAACCTCAAAATACCAACAGTAAGGTTTAGAAAATTAGGTTACGCACACAGGAATTTTAGTTGGGTGGAATTAAAGTGCTTCACTGACCTCCTTTGTTAATCTGCCAGATTTACTTAAAATAGAGTAAATTTCTGTTTATCCAAAAATATTTTAGAAATGGCATATTCAGGTTAGTTAAAGGCTTCTGTTTATTTACAAAATAGCATATTGCCAGTTTTTAGTAAAGGGGGATTGGAAGGAAAGTGATTAATAGATTTTTGTAGGAATTTTTTAAAATGGCAAATATTCTTTTGAAAAGTTGTAAAACTATAATACATTTAATTAATTTATAAACATTAGGAAAATTTATATAAAAAATTGTATGCAGTTGTAGAAGTAAAATTTTTCAGATACTGTAGATTAAAATTTTGAAATGTATTTTTGAATTGACAGTGATTGGAGTTTTTAGTATTACCAATTATGTCTTGATTAAAATCTAAGCTGGATTCAGATTTTTTGCATGTGTTAATTCACACAATAATCCAAGTGTCTTTGGTTATCTTCGAAATAAAAATTTGTAAAACTGTTGCTATTGAACTAATTATCCTTAGTTTTATATATTGTGTACTTTCATGCTTTTTTTAAAAAAAATATTTCCCCTGCAGATTGTAAGCAGGCTTGTTCAAATTCGCGATTATATTACTAAAGCTAGTTCCATGCGGGAAGATCTTGTAGAGAAAAATGAGAGATCTGCTAATGTTGAGCGCCTTACTCATCTAATAGATCACCTTAAAGAACAAGAGAAGTCATATATGAAATTTCTTAAAAAAATCCTTGTAAGTATTCGACTTTTAAAATAACATATTATTTTTGTAGTATCTCAGTGTGTATTTACTGATGACATTCTGATGCCACCCCAGAGGAGTTAACATATTTTCAAAAAATCATGCCATCCATTATAACAATTTATTGCCCATTTTAATAGTTGTATGATTTATACCGCTAAAATATTTCAGGCTAGAGAAAATGAGGAGGAGGATGTTCGGACTATAGATTCAGCTGTGGGATCTGGTTCTGTAGCTGAGAGCACATCGCTAAACATAGATGTGCAGTCTGAGGCTTCAGATACCACGGTAAGCGGCTTTTTGGTAATTAAAGTGCTGGAAATGAAGGTTTAAATTTTTCTCCCAGTTTTCAAGATGTTATTTTTATAGGCGTTCCTTAATGAAAAGTGTATTCCAGGGAAGAACCCCTCAAATTGTTAATGCTGTATGTGTTCTTCTGTATTTAAACACGGAAGTTAAGTTTTATTTATTAACACTAAAAATAGTTTTAATGGTTAATTTGAAAATGTAATTTTTGATCTTCAGTTTATAGAAACATTGTTTTTGTAGTTTGTTTTGTTAAGCAAAGCTTCACTAATTTTAAGAAGCATCGAGGAAGTTAAAATGGATGGTGGAATTAAGGGCAATAGGCAACATTAGTGATTACTTAGCATGTAGTCTTTTGGAAATAACCAAGTTCATTTGTCACTGAGGACACGTTAAGGATATTAGAATTTTTCATTTTTTGGGCTCTATCCTAGTACTGGAGCAAAACCAGATGACTGAAAAATCGAGAGAAAGACTAGTAAATGGGACAGGATAGCATTTACATTGTGACTTATTCACAATGAGAAAAATGCTGTAATTGCTGACTTGGCAAAATGGAATTTGTTGAAGTACTGTTTTTCTGAAGAATAGTAATTTACAGAACTTTGAGGAAAGATTTCTAAAACTTAGTGTGGTTCAATGCTAGGGTGTTTTTAGGCATTTTAAACAGGCGTGCCTATAACCATGCATTATTAAGCTTTTAACACCTATTACAGGCTAGTAAAGCTTTTGTTTTGAGAGGATAAGCATATATCTCTTCGGGTTTTGAGGTGTTCAAAATGCCATTCAGCATTAGGAATTTGAAGGTTTGTTTCCTATTAGTATTGACCTGCATAATTCTTACCTGCCTCCTTTCTCTTCCCGGACCTTCCTAATTTGAAGAGGTGATTTGGATTTCTTTTCTCTACATTATTTTCAACAGGAGATACTTAGAGAGCCTGATCCAAACAGTTGTTGAAGAATGGATTTTACTGTGGGGAAATTCTTTTTCTATTTACAGTGGTGCGAGGCATAATTTCTTCCTTAGGTTCCAGCAGAAATGGAAGGGTTAGGACGATGTGGGTAAAGGAATTCTGTTGGGGAGGAGTGGGAACTTGTATAGATTTATTGTAATTTATATAAAGTATTCATTGTGATGGCAATTTCTTTCATAATATAAAATGACGGTATGAAAGTTGACTAATAACATGTAGCAGAGTAAATGTTAAAAATGTGCTTTAACAACTGTGTGGTATGGTAATTCCGCAGGATGTGGTACTTGCTTAGTTACAGTAAGCAACAGTCTAGTCTACAGAAAACTTAAAAGACTAAATATACTGCTGCTTGGAGGGGGATGTGGATTGATTTTTGTTTTTTTTTTTTTTTAAAAAAAAGGTGGACTGGTACTTTTTAAATTGTTTTACAAGGCTGGCTTATATGTTAAACAGGAGTTTGTGTTAAGAATTTAATATGCTACACTATTTAATAAAGGAGGAGGCATCTTTTAGTCTGAGAATTCGGCCGTGCATTGAGGACAAACTAGGGAATTCAGCTTCACAAGAACAGGTTTCAGACATTGACGTTACTACAAGTCCAAAAGGGAAAGGTGACAGACCTCAGAATGACAGGGAACTGAGGCCTAATAGGAAATATAGCCAAAAACGTGGATTTCCCTCAAAGGTATACTTTACAATATTAACTTGGGAAGTCTCTAAATGAGCACTTCTTC
Organism: Homo sapiens; assembly: GCF_000001405.40. NCBI lineage: Eukaryota > Metazoa > Chordata > Mammalia > Primates > Hominidae > Homo > Homo sapiens. Next base: position 17,941,885 of record NC_000008.11, read on the forward strand.
TGTTCATATTTCCTCTTCTTTATTTGCTTTTCTGTTGTTGCTATTACTCTTACATATTAATTGTTAATATAGTTGTCATACTGTAATTTGCTTTAGTAAAATTCTGTCCCTTACTGTTTTTTTTCTACTTTGTTATATACCTCTCCATGGATTATAGCTTACAGCTGTTTTTAATTTATATTAACAAAGGTTTTGAAATGTAATTTATTCCCTTTTTTATAAATTGCGAGTATAATTTATAACACGTTCTTAAACCTTGACCATCAGTCAGTTGCCCTTTGTTTCTGATATTTGTGTTTATTAATTTAGATGGGGCCAGGCGTGGTAATTCTAGCACTTTGGAAGACTGAGGTGGGCGGATCACCTGAGGTCAGGGGTTTGGGACCATCCTGGCCAACATGGCGAAACCCTGTCTCTACTAAAAATACAAAAATTAGCTGGGCACGGTGGCGCACGCCTGTAATCCCAGCTACTCAGGAGGCTGAGGCAGGAGAATCGCTTCAACCTAGGAGGTGTAGGTTGCCGTGAGCCACTGCACTCCAGCATGGGTGACAGAGTGAGACTGCGTCTCAAAAAAAAAATAATGAAATAAAAATAAATAAATTTAGATGGTAGTTTGTCAGATTTTTTGGTTTATATTTTTATTTTTGGAAACCCCTTTCATTTGCTTTTTTTAGAAAAATTATCCAGTTGACTTGGTTGCCTCTTTTTTTGCTGGTTTTTTCTGCAGTGTTTAATTGGTTTTTTAATTTTCCATGATTTGCATAATGGCATTCCAGATAGAGTTAAAGACAACTATTTGTAGTTCCACATAAAAAGAGTTTGAATAGGCCGGGCACGGTGGCTCACGCCTGTAATCCCAGCACTTTGGGAGGCCGAGGCAGGCGGATCACGAGGTCAGGAGATCGAGACCAGTCTGGCCAACATAGTGAAACCCTGTCTTTACTAAAAATACACGAAAAATTAGCCAGGTGTGGTAGTATGCACCTGTAATCTCAGCTACTCAGGAGGCTGAGGCAGGAGAATTGCTTGAACCCTGGAGGCGGAGGTTGCAGCGAGCCGAGATCCTGCCACTGTACTCCAGCTTGGGTGACAGAACGAGACTCTGTCTCAAAAAAAAAAAAAAAAGAGTTTGAATAAAAATACCATTTATAAAAGTGCATGTATCTGTTGGCAGGAGCAAAGTACTATTTTAGTAATTGAGTATAGGTAAGACTAATTTCATATGTTTTATTACTGGTTTATTACCTAGGACTACACTTTCCCATTTTGTGGCTATTTTATGGGTTTGTTGTATTTTTTTTTTTTTTTTGGTGTGTGTGGCTATTTACAAATGGTAAAACTTCACCTCTAGTATTTTGGCAGTTTTTTTATTTTTTCTGGTTCCTACAAGAATTTGAGAGCACAGTTTGAAATTAGTTATGGGAATCTTATTATATCAAATATCAAGTAAAATGTGCCCCAGTTCACCAGTAGAGTGAATAAAGTAGCTGATTATTTTAAAAACTAGTGGCATTGGAGAAGAGCAAATAAACATGAAGCATAATAGGTAACCATTGGAATTTTATTCTCTTTAATCCTTCTGAATAGTGACAAGCGAAATTTAAGAGTTAACAGTTAATGCAGTATCTGCCAGTTCTTTTTTTCTTAAGGCATTACATATAATTTAAAAACCACTTTGCTGTTTTTAGGTTTCTTTGAATAATATCCTTATAAGTGATTATTATTCTTTTTTGAATTCTCTTCTTGGCATTTATTTCATTTTGACTTTCTTGATTCTTAAGGCTGTCTCGTTGTTCTGTTAGTATTCTATTTGTAAAAACATTTTAATTTCTTCAGGGGAAAAAATCTTAATTCTCACCACCTGTGTTTATTTTTTTCTCTACTCTGCAGGAACTGTCATTCTTACCACCCCACCCCTGTTTCCTCCTTAGAATCTTTTCAAAATGTAGTATTCTGTTAGAATAGTGGAAAACACAGTTGAGGGTCTTACATGCGATTCAAGGTTGAAAGCAACCTTGAGACTTAACGCATGATATGAAATGATTGATATTCTAGAGCTGCCTACCAAGGGCACATTCCACTTTATGAAATATTTTAAGACATGATGACATCTTGTATAAGATGTCAGAAGAAGGCAAAAGAAAGCCTTCTACGAGTAGCCATGCGTTCATTGTTTTCCTATACTCATGGCCCCCAACTTAATCTCACCTCTTAAAATTTATAAGCTTTCTTTGTACCTTGTACCTGTGTTTTGCCATTATTTTCATCATTGCTAGTTATTTCGTGTGAGATTGCCCTGTCTTTTAAACCAGCTATGGTTCTTCAGACATGATGTCTTATACTTCTGTATTTAGAACCCAGCACATAATTTGGAGCAGATAGTATGACGTAAAGAAGACTAGAGCCTAAGAACCTGATTTCCCTTAACTGTGACACTGGATAAGTCACAACTTTATCTTCTCTAGGCTTATAGTTCCTCAACCTTCACATGAAGAAATTGAAGTACATAATTATCTGAAGCTGTCAAAATACATTAGGATCCATTAATAATTACTAGGAGAACCTCAGTTGAGTAGAGGAAAGGAAGATTGAGGGTTCTCTGAAATTGGACTACTACATATTTACAACTCAGGGTTTGATGCCTAAGTTATTTTTTTAATCTGTAAACTAAAAATATAGTTGGTGAAAGTGACTTTTTCAAAAAAAGTTTAAAGAAAAATATGTGTTTGAAGAATTAATATACACCTAGCATCCTTTTTGGATTTCTATTCCAGGTGCCATCTTCCTGGTATGTTATTACTCCTACCTAGATATTTTTATTTTCTCCCTTCTGTATATTTCATCATAGGCTGTACTCCCATCTTTTGGCTCAGTTTTTTTGAGCATCAGTCTGAAATGTTGTTTATATGAATGTGAAAGTTATTAAGTAGTAATATTTCACTAATTTTGAAAATTGAGAATTCATTTTTAGATTAGTGAGAAATCTGAAGATAATTGTGTTTAATAGCTTAGAATTCTTTATGATTAGGTTATCACAGTTTTGTGACTAATAAGGATTAAAGAACTTTTTAGAAAGTACGCTTTTTTCTCATTTGCATATTTTTTTCTCCTAATTATAATTTATGCTTTGCTAGAGGAGTATTTGATCAACCTAGAGAGATTTTGTTTTACCCCTTCCATTGATATCTGTACCTATTTGATTTGGTTTTACATTTTACCGTTGACTTTGATGAAATCATTATAAAATTATTTTTGCTGCATTCTGAGAGGGCTAGCTATTGATAATTATCCCTACCCTTCAAAGTTGTTTTTTTCCTAATGATGTAAACTGTCTGGAAATAAGCCAGACTAGGATGAATTTCCACGGAAATGGATGTAAATATTTACAAGGTAACTCCCCTTATATAGGATAGGAGAGAACTGAGTAAACAGTACTTAATTTGTTAAAAGTTTCAGTTTATTAGAGGTTCAAGACAACAGAAAAACCTCTAATAAATATTGGCTTACCAAGATCCAGGTAGGCTATTTGTTTCCCATGCTCATGAAGTCTAGAGATAGTCTAGGATAGAGAGGCACTGACTAGGCACCTCTGATGTTTACATGAAATAATCTAATTATAGCCAACTTCCTATTTGATCATAACTTTCTTGAATATTTAACTCTTTGCCATGTACTTATTTGTTTACTTATTAATTTTATGGATTTCCAAGTCACAGTGTAAAATATTACCACAGTTACTCATGCTCATTCACAATACTGATGAGTTCTACTTGGGGAGGTAAAGAAATTTTTATATAGTATTGTAAAGGATGTCACCCAGAAGGGAGTTTCTCTTGAGCCCATCTGCATGCTCCATAATTTCTCTGGGAATCAAATGTACATAGCAAGTGTAGATCAGTGCATTTTTACTTTCAAAAGAAATCTTTGAACTTCTTTGCTCTCTTTAGTCATTTATTTGAAATTTACATAACCCGACAAAAATTTGTTAGCAGTACAAATTTAAAATTGACTAAGTGAAACAAAAGTGAAATATTTTATGTAAATATTAGGTAAAATCGTTCAACTTTTAAAATAAAAGACTTTTTAAAAGGTAAATCGGTGATGAAAAATACAATTACGGTATACGTTTCGATGTATAATTTAGCTTGTAATATATTGTTTCCAGGTTGTATTTAAATTTGTCTCTGCTTTGCTTTTCCATTTTCTTGTTGGATTACATTTTGAATAGTTTTAAGATTAACACTTAAAATTTCATCATTTTTTGTAAGTGCCACTTATTTAATCCATCCCTCTACTTTTAGACTAGATGATAACCTCCTAGCATTTTCGGGGAATTTGGAAGTAGTTACTTCCATTTTATGTCATCAGACTCAGATGAATGAGCATAATTTAAGAGGAAAATAATGATGCCTTTGATGACGAATATAAAATTCGTTATTTTCTTAGATGTCTGATAATATGATGTGATTAAATGAAAATCTTTTTACATAAGATTATCAAATAAAAAATGTATTTTTAAAATTTCAGTCCTTTGTTAGAAATAGTAGGTGTGCCTACTTTCTAGGTTTTGTTGTTGTTTTTAAATATTACTTCTAGTCTTTTTTTTTTCCTTTTTTCTTTTTTCTTTGAGACGGGGTCTCGCTCTGTCACCCAGGCTGGAGTGCAATGGTGCAGTCTCAGCTCACTGCAATCTCTACCTCCTGAGTTCAAGCGATTCTCTTGCCTCAGCCTCCTGAGTAGCTGGGATAACAGGCGCACACCGCCACACCCGGCTAATTTTTGTATTTTTAGTAGAGATGGGGTTTCATATGTTGGTCAGGCTGGTCTCAAACTCCTGACCTTGTGATCTGCCCACCTCGGCCTCCCGAAGTGCTAGGATTACAAGACTTTCAGGTCATTAACCCAGTATAATGTGCTCCTTTTCTGTAGGGGCCTAGATTCTTCAGTGTGTGTGTGTGTGTGTGTGTGTGTGTGTGTGTGTGTGTCCATGTGTCCGTGTCCCTCTTGGCCTTTTATGTTTTGTATATCTTTTTCTTTTCCTTTTGTTCATTCCTCTTCCTGCTGAGCCATTGATTATGTAGCTTTTTACTGTGAAATTACCTCTTAAGTGGCAGGCTATATATATATCTCTGTGTCATCATTCTGTTCTTACTCTTTTTTCTTGATGTCTACTAAAACTATATTTAGGGTTGTATATTTAATAATTTGTTATCAATGTGTATACTTTGCCATTGATAATTGAAACCGCAACATGGATTTTAATAGTCAGATACAAGTATTGTTGGTCTTATTTTCCAGGCCAGAGATCCTCAGCAGGAGCCTATGGAAGAGATAGAAAATTTGAAGAAACAACATGATTTATTAAAAAGAATGTTACAACAGCAGGAGCAACTAAGAGCTCTACAGGGACGGCAGGCTGCACTTCTAGCTCTGCAACATAAAGCAGAGCAAGCTATTGCAGTGATGGATGATTCTGGTATGTCACAGTCTGAGAATATTCTTTTTGTAAGGAAGACTCATACATAATTGTATTGCAGGGTGGATGCTGATTATTACATAATCAGATCTTGATTGTTGTCTAGTTTAGAAACCTTCATATGAGGCTTATACTTTCCTGTGCTTTTCTCTGGTTATGCAGAAAAGGTTGCAGGGACAACTGGCCATCATACTATACCATGCAGATAGCCAGATCTCTCTCCTTTTCATCAGAGAGTACCCTTAAGAGGTAAAAGAGACAGGCTGTAGTTCTGTTTTTGTACCTCAGACTGATAAGGCTCATGATGCGTTTATTTCCTTTTTTTCTATTTTATTCAGCTAGGATTGTCATTCTTTGCTTGCCTCCCAAGAAAGGGTTAAAACCTTAAGTGAGGCAGTGAGTAAATTTATAAAGTGTCTTTAACCTTCAAGGTTAGTAGTAGCTAGTAGCTGTTATTTTAATTAGGTATCCTTTTGTATATGCTAGCTCCTTGGAACTATATTTATAGTGTATACATTCTTCGTAAGACTCAGAAATTTTCTTCCTCCTTTCCTCATAGCCATGTGTGAATTAGATGAAAGTTGTGTTGAATTTCTTAGTATTGAGTCTAATTTTGTACGTTTATCATCACCTTCAAACTTATTTTAGTTTCTCGTTAAATTGCAAAAAAAGATGATTAGTTATTAAAAGTCAACAAAACTAAGTTATGTTTTCTAATAGTCTATCCCCCACTGTCTGCTTTTAGTAATAATTTCTCTTCTTTGAGCGCTTTGTTTTTGCGAGTGAGTTAGGTTCTCACTGAGGCTACCCTGTTGTGAATCAGTTTATTCTGCTGTCCAAACCTAGCCCACTGGCTCACCTGTCTAATCCCTGTTATACCTAATTTAAGTTTGCATTTTCACAAGGAACGTTATGACTTTCAAATAACCTCTTTTTTTTTTTTTTTTTTTTTTTTTTTGGAGACAGAGTTTTGCTCTGTTGCCCAGGCTGGAGTGCAATGGCATGTTCTCGGCTCACTGCAACCTCTGCCTCCCAGGTTCAAGTGATTCTCCTGCCTCAGCCTCCTGAGTAGCTGGGATTACAGGTGCGCACCACCATGCCTGGCTAATTTTTGTATTTTTAGTAGAGTCGGGGTTTCACCATATTGGTCAGGCTGGTCTTGAACTCCTGACCTTGTGATCTGCCCGCCTTGGCCTCCCAAAGTGCTGGGATTACAGGCGTCAGCCACCGTGCCTGGTCAATAACTTACTCTTTTGTAGTAATGATATAGCTGTATAGAGTACTGTATACAGTAATAATTACAAAGATTTTTGTCCCCATTTCTCCATTGTAAAATTTAAAGTACCATTAGCTTTTATATTTAGGAAACAGATAATTTAGGAAAAGATAATTAAAATGCTTTAACATAATGACTAGTACTAGTTTGGTTAATGACTAACCTTTTAAATATTTTTCGAGTTTGGAATATCAGATTTAAAAGCTTTCCTTTGGTAGTTAATATTAATCTCTAAACTTGCATAATCTCCTTTGATCATCAGAGATTTCTAGGTTAGTCAGAGCTTTAATTCTTATTTCTGTTTTATAGAGAAGGAACTCTACAGAGTTTGTGGCTTGCCTAGATTTATATAGAATTTTAGCAGAATTACATTTCTTGAATTGTAGGTCAGGGGTCTTGTTTCTTTTTCTGAATATGAACTTTTGAAAGTAAGCAGATAATTTCTTTTTAAAAAATACTATTATGAGTCAGAGAATAGGAGTATAATGCACATGAGTTTGAACTTCATACTATTTCAAAAAGAATTTTAGCTTAGTAATTTTAAAACAAATTTAGTCTTGTATTTATGAGATTTTGCAGGGGCATGCTAATGAAAAGCCATGGAAAGCTACAATTACAGTATTTAATCTAGTATATGAGACATTATCTTGGGATAATTATGTTACCTCAAAGAGTGTCCCTTTCACCATTTAACTAACAAGTTACATATAATTACTGTAATTTCTTTCTTCTCAGCATAGAGTTTTGACTAGACATATAGGATTCTATATAGCCTTGAAATTCTCAGTTCTCAGTGGAAAAAAGGTAGTGTTTTCCTTTAAAACAGAAGCAATTTATAACTAATTGTCTTTTTTCTTTATCTTTTTTTTTTTTTTGAGACAGGATCTTGCTCTGTCACCCAGGCTGGAATACAGTGGGCGTGATCTTGGCTCACTGCAGCCTCTGCCTCGCAGGTTCAAGTGATTCTCTCACCCCAGCCTCCTGAATAGCTAGGAATACAGGCGTGCTGTACCACGCCGGGCTAATTTTTGTAGTTTTGTAGAGATGGGGTCTCACTGTGGTGCCCAGGCTGGTCTTGAACTCCTGCGCTCAAGTGATCTGCCCACCTTGGCCTTCCAAAGTGTTGGAATTACAGGTGTGAGACACTGTACCTGGCCACCAATGTCTGTTTTAGAGTTGGAGAGTTAGAAGTCAGGTTAAGGATGGAGTTATTTGTTAGTAGAACAGTGACTATCATGAAAATTGTTGTCACAAAACTGCTTTATGAATATGGGGGCATTTTTTTTAAATTAAGAAGATAAAAACCACAGTCTTTTAGTATGACTTGTATCACAAACAGCCACTTCAATAAATTATCCATTTTACTGCAGGGGTCAGCAAACTATGGTCAGCTGAGTTTGGCTCATTGCCTGAAATAAAGTTTTAGGGAACACAGCCATGCCCTTTTGTTTACATTGTCTGTGGTTGCTTTTACCTTGTAAAAGCAGAGTTGGGTGGTCGAGACAAAAACTGTATTTCCCACAAAGTTTAACATATTTACTATTTCAACCTTTAAGCAAAGTTTGCCAGCCCCTCTACCGGAGAATTGATTCTATTCAAGAACATGGAGATTGAAACCTGTCAGAATCAGCTGTGCTTTTTTACACTATCACTTTCCCTTTCACTCCTCACTGATCTTAGACCTGCTCCACTGAGTCACTACTATTAATTGGAATGTAATAGTAACCCTCCTTGTATGTTGGGACAGGAAAAGATGAACCACTTTACCAGAGTTTTGTGAGCATCCCTTTATTTTTAAGTTAGGTGGTAACTTCTAATAAAATGATTGTTGGCAGATAGATCGGATTGTTAACTAGTTTCAAGTTACGTATGTGAGCTTTTTAAATTCTTTTTTTAAATTTATTTTTAGCTTCTCAGAGATTAAAAAAGGTGTTTGATTATTTACATTAATCAGTAGTTACTAATTTCTTTCCAGTTGTTGCAGAAACTGCAGGTAGCTTATCTGGCGTCAGTATCACATCTGAACTAAATGAAGAATTGAATGACTTAATTCAGCGTTTTCATAATCAGCTTCGTGATTCTCAGGTAACCTAGATGTTTTAGTATAGTTGAGTTTAAAAAATCACATTAATTAGAACAGTGATTCAGAAACTTCAGTGAGCATACATATCACCTGGCATGATTGTTGAGCAGTGTAGGTTTCTGATTGGTGGGGTCCCCCCCACCTTCAAAATTACGATTCATGGATTTGGGGTGGGCTTCTCCACGTCTCAGTCCAATGCTGGTGGCCTGGGGACTATACTTTAAGAATCACTAAATTAGAGGAGAGTTTACTTTGAAGGAAGTGATTAATGAAGTTTTTCTTTGTATGCTACTGGATGACGTATTCTTTTTTCCTCTAAAAGACTTAATGGTCACAACGATTAAGACTTTGCTTTAAATCTGTGTCCTTCGACTAGATACATGGGATTCTATACAGCCTTGGAATTCTCATTTGAAGGAATATTTTACTAACAATTTTAAGAAAGTTCTTAATTTGAGAGTTAGCAAGTGTTATAATTTGATGCACTTTGTAAGTGATATAAATGCAGATTTTCAATATGGGGGCCTTGGGTAAGAAAGGATGAATTAATGCCTCTCCATTGGAAGTGAGTATGATTGAAGATGCAGTGTCTCTTGTCTTCTTGCTGACCAAGTGAAAATGAGAGAATATGGCCCAACCACTTTGGAGAGTTATATAGCAGTACCTAGTAAATTTCTTCTGGTAGACCTGGGGCCTACTTTAGAGAAACTCTCACATGTTCAGAAGGAGGTAGATGGAAGAATATTCATGGCAACTCTGTGTTAATAGCAAATAACCAGAAACAGCCCAAATGTCCATCAACAGAAATGGGCTAATGAATTCTTACATAGAGTGAAATTCTTTATAGCAGTTACAGTAAATAAGCCATTGCTAATGAATACAAAATTCAAGTTTAAGAAGGATCCCACTTACCTTATTTTAAAAAAAGTCTACATTTTTAATGTATGTATACATAGGCATTAGAAAATAAAAACATGTAGAGAATGGTAGATGCCTGATTCCAGGTTGGGGTTACCTTTGGAGTGGGTAATGACATTGGAAAGGGTACAAACAGAGCTTTAGTTAAATCTGTAATGTTATATTTTTCTTAAAATAATTGATGCAAATATGGGAAAATCTTAAAATTTGACTAAGCATAATGGGAGATATTCATTATATGATTTCCTAAGCCCTAGTGGATTCTTGCAAAGTTTCATAATTAAAAAAAATTTAAAAAAAGGCCAGGTGCGGTGGCTTATGCCTGTAATCCCAGCACTTTGGGAGGCCGAGGCGGGTGGATCACTTGAGGTCAGGTGTTTGAGACCAGCCTGGCCAACATGGTGAAACCCTGTCTCAACTAAAAATGCAAAAATGAGCCAGGTGTGGAGGCATGCACCTGTAATCTCAGCTGCTTGAGAGGCTGAGGCAGGAGAATCGCTTGAACCCAGGAGGCGGAGGTTTCAGTGAGTTGAGATCACGCCACTGCACTCTAGCCTGGGCCACAGAGTGAGACTTTGTCTCAAAAATAAATAAATAAATAAATAAATAAATAAAAAATAAAGGAACATGAGAGAGAAGTGGTGGGAAAAATTGATAGGTTAAGAAGTTAAAGTTTACAGTGGTAGTTCTAGAAAGAAGGCAAGAGAGAGAATGAGATTTTTGAAGGTTTATTTTATGTAACGTGGCATTGTTATTACTTTTGATTCAATTACTGATGTCTAGTGAATCCAAGACCTCTGTGTGGTCATGTGTCTCTAAAACTATGTAGAGTCAGCTCTCAGTATCTGTGGGTTCCACATCCATGGATTCAACCAACCATGGATCAGGAATATTTTGGGGGGAGAAATAACACAACAATTTTTAAAATGCAAATTTAAAAATATAACAGCTATTTACATAGTGTTTATATTGTATTAGGTATTATAAGTAGTCTAGAGCTGATCTGAAGTATATAGGAGGATGTGTGTAGATTATGTGCAGATACTACACCATTTTATATAAGGGATTTGGGTATCTGTTGTTTTTGGTGTCCCCAGGGGTCCTTGAACCAATCCCTCATGGATACTGAGGGATGACTTCATATGTTAATAGTGGCATATCAGGAAACCGTATTTAATTTGGGAATAGTAAGGGTATATACTTACCTACCAGCACAGCCTAGCAAATATTTCTTTCTCTTTATAAAGAATATTTATGCATTTAAAAAATGAGAATGCATTTAATTGCGTTAGTCTTAATTCTTCTTTTTTGTTGTTTTTTTTTAATAAGCCTCCAGCTGTTCCAGACAATAGAAGACAGGCAGAAAGTCTTTCATTAACTAGGGAGGTTTCCCAGAGCAGGAAACCATCAGCTTCAGAACGTTTACCTGATGAGAAAGTCGAACTTTTTAGCAAAATGAGAGTGCTACAGGAAAAGAAACAAAAAATGGACAAATTGCTTGGAGAACTTCATACACTTCGAGATCAGCATCTTAACAATTCATCATGTGAGTAAATCTGGTTCAGCAGTATTGGGTATAAGACACACAAGTATATATACTGTCACATAATAAATTTAGTATTTGGTGAATGAACACATAGCTCCTCAAAAATATTTGTAGGGACTTAAGACTTGCATATGAAAAGTTTCTAAGTTGCAAGCCAATATATATGAAAGCCAAATAGGTGATAAATCAGTTTTATAATTCAGAAAAGGGAAAGAATAAAGTTGGACCTTGAAAAATTAGTAGGATTTTAATAAGGGAAAGGTAGAAGAGAAGGCAACTGTTTGATACGTGGACATATTAATACTTTGTTTCTTAACATTCAAAATTTTCCCTTAAAGAAAAGTTAATCCAGTTAGTACTTTGATTTAAAAACCCAAAACTGTGAAACATAGTGTGTATTAAAAAAAACAAAAAACAAAACTATGAAAAACTTTTATATATGGTTTAGTCTAGAGAGCCCAGAACTTCCAACTGCTGGATTTATATTCATTTTTAAAAAATATATAAATAATCATCTCAAGCAGGTATAACTGCGGGAGTTATCTTTTTTGCTCCACACGTGTTTAACCTTCTTTGTCTAAATCAGATCTAGTCTTCAGTTCCTATCCTAATACCTTTTCAAACATGGCCCCTGTCTCATATCCAAATAGTAATAGAGGCTCAAGCATTAGAAATTGAAGTCAGTAGGGACAACTTCCAACTAGTCTTTAAACATTCTAGCTGCTGTCTAATTAAAGAAAAGATGAGGGATTTAAAAATAACAAAACCATTGTCTCTGGAGCCTCTGGTCCTTATTCTCCACCTATCTCCTTTTCCTTTTCCACCCACAAAAGAACCTTAATATTCCTGTCCTAAAACATACTCCTTTCTTTTCTCTGACTTCTGCTAGTCTCTTTCTCCTCTAGAGTATAATCCCAGTTTTTATCCTTTACAAACACATGAATACAACTAAGATGTGTGGCTGGGTGTGGTGGCTCACGCCTGTAATCCCAGCACCTTGGGAGGCTGAGGCGGGTGGATCACCTGAGGTCGGGAGTTCGAGACCAGCCTGACCAACATGGAGAAACCCCGTCTCTACTAAAAGTACAAAAGTAGCCAGGTGTGGTGGTACATGCCTGTAATCTCAGCTACTCCGGAGGCTGAGGTAGGAGAATCGCTTGAATCTGGGAGGCGGAGGTTGTGGTGAGCCAAGATCGTGCCATTGCACTCCAGCCTGGGCAACAAAAGTGAAACTCCATCTCAAAAAAAAAAAAAAAGAAAAGAAAAAAACAACTTAACATGTGAAAGTTGCGCTTAAGTCCTTGTCGTCAGTTTTGTATGCATAAAGTAGCACTCCGTATACTGATGACTCTTAAAGCCTATTTTTTTCCTCACTGGGAAGCAGTGTGAGAGCAGCAGCAAAAGGTAGACTCGTCAAGGAATAGAATGAGGAGACTGCTGGAAACCACCTACAGGAATTGTGGTACTAAAGTGAGCAACAAATAATGATGGTTCCTTTGAGAAAGATACTGGTAAATGACAGCACCTTTGAAATGGTAGGAGGTAGAGAAGTGCAAAGATTCTTAATCTTTAATTCCTCTTGAAAGCATGATTTATATTTGATAGTAACAGAAGTTAAATAGAAAGTAATTAAATTTAGTTCAAGGACCATAGAGGATTAGCCATTATCTAAATAGCAGGTTTTTATTGCTGTTTAATATTTCATGGTTTGAGGTACCACAGTCACTTTTAACACTTTTCTTTCTCTCCTGGAGCAAGAAAAGTTCCTTCTTGGTGTCCAGATGTGACATCCCCCTGATCTGTGGGTATGAAAAACTGATGAAGACCTAATCAGCTACAGCTACCCTGTAAAGATTACAGATTGAGTACTGCACATGATTCATAGTGGCCCTGTTTAACTTAACCTAGAACCAAGTTTATCAAGTTAGTTACCAAGTTTACTCGTTAGTTAAAACTAACTAGAGTACTTCTCTAGTTAGTTTTCCAAGGTAGAATATCATTATTCTTGTCAATTTCCATCTTTTTTCTTTCCTTTCTGTTTTAACCCAGTGGTTATATTGTAAAGGTGATAGAACCTGTGGAAGAAAGAGGTAAACAAGTCTTTGTACATTTTGATGTGTTTAATTGTGGAGTAAGTTAATAAACAATTTTCTGAAATTTAAATCTGCAGAAATTAAGTTGTTAATTTTTACTTTTTAGTTTTCAATATCCAAGCCAACTGTATGTGTTTGTTTATGGTAACTGGTGATTAAAAAAAATTTTTTGTTGTTGTGCCTTCTTCAGCCTCTCCACAAAGGAGTGTCGATCAGAGAAGTACTTCAGCTCCCTCTGCTTCTGTAGGCTTGGCACCGGTTGTCAATGGAGAATCCAATAGCCTCACATCATCTGTTCCTTATCCTACTGCTTCTCTAGTATCTCAGAATGAGAGTGAAAACGAAGGCCACCTCAATCCATCTGAAAAACTCCAGTAAAACATTTATAATCATTGTTTACATGAAGTTAAATAATAGGGATAAATTCTGTTTTTTTTTTTATGTTGAAAATTCTGCAAAACGAGATTTATTTAATATTGTTGTAAACATTCTTAAGGGATAGGTAGAAGAGGCGTGTGTGTGTTGTGTGGGCATAATTTGAGTTGTCTAAGAGATGTGATGTAACATAGTTTCTGTGAACTGATGTTACTTTCTTGTTTTTCAAATAAAGGATCAAAAATAAGATTACAGTTAAAATATTTCTATATTCAGATGGTTTAGAGACCAGGCTGTAGAATCAGACAGCCCTGAAATTGTATCACACAAGGCTGTGTTACCCTGTACAAATAACTTAGCCTTACTAAGCCTGTATTTCCTCATCTGCAAAATAGGGATGATAATATACCTGTTGATAAATATGTTTTCATTAAAAAACGTTGGCGCAGTTCCTGGCACTTACAGTAAGAACTCAGCTAACTTAATTTTTATTTTTGGTAAACGTAGTATGTAGTGTATAGATCTCATATGTGCAGACAAATCAAGAACCTTCCATACATGCTCAGTAATGTCTGTATACCTGATTTTCCTGAGAGGTAGTATTTAGTAGTACTTCACACTTTTGATACTTGAGAAACTAGAAATCTTTTTGACATCAGGTTTTCTGCTATTAACATTTACACCTGCTTAAAATGAACAATTAAATTGAAATTGGTTTTCTTACACTTTTGTCCCTAAAACAGCATAAGAAAATAATGTGAGATTTTGAGTAAGCTGTACTTGGCATTAACCTCATTATTTTACAGTCATACCCCCTGGAGAGTTCACTAGGTGGATATTCCATTAGGTCTAAATTTTGTTTCTGTTAGCTGCTATGATATGAAAATAATGTCTGTATTATTTTGCTAAAATGGGTGTAAATCGTATACATAAATTTTTTGTTTATCAGGAAGTTAAATGAAGTTCGAAAGAGATTGAATGAGCTAAGAGAATTAGTTCATTATTATGAACAAACGTCAGACATGATGACAGATGCTGTGAATGAAAACAGGAAAGATGAAGAAACTGAAGAGTCAGAATATGATTCTGAGCATGAAAATTCCGAGCCTGTTACTAACATTCGGTAAGAACTTTTCTGGGGATGTTTTTCCAGCATATTCATTCTGTCTTGATACTTATAATGTGGGAACAAAAATACTTCGTTGTAGTATTTACTATTTGCCTTTTATTTAAGCTTTCTACTATTTTGGTCAGTGTAATCATCTCTGCCCTGTGAAGAAAGATGAATAGGGAAGTATGGAGTACAATAGTTCAGTAAATTTGCCCTTTGTTAGACTGAATTCGAGTAAATCATGAGATGTATCTAACTTAGCATTTTGCTGTCTTTTTCTTTTTAGGCGTAATTTTCATTTTTTCAGATGTTTTTCTACTTAAATAGCACATATGCAGAAGTTAATGAAAAGCAGGAGTCGATTATTCAATTTGAATTTAAATGGAATAGCCAACAATGTGCTTGGTTTGGTGTTATTTTATTAGCAGTTCTAAACTTGGATTTCTTTCTCTCTTTTTTTGTGCCTTAAATGACTTCAGGCTGTTTTCTTTCTTCTAGAAATCCACAAGTAGCTTCCACTTGGAATGAAGTAAATAGTCATAGTAATGCACAGTGTGTTTCTAATAATAGAGATGGGCGAACAGTTAATTCTAATTGTGAAATTAACAACAGATCTGCTGCCAACATAAGGGCTCTAAACATGCCTCCTTCTTTAGGTATGACTGACTGTATTTACATATAATTTTGCTGTGTTATTCTTACAAAGTGGGTTTTCGTTCATGTGTGCTCTTTCCTTTAAAAGTTACTGGTTTTAATTATACATGTTTTCAGCAGATTGTCGATATAATAGAGAAGGGGAACAGGAGATTCATGTTGCACAAGGTGAAGATGATGAGGAGGAGGAGGAAGAAGCAGAAGAGGAGGGAGTCAGTGGAGCTTCATTATCTAGTCACAGGAGCAGTCTGGTTGATGAGCATCCAGAAGATGCTGAATTTGAACAGAAGATCAACCGACTTATGGCTGCAAAACAGAAACTTAGACAGTTACAAGATCTTGTTGCTATGGTACAGGTAAATATTGCTTGGTCTTTTAAAAACCTATTTGTCAAATAGTACAGTCTTAAGTAAAATTTGTGTATGATAATTACTTTGGTTTAATTATACTAATACACATTTATGTATCATATGTGAGGTTTAAATTTTTAGCACTTTACATGCTGTATGTCAGAGGTCAGCAACCTTTTTAAATTAAGAGTGAGTTGGTTAGATAGTTGCGGCTTTGTGGCGATATAGTATCTGTCACAATTTCACAATGCAAAAGCAGCCATACATAATACATAAATGAGAATGATTATTTGCCAATATAGCTTTATTTTATTATAAACAATATAGCTGTTTTTATTTACAAAAACAGAAGAGGTTTTGTTGTTTTTGTTGTTTTGCTGACAACTCTGGCCTTATATTATGTACAACTTGCAGCATCTCAATGAGGTAGACATTAAATAGGTTAAAGAGATCTTAATTGCCGAAGTTTATATGACTGTCCAATCCAGAATTCAGACTTCCTGATACCAGAGCCTGCGATCTTAACCTACTGTATATAAAAGAAAAACCATATGTTATCTTATTCAGTAAGGTTAAAGTTAGAACTATTAATCATAAATTTTAAAAAGCAGTTTATACATATTTTGTATTATAGTTACACAATTAACTATAATGTACAATTGTATATTTATACAAATGTAAAAATATACAATTATAGTTACATAACTATTAACACAAAATATGCCTACACTTATAATTGTATAAATATGTAATTAACTATAATTGTATTACCGTGTAACTATTAACACATTTATAAAGGTGTTGTGTATATATATATAAAAATCATATAAAATGGTTTTTGTGAGTGAAAAACCTCAAGTTTTATTAACAGTTTCTTTTGAAATGCTATGTACTTTGAATTACTCAAGTAAAAGGTGAGCGTGCTCTCTCGGTTCAAAAAAAGTACGTATTTGTATTTATTTATTTTTTGGGGACAAGGTCTTGCTCTGTCACCCAGGTTGGAGTGCAGTGGCATGATTTTGGCTCACTGCAAGCTCCATCTCCCGGGTTCAAGCGATTCTTCTGCCTCAGCCTCCCGAGTAGCTGGAATTACAGATGTGTACCACCACACCTGGCTAATGTTTGTATTTTTAGTACAGATGGGGTTTCACCATATTGGCCAGGCTGGTCTTGAACTCCTGGCCTCAGGCAGTTCACCCACCTTGGCTTCCCAAAGTGCTCAGATTGCAGGCACAAAAAGTACATATTACTAATAAACTCTGTCTTTACCTCCATTAATAATCCTATTCTTCTTCACTGAAGTTGCTAGGCCTTTTCTCTGCAGTTAGGTACATCACTATGCACCTATTTTTAAAAAAATACATGACGTTTTGTGGTATGTTTCTTTGTTTTTACAAACTGTATATATAATACACTAAGTATTATTTTATAGCTTTCCTTTTTTCCCCACTCCACATTGTCTCAGAGAACTTTCATGTCAGTATAGTTCTATATAATTATAAGTAATTAAGAAACACAAATATGATAATTATAAAATATAAATAATACTGCATATATATATATACACACAGTACATAGTTATTTGTAGCTGCAGTACAGTTTTCAGTATATCGATGGACTTTAGTTAATGTATAATAGCATCCAGTTACTATATACTTGTTTTCAATCTTTCGCTATTTAGAAACAATGCACCAAAGAATATACTTGCACAAGCTTTTGTGCATTTGTGTTTTTTAAGAAGGATTTGGAGAAGTGGAACTACTATGTCAGTTGGTGTACATTTTAAAGGACACAACTTAATTGGTCTCTAGAGAGCAATTTTCTATATGTATTTCCGTATGTATTTATATTTCTATATGTATAGAATTTTTGATATGTATTCATATTTTTCTATATGTATTTTTTATATTTTAAGCAGTGGTATGTGAGAGTTCGTTTCTCCACACCCTTGATTGTGTTTTATTTTATTGATATACCGTAGCTTGTTTAACCATTACTGGAATTGGCCTTTTCCAAATTTCCCAATTATAAGAAGAGTTATTGAGGTGAGATAAACATGTATGCAAATACAAACGTGTGTAAACAAATATATATTGAACACGTGTACACATGTATACAAACGTGCTTTCTTTACTGCTTTAATCTTTTTATGTAAATTTTACAGACTAGTGGTATTTACTAAGGTATGAATTGGATAATGTCTTGAGGTATCAAGATTGTTTTAATGTAATGATGCTCTTTCAGGATGATGATGCAGCTCAAGGAGTTATCTCTGCCAGTGCATCAAATTTGGATGATTTCTACCCAGCAGAAGAAGACACCAAGCAAAATTCAAATAACACTAGAGGAAATGCCAATAAAACACAGAAAGATACTGGAGTAAATGAAAAGGCAAGGTATGTTAAGCTTTTGGCCTTCATTTAATATAATAAAAATTTAGTGCCTGTTTTGGAGAAGGTGCTCAGCTAGGTACTGTGTTATGTTGTGCCTAATGCTTCATCACATTTTATTGGAGTCCATAAATATAATGTCAATTTAATTGTAGAGAGAAATTTTATGAGGCTAAACTACAGCAGCAACAGAGAGAGCTAAAACAATTGCAGGAAGAAAGAAAGAAACTGATTGACATTCAGGAGAAAATTCAAGCATTGCAAACGGCATGCCCTGACTTACAGGTAATTATGAAATTTATTTCTAATTGTCTGAAAAAAGATGTTTAAAACCTTAGGTCAACTGAAAGTACTCTTTTTTGTTTTTGTTTTTCTTTTTTTTTGAGGCAGAGTCTCACTCTGTTGCCCAGGCTGAAGTGCAGTGGCGTGATCTTGGCTCACTGCAAGCTCTGCCTCTTAGGTTCACGCCATTCTTCTGCCTCAGCCTCCTGAGTAGCTGGGACTTCAGGCACCCGCCACCATGCCTGGCTAATTTTTTGTATTTTTGGTAGAGACAGGGTTTCACAGTGTTAGCCAGGATGGTTTCGATCTCCTGACCTCGTGATTCGCCCGTCTCAGCCTCCCAAAGTGCTGGGATTACAGGCGCGAGAAACTACTCTTTTTTTTCTAGTATTAAGGTGACAGAATTATATCTAGTAATTTTGTGATTAATGAAGTGGATGAACTAATGAAGAGTTGGGGTTATACGTTTACAGTGTAAAAGACAGCACATAGGAATTGACTCATTATTTTCATTCTTACTGGGCTGGCTGGCCATAGATTCAGAACATGTGTACTCATAACTGTTTATTATGTTAAAATATTCTGATTTGACTTTTGCAGTTATGGACCAGCATTTCCATCTTTTACTGGCCTGAAATAATATAATAAAATCTTTAAGCCACCATAAGATATCTAAGGAAAATAACTGTATGTGGTTTAAAGAGTAAGTTGTATATACTTTTGCTTATTAACTAGGATCTTATACATGGGTCTTGAGATTGAACAGAAAATAAGATATCTTTGGTGATATCAAATAATCAGTTAATAATATGGGAAGGGGATAATAATTCCTTCTGATATTTTCCCAGAGTTTATTGGCTAGCTTTTTTTTTTTTTTTTTTTTTTTTGAGACGGAGTCTCGCTCTGTGGCCCAGGTGGGAGTGCAGTGGTGCAATCTCGGCTCACTGCAAGCTCCACCTCCTGGGTTCACGCCATTCTCCTGCCTCAGCCTCCCGAGTAGCTGGGACTACAGGTGCCCGCCACCACGCCCGGCTAATTTTTTTGTATTTTTAGTAGAGACGGGGTTTCACCGTGTTAGCCAAGATGGTCTCAGTCTCCTGCCGTCGTGATCCGCCCGCCTCGGCCTCCTGAAGTGTTGGGATTACAGGCGTGAGCCACCGCTCCCGGCCTATTGGCTAGCTTTATCTTCAGTTAGGTTGTGTTTTCAAAGAAAGGAAAACAGGGCAACTGTGTTCATTTTCTAAACCCTTGCCTTTCCTACTGTATCTAATCCTTTTTCTCTCCTTATCTCCAATCTAAATAATGTCTAGAGAAATATGTTGCAAAGGTGGGTTAAGTATACAAAATTTTCCATTATGTTTTATCCCTGTTGTTTCTGTTGTTTCTGAGGGCTTGTGTTTGTTAACCTCAGCTTGTGTTTTCATCTTTGTTTTCTTATTTCATGTTATCTTCGGATGATGATGGAAGTCAGGGTCTGATAGCAGATTAAATATGGCACTAGAGCCTTAGTGCCATATTTAAAGTAACTGCTTTTATGAAATTAATATAATTGCTTTAATTCCTCATAACGTTTTTTGTGAATTCCTTTTTAGCTGTCAGCTGCTAGTGTGGGTAACTGTCCCACCAAAAAATATATGCCAGCTGTTACTTCAACCCCAACTGTTAATCAACACGAGACCAGTACAAGCAAATCTGTTTTTGAGCCTGAAGATTCTTCAATAGTAGATAATGAGGTATTGTAAATTGTACTCTCTTGTTCCTGAGTTAGTCTTTTGTTTTCCTTTTTTTTTCTTCAATAAGGCACATCTCAAGAAAGGAAACTGAATATCCTTGAAACATGTTTGTAAATAGTAGTCTGCTTTGTGCCTTTTTTAGTAGACACAAAAATGTAATAGATTATAATAATATAAGAAAGATAAAACATTTTAATTTTTAAACTTTAATTGAAAAGTTTTAAATAATTTTTTCTAAAAAGTAATTATCTTTTAAAAATATCCATGTTCTTTGTTAGTAAATATTTGGCAGAAATATATAGGGGGGTAGTTGCAGCAAATAGTAATCATTTCAGTTAGAAAGACCTATCCTTTGACATTTTATTTATATGTGGTTTGTAGAAAATATAATTTTTCCTAAATAATTTCTGAAGTATATTTGAGTTCTACTTGTTTCTATTAATAGGCCATGTGCGGTGACTCACACCTATAATCCCAGCACTTTGGGAGGCTGAGGTGGGCAGATCATGAGGTCAGGTATTCAAGACCAGCCTGGTCAACGTGGTGAAACCCTATCTCTACTAAAAAATACAAAAAAAATTAGCTAGGTGTAGTGGTGGGCGCCTGTAATCCCAGCTACTCAGGAGGCTGAGGCAGGATAATCACTTGAACCTGGGAGGCAGAGGTTGCAGTGAGCCGAGATCACACCACTGCACTCCAGCCCAGATGACAGAGTGAGACTCTGTCTCAAAAAAAAAAAAAAATTGGCTGATTTTTTTGTAATCATAACTATATTATTATTTTAACCTTCATGGACATGTTAGTGTGAAAAGGAGAGAATGAGAATAGAAACCTTTGTTGATACTGACAATACTAGTAGTCTTTTACTCTTTTAGGCTACAGCAAATCCAAATATTTATTTAACTCTGGTTTCTTAAAAAAAATAGTTGTGGTCAGAAATGAGAAGACATGAAATGTTGAGGGAGGAGCTGCGACAGAGAAGAAAGCAGCTTGAAGCTCTGATGGCTGAACATCAGAGGAGGCAAGGTCTAGCTGAAACTGCATCTCCAGTGGCTGTGTCATTGAGAAGTGATGGATCTGAGAACCTATGTACTCCTCAGCAAAGTAGAACAGAAAAGTAAGAGAGCTGCATAAATCACTTTTCTAAAAATGTCACCTGCCGAAGATTGACCTGTAGGCTAGGCAGCCACATTTCTCCTCTACATCACAGCACAAATCTGCTATTTCAGTGAGGCTACTGTTTAACTACCACCTTTGTGACCCAGTTTAATTGAATCCAGCCACTTTCTGTTCTGACTTCTCGTAGCATCAGCTTTCTCTTTTGTCTTAAATTACTATGGCACTTGATCAAATGGTGATACAGATTTTCTTATGTGTATAAGCCTTATTAGTTAAGTTTATAAAAAGAAAATGCTTGATATTTTGTAGTGCTTTTCTGTCAGGCCAGAAATAGGCCCTTTTTTGCTTAAATTGAGTATCTGCTGTTTGTAAGGTTCTTAAGGATCTTAAAACATTTTATTATAATCATTTAGTTTTTAGGATTTCAGTTTAAAATGTCCATATTTAGAATATTTCTAAAAGAGTTGGTCATCTATAAGATCAGTGAATTATTTAGCTATATAGTAGTAACCATATCAAAAATTTTGAAATATAGATTTGTTTATGACCTTCCCTTTTGATATCCTCAGATGGCATTTCTGGAATTTCTGGAGTTTTGCACCAAGCCCTACTCTCTTCTCAGATGAACTTCTATTCTTGGGGTCCCAATATGCATTTTACTGATCAGACTATATCTACAATATTTTATTCTGTTCTGGGTACTACACGTCTGTTCTTCTACAGAGTTCTTCAGATAGTTTTGATGAGCATCTGGTTTCAGAATCATTGGTCTGGATTTTTGCTGTCCAGTATGGCAGCCACTAGATATAGGTGGTTATTTAAATTTCAATCAAATGAAATTAAAAATTTATTTTCTCAGTCATATTAGCTGCATTTTAAGTGCTCAGTAGCCATGTGTACCTAGTGTCTACTGTATTGGATAGCACAGATACAGATGATTGCCGTAATTATAGAAAGTTCTGCTGAACTGCACTGATCTTGAAAACTCCCTCAAGCAAATGTTAAGGGTAGTTTAGCTTTGGGAAGTAGTCCCAGGGGATATGATGATTATTTAAATGTATTTGAAGAATTGTTTTGAGGAAGGCAAACTAAACATATTCTGTATATAACAGCAATAGGGAGAGTGCCACCCGTAGCATAGTTATTGTGATTAAATGAAATTTTATATACAGACATGTATATGTATGTTTGAAACAATGTCTGGCACATAGTAGGTGGCAGAGTATTTAACTTATCTCCAGAATGACATCTGTTTTATGTCTCTTAATCACTAGAACGATGGCAACTTGGGGAGGGTCTACCCAGTGTGCACTAGATGAAGAAGGAGATGAAGACGGTTACCTTTCTGAAGGAATTGTTCGGACAGATGAAGAGGAGGAAGAAGAGCAAGATGCCAGTTCCAATGATAACTTTTCTGTGTGTCCTTCTAACAGTGTGAATCATAACTCCTACAATGGAAAGGAAACTAAAAATAGGTTAGTTTCAGTATTTTAATTTTGTGCTTAATTTAAGAGGCTCAGGTCTTTTTGACTGACAGCAAGCACTTCTGCAGTTCTCCAAGCCAACTGAATGTCCTACAACTCAATTCAATTTTTACACTAACTACTCAGAGTTAGTGCAGACCCCTCAAGTTAAGGGGCTCAGTTCAGTAAGACTGCCCTCACCTCAGACTTCAATTTCAACTGCTTGGTCCCCACGTTACCCACACTTCTGTGCAACATGGCTAGAAATTTGGGAGTTCTTACAATCCCCTTCAGGTTTATTTGCTAGAACAACTCACGAAATACAGGAAAAGACTTACTTACGTTTCCTCATTTCTTATAAAGGATTCTGAACTGCCAAATGGAAGAGGTGTGTTAGGACAGTGTGTGGGTTGGGGAGGTGTGCAGAGCTTCCATGGTTTCCTCTGTGTGTCCCACCCTCCCCAGCACTTTGATGTGTTCAGTGACCCAGAAGCTGCCTGAATTCTGTTTACGGTTTTTTAGGAGATTTCATTGCTTAAGCGCAATTGATAAAATTGTTGACTGTTGGTGATTGTTCTCATTAGCAAAAATTCACATCTGGTTGAAAGGGGCTTGTTACGGATAACAAAAGACATTATCACTTGGGAGATTCCAAGGGTTTTAGGAGCTCTGTGCTAGGAACCAGGCACAAAGAACAGATAGATATTTTATTATACCACAAGAATGTTGTTCCAGTAGATCCAGGTAAACTGGATCAGTCTTCACTCCTGCTGTTGAGAATTAAGCAAAAATAACAAATTGTAGATAGTGAAAAGAGTCTGCCAACAAAGATGTTATTACATTGTTACTAATAATTATAACTGAAAATTTCTTCATGAATAACAGATGGTGAAGTAGATACAGTAGCTCCACTTGATGAAATACTATGTGGTTGAACTTAAAGCGTGAAGAATGGAAAACTACTTGTGACATAATAAATATTTTTATTTTGCAGAATACTTAATTATATGGACACTGCTGTGTAAAAACATACATGAAAAAGACTGGAGACTAATGAAAACTAATAATTGTACAAAGCTAAAGATCTGGACTTCTCCCCCCTCTATATTTTTTAATACTTTGTATGTTCTTTTAATTTAAAACAGAATATTGGCCCATAGGCCTGAGTATCAGAGTTTATTGCTGTATTTTAAAAACCAAATTATTATGTATGATGACTTAATGCTTTCAATCTTGTGTTAGGTGGAAGAACAATTGCCCTTTTTCGGCAGATGAAAATTATCGTCCTTTAGCCAAGACAAGGCAACAGAATATCAGCATGCAACGGCAAGAAAACCTTCGTTGGGTGTCAGAGCTCTCTTACGTAGAAGAGAAAGAACAATGGCAAGAACAAATCAATCAGCTAAAGAAACAGCTTGATTTTAGTGTCAGTATTTGTCAGACTTTGATGCAAGACCAGCAGGTAAAATTTGCTATGAAAGTATATTTTTCGTCTATTTTTATAACTTCTGAAGCAATACAAATTTTTCTCAAGTCATCAGTAACTATTAACAAACATTTTCTTTCAATAGACTCTATCTTGTCTGCTACAAACTCTTCTCACGGGTCCTTACAGTGTTATGCCCAGCAATGTTGCATCTCCTCAAGTACACTTCATAATGCACCAGTTGAACCAGTGCTATACTCAGCTAACATGGCAACAGAATAATGTTCAGAGGTAATCTGTTTCTTAGAAGTATTGAGACTGTATAAGAGCTAACATTGAGCAGAGGTTTTACAGTTAGCTTCTGGGAGAAAAGAGCAAGACCAAATTGCATATTTGGACATTCTCTTTCCCTTGAGAATTTTATAAGTGGTGATTTACCTAATGTTTCCTTTTAATACCATGGATTTCTGTTTTTATAAATTTATGTTATTGAATTTTACTTATATTTTGGCAGATTTTATGGTGTGTAAATTGTACCACAGTGAAGCTATAAACAAACAAAAAAGTGATTTTCTTACAGTTTTACCGACTGTCGGACAGAAGTACTAAGTTCATTTCTTGTTCCAGAGGGAAAGTTATTGAATTAAGCCTTATAGAGCAAGCACGTATTTGTTACAGTATCAGAGCAGTTTGTCTGCATGCTTTTGAATCATTTTTTTACATGTATTCTTCCTGAATGTACTTTATATATATGGCAATATAACTGATTCTTAGATTACTGACTTAAATCTTTGTAGGTTGAAACAAATGCTAAATGAACTTATGCGCCAGCAAAATCAGCATCCAGAAAAACCTGGAGGCAAGGAAAGAGGCAGTAGTGCATCGCACCCTCCTTCTCCCAGTTTATTTTGTCCTTTCAGCTTTCCAACACAGCCTGTAAATCTCTTCAATATACCTGGATTTACTAACTTTTCATCATTTGCACCAGGTAGGTGACTTAACCTAAAGAGAAAATAAATAAAAGCAAAGTGTTTGGAACAACGTAATTTGTCTATTGCCTAGATGTTTTAACATTTTCTTTTGGAGTGGGGTAGGAAATGTTTGCAAAGAAAGTTACAAACTCTTTTTTTTTTTTTTCTTTTTGAGGCGGAGTTTTACTCTTCTTGTCCAGGCTGGAATGCAGTGACATGATCTTGGCTCACGGCAGCCTCCACCTCCCAGGTTCAAGGGATTCTCCTGCCTCAGCTTCCTAAGTAGCTGGGATTACAGGCATGTGCCACCGTGCCCAGCTAATTTTGTATTTTTAGTAGAGATGGGGTTTCTCCATGTTGGTCAGGCTGGTCTCCAACTCCCGACCTCAGGTGATCCACCTGCCTTGGCCTCCCATGGTGCTGGGATTACAGGCATGAGCCACCGTGCCCAGCCTACGTTGTTCCTTTTAAACCAAACTTTAATAATACGGTTGCTAATGAAATTAAGTAAACTACTTAGGAATGATTGCTTCAACTATTTATTAAGAGGAAAGAGAACCTGTTCAATGGCTGCTGTATACTAGGCACTGTGTAAAACGCTGGGAGAGTAAAGATGAATAAGACAGTGCTCTCCTAAAGGAGTACCATGTCTTGTTAGGGGGATGCTAATAGACTAAAGGAGAGCACATTTAGCTTAAGCTTTTCTTTGGATGGTTTTTTCTGCACTCATTATGTACCAGACACTATGTAAGTTACTGGGATCTAAAGATGAGTGACACTGATCCTTTAAGGAATTCAGGGTCTAGTGAGGATGCTGTTAATGAATGCTTATAGTACAGTGCCACGGGTGCCATAACAGTAGTGCAAATGCTGGGAAGTGTCAGCAAATCAGTTCCGCCGCCAAAAAAAAAAAAAAGAGTTGATATTTAAGCTAAAGAATGAATAGAATTTATTTCCAGAGAGATTAGAAATGAAAGGGCTTTCTAATAGAACCACTTAGAGTTATAAAGCAATGAAATAGTACATCACTCAGGGAATTTAGAGGTATTTAAGTGTGGCTAGTATTTAGGGGAAGAGTAATTGATGTGGTTGAAGAGTGGCAGAGAGATTTTATGATGTGCAAACAAGCTTAGGTTTTATATTGCAGACGAGGGTGCCATTGAAGGACTTTGAGCAAGGGATAACATGAAATTTATATTTTAGAAAGATTACACTGGTGAAAGTGTTCGGGAGAAGTTGGAGGAAAGGAGTGAAGATTTAGCTGGTGAACAGAAGGCTGTCATAATAATATGGAAAGAATGATAGCTTGGCCTTAGGCCTTGTCAGTAGGGATCAAGAAAAAGGAGTAACTGAAAGACATTATAGTGATAGAGTGAATAAGTTAAGTGACCGATTATATGAGGTGAATCATGAGGAGGAGTTAAAGGTGTTGGCAGGGAATATAGGAGGAGAAAAAAGGTTGAGAGGGCTTTGTGAATATATATATATATAATCACAATATATATGTACTCAATACTTCTTACATACATATATTACAGTGTTATGCCCAGCAATGTGTATATATATGGATGTATATATGTGTGTGTGTGTGTGTGTGTGTGTGTGTGTGTATATATATATATATACACACCACAGTGTTTTTTCTTTATAGGATTTTCAAGACAGTGGCATAAAAAATTTAAGAGACTTTTTAGTTCTTGGGTGTCAATTAATATTGGCAGCAAACATCACATGAGTAGACTTTTAAGTAATAAGAAATTGCAAATGCTCTTCCTTTTTACTAAAATATACTTCATACCCACACCAACTCTATATAAAGGCTCTTCATTCTTCTTAACAGTACAATTTTTGTGAAACCTTCCCAGTCTCTTTCCCCACACGTTGTTAGTAGCCTCTTGCAAATAGCTCTGATACATAACAGTATTTGGTAAGTATTTAATTATATTCTACTTTCCCAATAAAAATAGAGTAGAAACAACATAAGCGTAGGAGTCATACAGACCTGAGATCTAATCATCTTTTTCATTTATTAGACGTTTGATTTCTAACCGTATTTGCTCACTGGTAAAATGAATGCAGTATCTATTTTATAAGTTACTTGGTTTTAAGTATTAAACCAAGTAACATGTAAAGTGCCTGCAGTAGAGTGTGTCACCCAGTAATTGATAAATGTCAGGTACCATTATTTCTAACTTTTAGCTCTTAAGGGAGTGGGGATTATTAATTGTCTTTGACCAATGCCTAAAACATAGTGGCCTAAGCTGTGAACAGTGATTGGATAAATATTAGCTTTTTTTTTTAATTAACAGTTTTTTGTTTTGGTGGATTTGAATGACATGTTTAATTAAAACTGTCTTTTAATTTCATTTTAAAGCTAAAGACATTTATTTATTTTTCTCTTACCCATTGCTTTTACTGATTAGGTATGAATTTCAGCCCTTTATTTCCTTCTAATTTTGGAGATTTTTCTCAGAATATCTCTACACCCAGTGAACAGCAGCAACCCTTAGCCCAGAATTCTTCAGGAAAAACAGAATATATGGCTTTTCCAAAACCTTTTGAAAGCAGTTCCTCTATTGGAGCAGAGAAACCAAGGTACTGATTGTAAACAGTCTTTTATTGCTTAAACATTCACTTTTGTGATTACATCTAATTATGTGTAATTTGAAAACACAACTAGGGAGGACGTTTGTGATGATTTGGCTTGATGATGTTGGAAATATGAAACTTTGACGTATCAGTAGATGAGATGCCAGATACTTCCTGGTAACCCTGGTACATTAAAAGTTGTTTGGAAGGATGTGGCGTAACTCATAGGATTTGTTTTGTCTCTAATTTGATACCTGTCTTTACGGTTAAAGCAGTTTGCTGTTCAATGACTTAGGGCTGGAAACTAATATTAACTGCTAGAAGATAGTTGTTAAGTGATGATCCCTTTTTTTGATTCCTAGCTCTTGATTAGAATCACTTCCTAAAGCCTATTCAAATATAATGTTGAGTACTATTAGATTATAAAAACAACTTTTGTCTCATAAGTTTTGAGGATGCATGGTATTAATGATATTTAGGATTTCTTCTGAAACAGAGTTTTTGACTCAGTGTGAAAGGTTGGCTCCGTTGAACCTAGTCTGTCAGATGTATCTCTCTGATTGTCTTTCCTACTCCATAAAAATATATATAATTCACATTATATTTCTCTTTAGCTATGTGATTAGGAAGGTCTCAGGCTCTTATATTAGCATTTTGACACTGTTTAATTACTGAGTCATTAACTGGGATTTTTTTTTTTTTTTACTCGATTAACCAATAACTCTGAGAATTCCAACTTTGTATTCACCACTAGGAGTGCTATGATTAACATCCGTTACTTTGTTGACTCCTTTTTTTTGGTTGTTCTATCTTTTTCCTGTTAAATCTCATGTTGCTCTATAAAGGTATTCTGTTGTCAGAAGCCTAACACAGTGTTAGTTCACAGTTGCCATTCAGAAATGATTGTTGAATGAATATCCATCACGAGCAGTAAACATTTATTCAAAGCTTCGGTGAATAGACTTTCCTATTAGAATGTCCCTACTTCATTATTTTCATATAATTGATAGTAAAAAATTACTCTGGTTTTAAATTATTTATATCATTTTTAGGATGGATCTGAATGTCTAATATTATTTTAGATATTTGGCCTACTTCAGATTAGACCTCATTTCCCAAAATCTCAACTATTGTAATTTCATGGAATTAAATGACTAGAGATAAAAAGTCAGATAAAATCCTGTAGTCTTATTCAGGGGTCAGAAAACTTTTCCTATAAAAGACTAGATAGTATTTTAGGCCTTGCTGGCCATATAGTGTTTATCATAGCCATTCATCTGTGACAGTTTTGCACAAGAGCAACCATAGGCAATATGTAAACATGAGTATGGCTGTGTTCTGCAATAACACTTTATTTATGGGCACAGAAATTTTATTTTCATATAATTTTCATTTGTCACAAACTTTTAACTTTTTTTCTTCCAACTATTTAAGAATATAAAAGCCATTCTTAGCTCTCAGGTCATATGGAAACAGGCAGCAGGCTGAATTTGGTCTGTAAGTTACAGGTTTCTAACCCTTGTCTTGAGTTAAATCCTGTAGGTCACTGTCTCCCAGACTATTAGGAGCAGTGTTGTTGTTCACGCTAGGTTCTGTGATAAAGTTTTGGACTTGTTGCCCACTACCACTTTTAAGAGATTTATAAAGCACATTGGCATATTAAAAGTTGTGAGATATTTTACAGACCTGTTTAACTTTGTTTTATGTGTTTTCTCCCCAACCTAGACGACCGATGAGTACCTATTAAATATTAAGGGATGCTAGTGTTCAGCAGATAAAATTTGAGAAATGACAGTAGACTAATAGAACTACGGACTTAAGGAGTGGAGAAATAAATTGCTAATTGAATGACCAATTGTATTCACCAAATTCTTGTTCTACTTGAACTGCTTTAGGTGAACACAAATCCATGTATGTTCCCAAGCCCTCTGCTATAGCTCTTTTTGAGCCATTCTTCCAACTTTTGGGTCTTGTATATCCCATCCTCCCTTGATTTTTCTTTTTGTTGTTTTTTCTAGAGGCAGGGTCTCACTTTGTTACCCAGGCAGGAGTACAGTTGATAACGATCATAGCTCACTGCCTCCTTGAATTCCTGGGCTCAAGGGATCCTCCTGCCTCAGCCC
Organism: Homo sapiens; assembly: GCF_000001405.40. NCBI lineage: Eukaryota > Metazoa > Chordata > Mammalia > Primates > Hominidae > Homo > Homo sapiens. The sequence continues at coordinate 17,971,866 of NC_000008.11, forward strand.
CCTGAGTGTCTAGGACTGGAGGCACATGCCACTGTGCCTGGCTCATTTTTAAAATTTTTTTTAGAGACGGGGTCTCACCAACTTGTCTGGGCTGGTCTTGAACTCCTGGGCTCAAGCATTCCTCCTGCCTCCGCCTTCCAAAGTGCTGGAGTTACAGGCATGAGCCACTGCAGCTAGCCTGATTTTTCTTTCCCACTGTTTTCCATTGCTAATGCTAGATCTTTGATAAGGAACTTTTGCCAGTAAAAGTGGTTTAGTGAGATGGGTCCAGAATTAAAACTAATTTACTACCTTAGCTTATGTGATATTTGCATATTTAATGTGTATTTTTGTGAAAACATTTTTATAGCCTGTTGACAATTTTATTCACCTAAATCTACTCGAGTAGACTATAAATTCAGTGTATTTGGAGTTTTTGTAAACTATAGTTGTTAACTTATAAAAACTTGTTTTCATTGGTAAGGAATAAAAAACTGCCTGAAGAGGAGGTGGAAAGCAGTAGGACACCATGGTTATATGAACAAGAAGGTGAAGTAGAGAAACCATTTATCAAGACTGGATTTTCAGTGTCTGTAGAAAAATCTACAAGTAGTAACCGCAAAAATCAATTAGATACAAACGGAAGAAGACGCCAGTTTGATGAAGAATCACTGGAAAGCTTTAGCAGTATGCCTGATCCAGTAGATCCAACAACAGTGACTAAAACATTCAAGACAAGAAAAGCGTCTGCACAGGCCAGCCTGGCATCTAAAGATAAAACTCCCAAGTCAAAAAGTAAGAAGAGGAATTCTACTCAGCTGAAAAGCAGAGTTAAAAACATCAGTAAGTGTTGAAATTTGTTGAATGTTGATCAGTGTAAATTTTGGTAATCTTACTTTGACATGTTGACATAGATATAGTTTCAGTAAGGCTAGATGTGCAGGTGCTGTTCTAGACTTAGTTGAACAGTCATTTTTAGTTACCTTTATATATATAATTTTTTTTTACAAAATAATATTCGAAATAGGGTTTAATTTTCTGGATTAATGTTGTAAAACATGGCATTTATTTTTTGTACTTCTTAAAGCTTCAGTTTTGTAGATTATTGAAAAATTGCCAAATGCCCACGTTTACTATTTTTTTTCTTTTGCTATTGTATCAGATCCTGCATCCAACTCTTTGGTCATGACTTTTAGATGGATTCTTGATTGATTAGTTTAAAGAATAGTGGGCTTCTAAATACATTGCAGTTTTTGAATATCATATGATAAAACCAGTTTTAAAACAGGCTGGCTTAAGTCCTTCTGGAAGTAAACTCATATTTTACTCAGTCTTGCCATTGAATGTCATATTAAAGTTGTTTAAAAAATTTTTTTAAAATTTTCTTTATGGTGTTAGTCATACCTCTTACAAAAATAGGTTTTCTGTGATTTTTGAATTATTTACTGAAGTGTAGTACTAGGTTAAAAATAGTTTCATTAGCTAAAATCTGCAGTGTTACAGCTGAAGGATATTCTTTTTATGTTTGCAAAGGATGGGCTATGGCCTTGAAAGGTTGTTCTGAGTTTAAGGAGATAGTATTTGGTGCCTAAGGCTAGTTGCGGTGGCTCATGCCTGTAATCCCAGCACTTTGGGAGGCTGAGGCAGGTGGATCACCTGAGAGCAGGAGTTTGAGACCAGCCTGACCAACATGGTGAAACCCCATCTCTACTAAAAGTACAAAAATTAGCCGGGCATGGTGGGCGTGCCTGTAATCCAGCTACTAAGGAGGCTGAGACACAAGAATCGCTTGAACCTGGGAGGCAGAGGTTGCAGTGAGCCAACATCATGCCACTGTACTCCCAGCCTGCGTGACAGAGCAAGTCTCTGTCAGAAAAAAAAAAAAAAAATTGGTGTTTAAGAACAAAGTATTCTAGGCTTATAATCAGGAAAGTTTGAAATGCATTGCACACTGCTAACTCCCTTTCTTGGAAGTTCACAACACATACAAGTATAGTAAATGCCCTGAGAAATCCTGTAGTAAGAAAATACACTTGTAAACTTTGGCAACCTTCATCTTAATCACTTTTGGATAATGAAACCTTAGAAAAATCTAATGAAAACCACAGATACAAGAGAATATTGGCACATTTTTAAAAATTTCAGTAATTCATCTATCCTTGAAGTCCTTGGCTCCTACCTTGAACCCCATGTGAAGAATCTGACGGATGGTTTAAAAAGCAAGTTTGAACAGGAGTGAAAGAGGTGACATTTTTCTTAGCATACACATTATCAGCCTTGAAGTAATTTTCTGGTTATAAAGGTTTAGGAGAAGCTGGTTTATTTAGTAAATTAATTGGTAATCTGAAGCTATTCAGAAAGTTACTGCGCTTTTCCAAGATTACTGTTGGTGCTACCAGAGAAGATTTAAGTAGATAATGGCCATTTAGAGACAGGGCCGTTAGGCAACTCAGAACTTTCTATTTCCTAGTGCTTTGCCCTCACAGAGATGCTCTTTGTCATATAAATAAATGAAGAAAAGCTGACATTTTAAATTTCAGCATTGTCTCATTCAGATAGTTAATTTGAATCTGATAGGGCAATACTTCATAAACTTGAGTTTCACATGAATCTCCTTAGGAATACAGTTTTAAGTGCAGATTCTGATTCATTTGACTTGGAAGGGACTTGAGAGTCTGCCTTCCTAACAGACTCTCTTGTGTTGCCAGTATTGGTCTGTGGACTACACTTCAAGTAGCAGATTTTACAGGAACCTTAGCTAATTTATGGCTATGACCACCTAACCCTAGAAATATTGGTATGTTTTAATTTTTCTGAAACCCCTTTATTCTCGGGAATTACTTTTCCAAATATATAATTCAGCCTTTTAACTTCAAGACAAAGATTGACATTCTGATCTTTGTGCTCTTGTCCTTCATATTGAAGTATAAAAATACCTGCTGTTTGAAATGTACAGTCACATTTGCTCAACAAGCATTCAAGACCATCTGTCAGTGAGTGCCCCACTTTAAGGCACACACACACACACACACACACACACACACACACAAATAAAAGGCTTGATAGCAGAATCAAACTATACATAGCAGAGCCGAAGTAATATGGGGTAAAATCAAATTAGCTCAATCCTTGCTATTCAAACTCTGAACTGTGGACAAGCAGCATTACATCATCTGGGATATTATTAGAAATGCGTGCTTTTGGGCCTCACCTTATGCCAACTAAATCAGTATGTATTTTTCTTCAGTATGCATTTTGGCAAGATTTTTGGTATGAAGATATGTACGTGAAAGTCTGAAAAGTACTGAACTAGAACACTGGTTTATGTGGTTTTTGTTCCTTTTGTGCTATAGGAATGGTCAAGATTTGTTAGAAAAAAGGATTTTTACTGTATCTTTAACCTCCACCTCCCGGGTTCAAACAATTCTCCTGTCTCATCCTCCCGAGTAGCTGGGATTACAGGCATGTGCCACCACACCCGGCTAATTTTGTATTTTTAGTAGAGACGGGGTTTCTCCACGTTGGTCAGGCTAGTCTTGAACTCCCGATCTCAGGTGATCCACCCCCATTGGCCTCCGGAAGTGGTGGGATTACAGGTGTGAGCCACAGCGCCCGACCAATTTTTATTATATCTTAAAGGAAGTGGTAAATAGAGGTGGGTGGGGAAAAGTTTAGAAAGCCTTTCAAATTGTTACTACAGTAAGAAAAGTATAGAGTGGGGAACAAGCAGGATGAGAGGAATTGGGAACGGATATGACAGATATTTCAGCATAGTGGGAATTACACTGCTGTCTTGAGAGATATGGTACAGCCAGTTATACTGTCCCATACTTACTAGACTGATCCAAATATATATGTGTTTTTTGTGCATGTTGACATTCTTTCAGAAGTAGCTTGATAAATCTCATATAACTTTGTTTCCCATGATGGTAATGTGTTTTAATCCTTAGAAGGTCTTTATATATGAAAATAGATATTGCATATGAGGTAAGAATATATAAATTATGTAATAATCGTATTTTAAACTTGAGTTCAGACTTAGACCTTATGAGTTGAAGGTGATTTCCTGCCTTACTGAGTTTTTCTGTTATCAGACCTATAATTTGTTTACACTATACTCTTCTGATATTATTAGTAGTAGCCAAGATTTTCTTCACTCTTTTCTTGGAAAATTGGATAGAACTGTTAAGGTACAGCCTTCTGGGTTCTTACTGTCCTTGAATCTTTTCATTTCTTCCTTCCTCCCTTTCCTGTTGCACACTAATGAAGATGGACATGAAATGGACGTGAAACATTAGGCAAGGCAAGGCCTGACAGATTTGGCTGGTAAACAACTAGTCAACTTTTTGAATTTAGACAGTTATTAATTACTTAGGCAGAGAAAAAAGTAGTCCAAGGTGCCATTTCTCTGTGCCCCTTGTCTCACACTTGAAAAGAGTGACACCGAAATAAAAGGGGCTAGCTAACGATTGTCCCTTGAATGGTGGGACACCCTGTTGCTGAGGAATCATTGTTATACTGCAGCTAAGCCTGTTTAGTCTGCAAATGTACCCTACAAGGTTGAGGAAGAAAGGTCTCATGTTTCATTAGAACCTGAGAGGAGATGGGAAACTCTCCTGACAGAAGCATCCTGGGGCAAGAGAGAGGTGAGTGGAAAACGTCCATCCATATAGCAACTTCTCACAAGCCTCTCTTGTCCATGTTCCAGGATGATTCCATGGCCTTCTGCCAAGACAGCTTGCACTGTGATTCAGACCTTAACCTCTCTGCGCTCTTTGGACATGTGCAAGGTCTCCAGAGTGCCATGGCTGATCTCTTTCCCTTCAGTGGAGGCTCAAGTAGAAGTACTGTTTCTTCTACTAATGTCACCCCCTCATGCTGAGAAAAACAGAATGAGAAAGGGAAAGAGTGGTGAAGTGGCATAGGCGATAACATCCTTATCTCTCATCAGTCACACATTAGTACCTTAACTTTGGAAATCTAGCCTTTGATGTTTTTAATTTGGGACTCATATATAAAACCAGTTTTTTTTTTTTCTCTTTTCGTAGCATCTTAATAATTATAGCCTACTTCTCTTCACAGTTTCAGCTATTTTGGAGGATGACTGTATGTATTCCTTTTTAAAGTACCTATTGGGACTCCCCACTGAGAATTTCGTATATGCCACATTAAGTGCATTTTAATTTTGATTAAAATTTATTCATCACTTTTCATGTGATACAGTAACAGCATTTAAATGTTTAATTTCACTTATATAAATGTTCATGTTAGAATAACATACTTAAAATCTTTTTCTTTAGATCATTGTATGTTATTAAATGAGCAATAGTACTACCAGTCATGTCATTTTACATATTGCTTTTGGCACTCATACTCTTTATTGCTGGTTTTATATTAAGATCAATAATAATCAAGAGGTCTCTCTTTTCAGTAAATTTCATGCAGACTCGGTGGCAGAGGCTAAACTTTAGTTTGAGAGACCAGTGAAAAAACCTGGAACCTAAAGTTGAGATGATGAAGTCTTACATAATGGCCTTGGAAATAGAGAGGGAGGGCTGAATCTAGATGGGATATCACAGATAATAAATTGACAATATTTGGGAAAATTATTTGTTGTTAGTAGACCTGTGCGGTGATCTGGAAGATGCAAGCAAGGCTTTAGGGTCTGCTGGCTTTTTCCTAGAGTGTCAGGAGCATGGTCAGATCTCCATGATTCTTGGAGAAAGCTATGTTGGAGGAGATCCTTGCAATTCCTCCTGTTATTAACCCTTCCCCTTACCCCCAAGAGTAGCAGTGTTTTGCTACTGCAAGCTACTAGTTGGCAGAAAGGTTATTGAGTAAGTAGGTGGCAGTCTTCCTTAACCCTGTACATGGGAGAGCATTAGTCTTTGCAGCTGAAGAGACTAAGCAGTAGAGAAGATTCCTCTCATTGTCTTGATGAGGGACTGACAGCTTGCTAGCGAAAATGTTGCTTGACCACAGGAATGAGACTTCCATGCACCCTCATCTTGCCATTATTAAAGCTATCCAGCATTTGGGTCCAGCCTTAAGAGAAGGTGAGAGTCATGACTAGGCCAGTGAATATAACAGTGCATATAAAAGGGACCTAGTTACCAGGGAGAAAACAGAAGTAGACCACTGAAAGAGGCAAAACCTAGTGAAAATAGAATTATTGAACAAAATATTGAACAAATACACTTGAACAAAATAATAAGGGCACATAAGCAGATTGAATTATAACAAATTCTTTAGAGCTAGAAAAAAATGACATTAAGTTTTAATGTTTAGATTATTTAAAAAAGAGGACACGTGCTATTAAGTTCCAAATTACAGGCCTAGAAAATCAGGGGGAAGAATTATGTCATTAAATGGAATGAAAGTACTAACAGATAAAATCAAGAGAAGACGATTAGAGACTTACAAGAAGTTCTGAAGGGGAAAATAAAAAACCAGGTGGACAAGCAATAACTAAATAATAGATGGGATGAAGAAAGACTTGAGACTGCAGATCAGAACAGCTGGCTGTTGTCTAGCCAGGAGAGAAGTGAGGGAAACACACAAACACCTATGCAGAGTCTGGCAAAATCCCTGAATTCCAAGGAAAAAGTAAAAATCCTCTAAGCTTCCATATGAAAGACCAAGTTGCATACAAAGAAAAAGAACCAAACCGACACCAGGCAATCTTCCTTACCACACAAGCAGAAGTAGAAAAAAGTGGAATGACGCTACACAGTTGACAAAGAACTGCAACTCAGGAACCTTGTACTCAGCCAAAGGACCCTCCACATGTCAGAATGAAAAGGAGATACTAGTTTATCCTATCTGAGGAAAACTAAAGAAACAACCTGTGAATCAAAATAGAGACCTTTATACAGGGGAAGATAAAGAAGACAGAGAACAGTTTAATAAAGAAAACAGTAGATCAGTCTCACTAATATAAATTCAAAAGTAAAAATAAAATATTAGCAAATTGAATCTGCCATTGTATCAAAAGAATTCTAGACTATCAACACTAGAGTTTATTTCAGACATGTAATGATGATTTGTTACCAGGAAATCTGTCAACATAATTTATTCTATCAAAGGGACAAATAATCATAGAAGCTATTCTCATGAGAATTTGAAGTAAAATGGGTATAAGAAGGCAGTTATGCCTGTAATCCCAGCACTTTGGGAGGGCGAGGCAGTTGGATTGCTTGAGCCTGGTAGGTGGAGTTTGCAATGAGCCAAGACTGTGTCACTGTACTTGAGCCTGGGCAACAGAATGAGACTCAGTCTCAAAAGAAAAGAAAAAAAAAAAAAAAGCAGTTATTTGAGTGTAATAAAGACTGTTAGCCAGTGTACATCATTGTAAATGAAAGTACTCCAGAGATATTTCTATCTCAGTTAGGAACTAAACAGGGATTCCTTCTGTCCCACCATCATTATTTACCATTATTTGGGAAGCATTAGGTCAAATAATTGGAATTATAATGGTAGTAAATATTGGAAAAGGAAGGAAGCAAGTTTTATGTGTTCTTTTCTAGTGGCATTTTTGTATACTAAGAAAGCCCAAGAGATACTGGAAAGTAGCTCCTAGAGTTACAAGGTAAACTGTTAAAGTGGCTGGTTATGGAATAAGTGTGTGAATATTTTTCTCTGTTGTAATATCCAGTAGCATGAAAGTGGAGAGGAACGCTCTTCTCATAGTAGTACTCTAAGTGTTTGAGTGGGGGGTATGAAATGTAAGGAACAAATTTAACAAGGAAAGTACTAGGTCTATAAAAAGCTATAAAGTATTTTTGAAGAACATCAGAAAGATTGAACAAATATAAAAACATAACCATGTTCTTAAGATGGAAAAGATGGAAATGCATAAGATTATTAAATACCATTTCTCCTGAGATTAATACATACTTTTAATTTGATTCCATTTTGAGTCCCCAGAGATTGTTTTTAAAATTAAAAACAAAAAACAACAAAGCTTATGTGGAAGGACAGATGCCCAAGAATAGTCAAGAAAAAAGTGAAGCTAGTGGGACTTGCCTTAGCAGATATTTGATCATCCTGTATAACTTGTGTTTCTAAATGAATAAAAATGGCATTGGAATAGCTAAGTTGAACACATAAATGTCCAAAAGTAAAACCCCAAATATTGGAATTTAATATATTGACCGATGTGTATTTTAATTCAGTGGAAAGAGGGTAGGTATAGCCACCTATCCATGTGGAACAAAAAAAAAAAAGGAATTTCTACCTTGTATATATACCAAAATATTTTAAAAACTTGAAAATTTTATAGAATATATGTATAACCTATCAGTGGGTAAGACCTTTTAAACCAAGTCATGTCACATAAAAGATAACAATAAGAAAGGCAAATGTATTTGACTACTCTCCCTCTATAATGGATATTTGTATATATCGGATGTGATTCTTATGTCTCCTAATATTAAAAATTGCTAACTTGGAATTCTAGTAGAGATTTGGGGTCATGTAAGGTCTGCCATATACTTCGAATTGGAATATACTCATTAAGATGAGTATCAAAGAACAGTGAAGGTTAGATTTATTACTGTTAGCTCATGCTTCCAAAGGGTATTGCAAAGATACCTCCAAGACATATTTACTGTTTTGTATTCTATTTATACCAGGCCTTCCTAGCATTGTAAATTGAGTTACCTGTACTGTTACACAATGGAAACCGATTTCCCTTTTAGTTTGAGTTAGTTGCAACTGATAACAGTTGTCACTTTTTTTACTCAAGGGTATGAAAGTGCCAGTATGTCTAGCACATGTGAACCTTGCAAAAGTAGGAACAGACATTCAGCCCAGACTGAAGAGCCTGTTCAAGCAAAAGTATTCAGCAGAAAGAATCATGAGCAACTGGAAAAAATAATAAAATGTAATAGGTCTACAGAAATATCTTCAGGTATGTTCTTTTTTGGTTTGCATTAATATAAGGAGGTTTTCAGCTTAGATTTGAAAAGCTATAATAAAGCAGGTGTTAAAATTGGTGTTTCACACGTATCTATCATGTGGAAGGTTTTATAGTGGAAATTATAGTACACATTCCTTGATACTGAAAAATAAAAACTGAAAATATTTTGTGTTATACTATTTAATAGTTTTGGACACATTTTAATAAAATTCTAAACAAAGGATAGTTACAATTGTGGAACTCTTCAAATTCTGAAAATCTTATCTGATTAAGAATTAGATATGAAATCATGTCATCTCCTGCTTCAATCCTTTGGCTTACTGTGCCTACAGGATAAAGTCTGAATGCCTTCATGGAACGTACATGGCCATCAGGGATTTGGTTCCTTCCTGCCTCTCCAGACTCATTTCTCAACACACTCTGCCTTGAACTTTTTTCTTTCTGTGGCACTGAACTGGAGTTTTTGTATAGCTATCACATTCTTTCTTACCTTGGTAGCTGTTTTTCTATCTCAAGTCCTTTCTGCCTTTTTTGTAAGTTCGTTTCTCTGCTGGACTCTTAATACAATTTTAATTCTGAAACTCCATTCTAATCCAAGCTAGGATAGTTTCCCCTTTCTCCTGTTTTCCTTGTAGCTTGTGTAAACCTATTTTGTTGCCTTAATCACATTATTATAGTATTTCCCTGTTTGTCACTTTTTTGAGTCCCTTGGCAGCAGATAAAAGCACCAGTAGTTTCCTAATTTGTAAAGAGCATCTCAAAGAAATATGGAGAGAGAGAGGCAATAACATGACATTAGACTATAGTGGATAGACCTTAATCTAGTAGCTTTCATTGACATTAGTATAAAATGCATGCGTTTTTTGTTTAAAAATGATAACAGCAGCTATCTTTTGTACCATGCTCCATTATTTTCAAATTACCAACAAATCTCATTTGAGCCTCATAATGCTGAGTTGGTTTTATTTCCATTTTTCGGAGGAAACATGGTCAAAGAGGGAACTTTTTTTTGTTTTGTTTTTCAGTACTCATAAAGGCTCAGTAATGTAAACTGGTACAACTTTCCTGGAAAGCTTCAGAAGTCATGCCCTTAATCCAGTAATTGTACTTGTAGTAATCCATCCTAAGAAGACAAAAGGGGAAAAAAAAAAAAGACATTAAGATTTAGTGTTGTCTCAACAGTATGGTTTCAACTATGTATAAACAAAAATTTGAAAGCAAAAAGGCCGGAAGAAAATGCATCAAAATGTTAATAGTGGTTTTATCATCTTTAAACTCATAATGAGCATTTATCATTTTGTAATCAGAAAAGAAACATCACATTTGTTTGCATTTTGAAATGAATTTCTCAAGCTTACATTGCTAGGAAATGGTAAAGCTGAACTTAGAAGCTGGGCTTCTGTTAAGTCTGTGTTCCTTTCTGCAAAAATATCAATCCTATTCTTCTGAACCCAGAATTTTACTAAAATTTTATAATTTTCATCTCCTTTTACTCTCTACCAAATAGTGATATCTTCAAAAAATAAACAGTCCGGTAGAGGTCGAAGAAGGACACTAAACTGAAAGTCTTAATAAACTGAGTATCAATTACTTAAATAATAATTGGACATAGTACTTCAGGCCCTATTACTGTTACTTAGTGAAATATAATGATTGAATTTTGGTGAATTAAAAAATGTTTGAATATATAAATATACACAAGTTTACATATTTACATTCTGAAAAGATTAAAAAAAAAATTTTTTTTTGAGACCGAGTCTCGCTCTGTCATCCAGGCTGGAGTGCAGTGGTGCGACCTCGGCTCACTGCAACCTCTGCCTCCCGGGTTCGAGCGATTCTCCTGCCTCAGCCCACTGAGTAGCTGGGACTACAGGTGCGTGCCACCACGCCCGGCTAATTTTTTGTATTTTTAGTAGAGACAGGGTTTCACTGTGTTAGCCAGGATGGTCTCAATCTCCTGACCTCGTGATCCGCCCGCCTCGGCCTCCCAAAGTGCTGGGATTGCAGGCATGAGCCACCATGCCCAGCCCTGAAAAGATTTATTTTTAGTTTTAATCATTACCCTAAAATTCCTTATAGCATGTAAGGCATGTTACTTTTTGTAACTGTACTCATAACATATGATTATTAGAGTATAGCATAATAGGACTGCTAGTATTAAATTACGCAGTCTTCTTCTCCCGTGGGTGTTGTGGGAGGTTCACCTTGATGTGTATGCTTCTAAAAATGAATGATAGAAGTTTATTATGATAGTCATCATCGGTCGCCTTAATATACGTTTATAGCAAACCTTTTGAGATTTTTTTTCTTGAGATTATTTTTAAGTAGAGCGTAAGCCTTAGTTCAGGCAAACAATTTTAAAGAAATTCGCTTATTTCTTTTTTTCATTCACTTATTCATGTTATAGACCCTGTCTTTACTACTCATACACATTTTATGTTCATCCTTATGTCTGCCCTTTCCTACAGCACATGCTAGGAGAATACTACAGCAGTCTAACAGAAATGCATGCAATGAAGCGCCAGGTAACAATCTGCGTAGTTTTGGTGTCCACTTTTTGTTAATTTTTTCCCATTGGTCCTAAAGGTTTTATTGTCCTGATTTTTTTCTTTTTTAAATTTAGCTGAGAGTATATATGTTATGTGACTATTGTAAAAGATAATTTATATTCATAAAATTCTGAACCCATTCATTTATAATTCTTGGTAAAATTTGCTGCTTTTGTTTTCATATTCTGTTAGTGTATGTAACCTAACACATTCATAAGGGTAACAGAAACCTTTTTTACGGTTTAGTACTTGATTTGAGGTTATTTTGTACTTCTTCAAAGCATTAGTATTTCTTAGACCTAGAAATATAGTTACTTTTATAGTTTATCTTTCCATTTCAGTCAGCATCTTAGAAAAGTCATCAAACAAAACAATGATTACATGCAAAGACGTGATAAATAAAGATCATGGAAATTACAAAGATTCCCAAATACTATTTTAGTCTCTAATATAAGTATTCTCATTAAATGTGGTTCTTTGTGATTTAGAGTTGTAAATATTTTTTTAACTCCTCTTGCAGCTTTACATGAATGAAAAGTAAAAGCCAGTTTGAATGGAACCTTTAGGGGAATCTAAAGATACAAAACAAGGATCCAGAACTGACAAAGCTGAATATATCAGTGGCACTTTGAAAATAAGGAACTCTGAAAATAGGATATAAAAACAAGATGGAATTAGAGAAACCTGATTAAGATTAGGGATTTTTCCAGCCAAAGCTAATAAATTTCAGTTCAGGAGGAGAAACTGGCATAAACTTTCCACCTCTTGACTGCAGAAGTGGTGGGGGAATGAAGCTTGTGTTTAAATGGCATATTCATTATTTGAGAATAATTTAATTTTTAATGATACGCAATTTAGATTGATAATTTTATCACATACAGAGGTATTAAATATGTCATTAAACAGTTATAGCTTTGAAATGAATTTTTTAAATTAAGTATGATTAAACTGCAATATAGTATATAAGATAAAAGTTTGCATATCAAAATTCTTTTTACCTGGATTTTTCCCATTAGAAGAGATTGCTTACAGAGATAATTTTGGTTCCTGCTTATTATAATAAGTGTCATTTTTGTGATAGTTCATACCTTAAAACTACGAGAACTTTAGTGTATCACTTGATTTTATACCTGTAACTGAGGCAAAATAGGGAAGTTGCATATTTATTGTTACATATAATTAATATATTTTTCTATTGATATCTTATATTAGTAATGTTATTATTTCATGCTTGTGGAAATTGAGACCTGAAGATATTAAATTATTAGCCAAGTAGTGGAAAATTTTTCTATTAGAGCACATTCTTTTTCCATTTTCTTATTCCTCTCACAAAAATGAGTTTTTATGATCTTGTATACTTCTTTGAAAGCGCAATGTATTAAGATACTCAACATTTTAAATGGATACCTTTGAGTGTAATAATTTTGTGTTATCAACAAGTAAATTTAGCCGAATTGTAGCTAAATAATAGAGTGATGCCTAGATTCTGTGAAACTGAAAACTTCAGTTGGATCACTTGCCTGCTCCAATATACACTGAGTATGTAAATAAGACACAATGGTGAAATTGACCTATTATGTTAGGTTACAGATTTGGTTACTCATCATCACAGCACTTTTCTGTGTGATGTATGAGATTTGATAATTAGTAGACTATACTGGATAGACCTTAATCTAGTAGCTTTCATTGGCAGCATTCAGTTTATTCTTTTTAACATTAACAAAATATACAAACTTCCTTTTCTGTAATGAAGTCCATATTAGCAAAAGCAAAAAAGAAATTAGCACTTAGCTTATTTCTAAGTGTTGAAAGATTTTCACTGATTTTTCCTATAAAATGTATAATATTTTCTGTATATTTTATATGATCAGAAATAAACATGGTTCTTAGTAATGCTAGGTAATGTTATTCATTAAAGTTTCATTTTTAGTATAAAATGCATATCTTGATATTTTAAGATTTTATTTATCTTGGTAATATTAAGCTTCTTTTCTACTTTAAAAGCTCTGAAATAGAATTGTCTAAAATAGAATTTTTAGATAATTTAAAGCTGAGAGTAATGATACTAGCTAATAAAAGTTGTCATGAAGGTACTTCATCAATATTAACTTTCTGGTCTTTTATGTATTCCAGAAACTGGGAGTGATTTTTCCATGTTTGAAGCTTTGCGAGATACTATTTATTCTGAAGTAGCTACATTAATTTCTCAAAATGAATCTCGTCCACATTTTCTTATTGAACTCTTCCATGAGCTGCAGCTACTAAACACAGACTACTTGAGACAGAGGGCTTTATATGCATTGCAGGTATCTGGTACCTAACATAATTTTTCCTACCCTATTATCACCTTCTTCATGATTATCTCTGGTTGCTGTCTTAGACTGAAGCATGTGCCATATGAATTTTCATCTGTTCTCTATGTGCTTTCTTGACATTTTATTTAAAATTTTTGTATAGCTTAAGTAGCATTAAAGTATTTTTTTTGAGTACTTTTTCAGTGTTTTGTCTACTTCCTCACACTTAACCTGTGAGGGTAGAAACAGTACATTTTTCCTTCCATCTGCTTTTATTTTTGAATCTGTAATATAAATGAATGATTAAGCATGTATGTTTTATATAAATGATGATCTTATTTTCTTATTTAGGACATAGTATCCAGACATATTTCTGAGAGCCATGAAAAAGGAGAAAATGTAAAGTCAGTAAACTCTGGTACTTGGATAGCATCAAACTCAGAACTTACTCCTAGTGAGAGCCTTGCTACTACTGATGATGTAAGCTGATAATGATTAGTGAATTGTAGATATAATTTTAGTATGCAGTAAATAAAAGTTAAATAGATTATTGTCAAATTGTAGGTAGACCTAATATATTTGATTTTCAGCTTTTTTTAAAACTTGGGTATAATGTGTTATTTTATTTTGAGGGCGAGATATAATATGCAATCAAAATATGGTAGCAAACACCAAAAATTATGTATGTATGATAGATTATGAGGTCTGAGATAGCCATATTTATGTTGTTATTACCCAGTATAGGGGCTGACTCTTAAAAGACATTTACAAATGTATGTTGTATTTATTTAAGACATTCAGTAAAACAGGTATCAGATTACAGTAAAAACACTTGAATGAATAAATACAGGATAAATCAGGTCTTTGGGTTAAAAAAAAAAAAAAAAGCCTAGACAAAAGTCTTCCAGGAAAAAAATTGTAATTTAATGTATTCTAATTCATGGAGAAAATTTTGAATAGAGTAAAAAGGACCTGGAAATGGAGAAGAGTGCTAAGGAGAATGGTATAAATTCAGTAAGCTGTGTCCTCCAAATAGCACTTAGCACATCGTTGATTGAATAACAGTGACAGAACTGCTAGTATATTGAGGAGATAATGTGCTAGGTGTTTGGGAATCACCTATTTCAAGGTTCAGGCCTTGATTTTATTGTAAAATATTTCATGTGGTCGTGGGATAGCAAATACATTCCTTTTTTTATGACAACTCTAGCACCTAGAGATACATGGGTAAGAGTTTCGTAGTTGATTAGCAAATATCAGCTATAGGTAGAGAGTTGGAATTTACTGTTTCTGCCTTTTGTTGAAGTGTTAATACTAAGTTTTTTCTGAAGCCAGTGTTTTCTCAAAGGATTGTCTTTCCTTTTCAGATACAGTAATTTCTGAGTTTTTCTGAATTTTTGCTCTTTAACTTCTACTCGTGTTTAAAATAATAACTTCCCCAGCTCATCTTTTCTGTTTAAAATGTTTTCCCACTGGACTCTGACTCCTTTAGTACTATAACATAAACCTGTGTCTAAAAACTACATGGTTTTAATTAACTTTGCAATGTGAAATGTAAATTAGTGTCAGTCAGTGTTTGCTCCTTTGGATTGTTATAACTAATTGAAAATTGTGTATTCCTTTTTGTGGGAAATGAAATGCGACCTGCTTGAATACATTAAAAATAGATGTTAAATTATATTAAGGTTTATTGGGCACTGAAACAACTTGAGAGAGAATGAACAGTCTCCATTCCTAGACGTATTTTTCAATAATTTTATATCCTTAATTCCAGTGCTTTCACTTTTATCCAAGTTTCATACAGGCAGCATTACTTCCATTTATTTTAAGAGATTGGAGCACATTGGTTTGCACCATCGATAGCACATTTTGAAAGTTGAGCTACAGTTTAGGATAAAGTTAACCTAAGAAGGTTTTAAAGTTAAATGAAATTTAAAGATGCTGTACTACTTGATACGTAAGGACTTGGGATAGTAATTGTATTTAGTATTACTTTTAATTAAGTAACTAAATCAGTTCTTTGATATTTCTTCCAAAACTTAAATTCAGCATTAAGGTCAACATCTTCCCTTTACTAATGCCATTTAATCAGCAGCACCACAATATCCAGTGTTGATACTCACAGATCTGAAGCAGCAGTGTCCAGTAGAACTTTCTATAGTGATGGAATTGTTTTATGTCTGCATTGTCTAATGCTGTAGCCATTAGCTACATGTGGCTAGCAAGTACTTGAAGTATAGCTATTGTAACTGAGGAACTAAATTTTAAATTTTATTTAAATAGCCATATGGTGTTTTTTGTATTGGACAGATTCAGAGCCTCATTCTCTAGATGCTTCTATGCTTCTTGAGCTTCATTTTTGGAGCTTTTACAAACGTATATTAAGATGTGTAAGAGATACCTCTCTTGCCTAGGGAAGAGAGAAATGAAAGTGAAACTGGGAATCTGGGAGCTGTAAGTCAAGGAGGATGGAGTGGAGACACTGAGGTTTAGGAAGAAGAAAACACACTTTGTGTCTCCTGCTCCCGATGATAATAAAATGGTAAAAGCACATCTGTCTTGAAGACTTGAAGCACATCAAGTCTTACTTGAAACAGTAAAAAAAATGGTTTCCCTATTCCTAAAATACGTTCCTTAATGTCTAAATTTCCTTTAATCAGGGACAAATGTTTGATTTCATAATTGAAGATAGGAAACTTTAAAAAGATCATTAGTTAAGGGAAAGAACACAACTGTAAAATGTCATAATCAAAGTGTAAGTGAGACACCCTACCACCATCACACTATACACAAAATTAATTTGAAATGACCTAAAGTCGTGTAAAAGCCAACACTATTAAAACTTTTAAAAGAAAATGGGAAAAAATTATGACCTTGACATAGGCTAAGTTTTCTTAGGACAGAGAAAGCACTAACTATAAAAGAAAAAATTAAGAAATTAGACTTAACAAAAATAGGAATTTTCTGCTTTTCAAAAGATACTGTTATGGGAAAATAATCCCAGTATATATATCTGACAACTGTCTGATATATAGACTGTATAAAGCTTACAACTCAGTTGTAAGACAACTCAGTAAAAACTGGGCAAGAGATTTGAACAGGCACTTAATGAAAGAAGATATATGAATGGCTAATATGCAAATTAAAGCCACAGAAAATACCACTTCACATCAAGAATGGCTAAAATGAAAAGATTGACAATAAGAAGTGTTGGTGAGAATGTGGAACAGTTGGAACTCTCACAGTCCTTATGAGAATGTAAAATTGCACAACCACTTGGAAAGCAGTTTGGCAGTTGCTTATAAACATAAACGTGGCATGTGACCCAGCAATTTCTCTTCTAGGTATTCATCCAAGAGAAATGAAAATATGCATCACAAAAACACTTGCACATTAATGTTCATAGCATCTTTAGTCATGATAGCCTCAAACTGAAGCATCAAGAGATAAATGGATAAACAAACTGTGGTATATCTATACAGTGGAATACTGTGCAGCCATTAAAAAATAATTTCTGAACTTCTGAAACACAAAACATGGATTCATTTCAGAAACATACTAAGTGAAAAGTCAGACAATGAAGAGTGTATATTGGCTGGTTCCATTTGTATGAAGTTCTACAACCAGCAGAACTGATCTACAGTGATAGAAATCATGAGTAGGGTGTGGTGGAGATTGACTGTAGAGGGTTGTGAAGAAACGTCCTGGGCCAGTGGAAATGGTCTTTATCTTTAGGGAATCTGGTTACATGAGTGTATACATTTGTCAAAACTCATCAAACTGTACATTTAAAGTGAGTGCATTGTATATTAATTATATTTCAATAAAGTTTATTTTTTAAAAATGCAAATGATGTTGTGATGTTTTCTTTTCTGATGTGAGACAACCAGGTAGAGTAAGCTACTAGACATTGTTAGCATTTGGAGATAGGAGAATGTCCCTGAGAGTATAGAAATAATGTAAAATGTTAACTTTGCCAAATTAGAATTTAATCAGTAGCTGTCTTTGTGTGTGTTTATCTACATAATAAATATTCTGCAAGGCTACTTATATCACTGTTCTCTGTGACTCTGTATTCAGCGTTTAATAACTTTGGTTATATTATCATCTTGTTTGGACAGAATACTGAGGAAACTTATGAATATCTTTTAAGTGTACAATTTTATGTAAATACTTAGTTATCTCTGTTAGATTATTAATATGAAATTCTTAGAAGTATTAGTGATTTTTGTTTGTTTTACTGTAACTTAGGAAACTTTTGAGAAGAACTTTGAAAGAGAAACCCATAAAATAAGTGAGCAAAATGATGCTGATAATGCTAGTGTCCTGTCTGTATCATCAAATTTTGAGCCTTTTGCAACAGATGATCTAGGTAAGCAGAATTGTTTATAATCTTAGAAACAACTTTAAGTTGATCTGGTCCAGTCTTTGAATTGGCGTTGATAAGGAAACAAGTCTAGAAAGGCGAAGTGTGTGTGGTTGAAAGAATGTGGACTTAATTATCTATCAGTCTAAAATCAAGAATCTTCTGACTCTTAACCCTGTGAGCAAATCATCCAACATTTTT
This sequence comes from Homo sapiens, assembly GCF_000001405.40. NCBI lineage: Eukaryota > Metazoa > Chordata > Mammalia > Primates > Hominidae > Homo > Homo sapiens. The sequence goes on from NC_000008.11 coordinate 17,990,175, forward strand.
GACTCTGCATATACTAAGGAAATGGGAATTTTAACCTACCTTGCTATGTTCTTGTGAAAATATAATGTAACTTACTTGCTTGAGTTCAGAAAATGTTAATTTCCTTTTCCTTAAAGGAAAGGTCATCGTTTAAGGTCATCTAGTTAATTCATGGGAACAATTCAGGCCTCATCTAATCATATTTTTAATAAAAATATTAACTTTGTAATTTGAGTTAAGCAGTCAGTTTTCTTAAATAACCTGTAGTGAAAACCTCAAGTAATTCTCAGGCATAGCAAATGGTTTTGGTTGTTTTTTTTTGTTTGTTTGGGTTTTTTTTTTTTTCCCCCTCTCCCATCAGCTGTAAAACAAAAGAGGTTTAGAGGGTTGCCTGGCTGCAGTGGAGAAAAAATTCGAGTCCTAGACTTGGAAAGGAAATTTAAGGAAAAGAAAAATATGTAGATACTTGATACGTTTCTAGACTGTGGCCAATCAAAAGAGAACCTGAGAATTCAGTCATTTGCCATCCAGGGTGCTTAGTTGATAAAATAATGTAATGTCCTGTTACTCTAGTGTTTGTTCACGTGATGAAGAGAAGACTTAGATTATTTCAAAGGTATTTTTCCACTATAAAGAAAAGGACTTAGCCTTGCCCTATCATTACATTCCTACTGTTCGCCAAAACAAAAGTCTTCCTTTTGCTTATTGTAATTATTGAGGACTCAGCCTTAGCTGACCTCTAAGTAAATGCTTATTTGGGTCTGCATTGAGTTCATCCCATTACAGAGAAAAATTACTGTGTGGCCTGCCAACCCTCACCCCTTAGGTTGTCCCTCTCTTTCTGAGTTGCCAGAATACTTCGACTCCTACGTATTTTCTTTCATTTACTGGTATTTTTTTTTTTTTCTTACAAACCTGCACCAGTAGCTGTGTCTGAAGTAGACATAGAATTGGGAAATTTCATTGATAGGCCTTTTTCTTACCTAATTTGCTTGTTTTAGGTTGCGTTGTTTTCATCAGAATTTGCATGACATTTTGGAATTCACTTGTATTGTTTAAATGAAACAACAAAATGAAATAAATATGGGCTTCAGAGTTTGATAACTAAGTTTAAATCCTTGTTCCTACATTGAACTGTCTGTGAAAGCTTGAGCAAGTTACTTAAATTTTCTGCAAATGAAAGTAATGTCATCTACTATATAGGATTATTTTAAGGATTAAATAAGTGTGACAATGTATATGAAGTGCTCAAGTAGTATAGTGTGTAGAACTTGTTAAAGCTAATTTTCCTCCCTTTTGTTTGGACATTTTTTTATTAATGCATTTTGAGGAATATATGAAAAAGTTCACTTTTACATACTCAAAAAATATTTTTGTTCCAAATGTAGGTAACACCGTGATTCACTTAGATCAAGCATTAGCCAGAATGAGAGAATATGAGCGTATGAAGACTGAGGCTGAAAGTAACTCAAATATGAGATGCACCTGCAGGATTATTGAGGATGGAGATGGTGCTGGTGCAGGTACTACAGTTAATAATTTAGAAGGTATATATTTTTGTTTTCGGTAGGTTTTTGGAGAACAGGTGGTGTTTGGTTACATGAATAAGTTCTTTAGTGGTGATTTCTGAGATTTTGGTGCACCCATCGCCTGAGCAGTATACACTGTACCCAGTGTGTATTGTTTGATCCCTCACCCCCTTCCCACCCTTTCCCCTGAAACCCCAAAGTCCACTGTATCCTGCTTATGTCTTTGCATACTCATAGCTTAGCTACCACTTATGAGTGAGAACATGCAACGTTTGGTTTTCCATTCCTAAGTTACATCACTTAGATTAACGGTCTCCAACTCTACCCAGATGGCTGCAAATGCCATTACTTTGTTCCTTTTTATGGCTAAGTAGTATGCTGTGGTGTATAAATAAATAAACAAATATATCTGTCTATCTACACATATATACATATACCACATTTTCTTTATCCGCTCGTTGATTGATGGACATTTGGACTGGTTCCATATTTTGCAACTGCAGATTGTGCTGCTATAAACATGCACGTGCAAGTATCTTTTTCATATAATGACTTCTTTTCTTCTGGGCAGATACCTAGTAGTGAGATTGTTGGATCAAATGGTGGATCTACTTTCAGTTGTTTAAGGAATCTTCATACTGTTTTCCATAGTGGTTGTACTAGTTAGTTTACATGCCCACCAGCAGTGTAAAATTGTTCCCTTTTTACCACATCCACACTAACATCTATTATTTTTTGATTTTTAAATTACGGCCATTCTTGCAGGAGTAGGATGGTATCACATTGTAGTTTGTGCTTTGATTTGCATTTTCCTGATAATTAGTGATGTTAGAGCATTTTTTCACTCAACATCACCAAAAAGTTTTTTGGCCATTTGTGTGTCTTCTTTTGAGAGGAGTTGTCTATATCCTTAGCCTACTACTACTACTTTTTTTTTTTTTTTTTTTTAATTTGAGCACAGTCTTGCTCTGTTGCCCAGGCTGCAATGCAGTGGCACAATCTCAGCTCACTGCATCCTCTGCCTGCCAGGCTCAAGTGATTCTCATGCCTCAGCCTCCCGAGTAGCAGGCATTGTAGGCATGTGCCACCATGTCCAGCTAAGTTTTGTATTTTTAGTAGAGATGGGATTTCAGCATATTGTCCAGGCTGGCCTTGAACTCCTGGTCTCAAGTGATCTGCCCACCTCAGCCTCCCAATGTGCTGGGATTACAACTGTGAGACACCACACTTGGCCTTAGCCCACTTTTTGATGGTTTTTTTTTTTTTTTTTTCCTGATTTGTTTGAGTTCTTTGTAGATTCTGGGTATTAGTCCTTTGTCAGATGCGTAGTTTACAAAGACTTTCTCACACTCTGTGGGTTGTCTGTTTACTCAGATGATTATTTCTTTTGCCGTGCAGAAACTTTTTAGTTTAAGTTCCATCTGTTTATCTTTGTTTTTGTTGCATTTGCTTTTGGGTTCTTGGTCATGAAGTCTTTGCCTAAGCCAGTGTCTATAAGGGTGTCTCCAATGTTATCTTCTAGAATTTTTGTGGTTTCAGGTATTAGATTTTGAAGGTATATTTTTTATTGATTACAAGTAATAATAATTCTATGTAAAAAATTTAAATATGTGATATCTAATGGTGGTTTTATTACTACTTTATTTTAATTGATAGGGGTGCTTAAACTACAAACATGTTTCTTTGTATTATGTTAGCATAAAATCATCAAATTTAATATTTTTCAAATTTCAACATAAAGGCATATATGTATATATAATAGGCTTTGTTAGGCTAATGTATTTTCTTTTTAAAAATTAGAAACTCCCGTTATTGAAAATCGTAGTTCACAACAACCTGTAAGTGAAGTTTCTACCATCCCATGTCCTAGAATTGATACTCAGCAGCTGGACCGGCAAATTAAAGCAATTATGAAAGAAGTCATTCCTTTTTTGAAGGTAAGCAATTATTTTAAAAAATAAACGAAACCTTCTATGTTTTGTTTTTTAATTCATACAGAAGACCTTATTGTGATAAAGTTCAACGGTATAGGTAAACAACAACAAAAAAACTATCACCCATAATTTTTTCACCCTACCAACATTCTCTGAACCTTTCAGTAATATTTTATACACATGTGCATATTCTGCCTTTTTCATTTACTATATCATAAACTTCTTTCTAGATCATTATTTTTCTGCTGCATTTTTTCAGGATTTATCACCTTTATTTTTAGTTTTAGTTTTTGTGAGTGTATAGTAGGTGTGTATATTTATGGGGTACATGAAATAGTTTGATACAGGCATGCAATATGTAATAATCACATCATGGTAAATGGGGTATCCATCCCCTCAAGCATTTAACCTTTGTGTTACAAACAATCCAGTTATACTCTTTTAGTTATTTTAAAATGTATAATTAAATTATTGACTGTAGTCACCCTGTTGTGCTGTTAAATAATAGATCTTATTCATTCATTCTGACTACTTTTTGTACCCATTAACCATCTTCCCTATTCCCTACTACCTTTCATAGCCTCTGGTAACCATCCTTATACAGTTTATCTCCATGAGTTAAATTGTTTTAATTTTTAGCTCCCACAAGTAAGTGAGAACATATGAAGTTTGTCTTTCTGTGCCTGGCTAACTTCACTTAACATAATGACCTCCAGTTCCATCCATGTTGTTGCAGATGACAAGGTCTCATTATTTTTTATGGCTGAATAGTACTCCATTGTGTGTCTGTACCACATTTTCTTTATCTGTTCATCTGTTGATGGACACTTAGGTTGCTTCCAAATCTTGGTTGTTGTGAACAGTACTGCAACAAACATGAGTGTGCAGATAGCCCTTTAATACACTGATGTCTTTTCTTTTCTGTATATACCCAGCAGTGGGATTGCTGGATCATATGGTAGCTCTTGCTGTATTTTCAGTTTTTTGAGCAACTTCCAAACTGTTCTCCAGAGGGGTTGTACTAATTTACATTCCCACCAGCAGTGTATGAAAGTTCCCTTTTCTCCACATCCTCGCCAGCATTTATTATTGCCTGTCTTTGGGATAAGTGCCATTTTAACAGAGGTGAGATGATTTCTCGTTGTAGTTTTGATTGTCATTTCCGTGATCATGTTGAGCACCTTTTATGTGCCTGTTTGCCATTTGTATGTCGTCTTTTGAGAAGTGTGTCTTCAGATCTTCTGCACATTTTAAAATTAGATTATTAGATTTTTTCCTATAGAGTTTGAACTCTTTATATATGCTGGTTATTAATCCCTTGTCGGATGGTTTGCACATATTTTCTCTCATTCTGTGGGTTGTCTCTTCACTTTGTTGTTTGTTTCTTTTCTTGTGCAGAAGCTTTTTAACTTGATGTGATCCCATTTGTCTGCTTTTGCTTTGGTTGCCAGTGCTTGTGGGGTATCACTCAAGAAATTTTTGCCCAGACCAATGTCCTGCAGAGTTTCCCCACTGTTTTCATATAATAGTTTCATAGTATGAGGTCTTAGATTTATGTCTTTAATCCATTTTGATTTGACTTTTGTATATGGTGAGAGATAGAGGTCTAGTTTCATTCCTCTGCATATGGATATCCAGTTACCCCAGCACCATTTATTGTGAAGAGACTGTCTTTTCCCCACTGTATGTTCTTGGCACCTTTGTTGAAAATGAGTTTATTGTAGGTATGTGGATTTGTTTCTGGGTTCTCTGTTCTGTTCTATCGGTCTGTGTTTCTGGGTTCTCTGTTCTGTTCTGTCGGTCTGTGTTTCTGTTGTTTGTATGCCAGTACCACGCTGTTTTGGTTACTATAGCTCTGTGGTATAATTTGAAGGCAGGTTAATGTGATTCTTCCAGTTTTGTTCTTTTTGCTCAAGATAGCTTTGGCTGTTCTGAGCTTTTTTTGTGGTTCCTATAAATTTTAGGATTCTTTTTTCTCTGTGAAGAATGTCATTGGTATTTTGATCACAATTGTATTGAATCTGTAGATTGCTTCGGGGAGTACAGACATTTTAACAATATTGATTTTTCCAATCCATGAACATGGAATATCTTTCCCTTTTTGTGTCTTTTTAAATTTCTTTCATCAGTGTTTTATAGTTTTCATTGTAGAGATCTTTCACTTATTTGGTTAATTCTTAGGTATTTAATTTTATTTGTGTCTGTTGTAAATGAGATTACTGGTGGCATATAGAAATGCTACTGATTTTTGTGTGTTGACTTTGTATCCTGCAACTTTACTGAATTTGTTGATCAGTTCTAATAGTATTCTTGTGGAGTCTTTAGGCTTTTCCAAGTATAAGATTATATATATATCATATACAAACAAGGATAATTTGATTCTTCCTTTCCAGTTTGGATCCCCTCTATTTCTTTCTCTTGTCTGATTACTCTAGCTAGGACTTCCAGTACTATGTTGAATAACAGTGGTGAAAGTGGACATCCTTGTTGTGTTCCAGATCACAAAGGAATGGCTTTCAGTGTTTCCCCATTTAGTATGATACTAGCTGTGGGTCTGTTGTATATGGCTTCTAGTATGTTGAGGTATGTTTCTTCTATACCCAGTTTTTTGAGGGCTTTTATCATGAAAGGATGTTGAATTTTATCAAATGGTTTTTCAGCATCAGTTAAAATGATCATATGGGTTTTGTCCTTCATTCTGTTGATATGATGTATTACATTGATTGATTTACCTATGTTGAACCATCCTTGCATCCCTGGGATAAATCCCACTTGGTCACGATGGATCATCTTTTTAATGTGTTGTTGAATTCCGAGGTATCGGTTGTAATGTCTCCTTTTTCATCTCTGATATTATTTGGGTTTTTTGTCTTTTTTTCTTAGTCTGGTTAATGGTTTGCCAATTTTATGTATCTTTTAAAATACCAACTTTTTGTTTCGTTGCTCTTTTGTATTTTATTTCAATTTCATTTATTTCTGCTTTGATCTTTATTATTTCTTCTATTTTGGGTTTGGTTTGCTCATGCTTTTCTTGTTTTTTAACATCCATTGTTTTCGTATCTGTTATATGTATGTTTTTGGATTTCAGGTTACCATGAGGATTGCAAATACTGTCTTATAACTCAGTATTTTAAACCGATAACACTGATTGCATAAACAAACAAGCAAACAAAATGAAAACTTATGCAAATGTTAACTTTGTTTCCCTGCTTTTTAACTCTTTGTTGTTTCTCTTTATATCTTACTGTACCATGTCTTGAAAAGTTGTTGTAGCTACTATTTTTGGTTGGTTCATCATTTTGTCTTTCCACTTAAGAGTAGTTTACACACCACAATTACAGTGTTATAATATTCTGTGTACTTTCTATTACTGGTGAATTTTGTACCTTCAGACGATATCTTACTGCTCATTAATGTCTTCTTTTAGATGGAAATAAAGTATTTAGTATTTCTTGTCAGACAGGTCTGGTGTTGATGAAATCCCTCAGCTTTTGTCTGGGAAAGTATTTCTCCTTCGTGTTTGAAGGATATTTTTGCTGGATGTACTATTCTAGGGTAAAAGTTTTCTTCCTTCAGCACTTGAAACATGTCATGACACTCTCTCCTGACCTGTAAGGATTCTAGTGACAAGTCTACTGCCAGATATATTGGAACCCCATTATATGTTATTTGTTTCTTTTCTCTTGCTGCTTTTAGGGTCCTTTCTTTATCCTTGATGTTTGGCAGTTTGATTATTAAATGCCTTGAGATAGTCTTATTTGGATTAAACTATCCTGGTTTTCTGTAACCTTCTTGTACTTGAATGTTGTTAAGCTTACTACCTCTGTCTCTCTCTACCCCCTCTTTAAGGCCAATAACTTAGATTTGTCCTGTTGAGGTTATTTTGCAGATCCTGTAGGTGTGCTTTATTGTGTTTTACTTTTTTTTTCTTTTGTCTCCTCAAGTTGTGTGTTTTCAAAGAGCCTGTCTTCAAGCTAATTCTTTAGCTTGATCAATTCTATTGAGAGATTGATGCATTCTTTAGTATGTCAGTTGCGTTTTTCAACTCTAGAATTTCTGCTTGATTCTTTTAAATTATCTCAATCTGTTTATTAAATTTATCTATGAATATAGAATTCTGAATTCCCGGCCAGGTGCTATGGCTCACACCTGTGATCCCAGCACTTTGGGAGGCTGGGGCGGGTGATCACTTGAGGTCAGGAGTTTGAGACCAGCCTGGCCAACACGGTGAAACCCCGCCTCTACTACAACATACAAAAAAAAAAAAAAAGTAGCTGGACATGGTGGTGCGCACCTATAATGACAGCTACTTGGGAGGCCGAGGCAGGAGAATCGCTTGAACCCGGGAGGCGGAGGTTGCAGTGAGCCGAGATTGTGCCACCACACTCTAGCCTGGGTGACAGAGCAAGGCTCCGTCTGAAAAAAAAAAAAAAAAATTCTGAATTCCCTTCCTGTGTTATCTTGAATTTGTTTGAGTTTCCTCAAGACAGCTATTTTGAATTCTCTGTCTGAAAGGTCACATATCTCTCTCCAGGATTGGCCACTGGTGCCTTATTTGGTCCCTTTGTTGAGGTCATGATTTTTGGTCCCTTTGTTGAGGTCGTGATTTTCTGTATGGTCTTGATGTTTGTGGATGTTTGTTGGTGTCTGGGCATTGAAGAGTTATATATAGGCCTTGTATCTTGTAGGCCTCACAGTCTGGGCTTGTTTGTGCCCATTCTTCTTGGGAAAGCTTTCCAGGTATTCAAAGGGACTTGGGTCCCAAGCCCAAAAACACTGTGCTTTTTGCAGACTCATAGCGGTATACCACTTTGGTGATTTTGGATAAGATCCAGAAGAATTCTCTGAATTACCAGGTGGAGACTTCTGTTCTCTTCCTTTACTTTCTTTCAAATAAATGGAATCTCTGTGTTGAAATGCCTGGAGCTGGATGGAGATGGGGTGATGGAGGCACCCCTTTGGTGACTTACCACTGTGACTGTGCTGGGTCATACCTAAAGCCAGCACAGCACAGCACTGGGGCTTGCCCAAGACCCTCTGTAACCACTACCTGACTACCGCCTAAATTTGCCTAAATTCGCTCAAGGCCCTAGGGTTCCTACTATTAGCAGGTGGGGAAGCCAGCCAGGTTTGTGTCTTTCCCTTCAGGGCAGTGAGTTCCCCCAGGTCCCTAATGGGTCCACAGATACTGTCCTTGAGCTTAGAAATCTACCTGGTATTCTGTCCTACTGTGGCTAAGCTGGCCTTTAAACCACAAGACAAAGTCCTTCCCACTTTTACCTCTGCTTTCCATAAGCAAAGGAGTCTCTCCTGGTGGCTACCACTGTGACCACCGGCCCATGAGTTCTGCTAATATTCATTTAAAGCCCAAGGGCTTTTTAGTCAGCTTGTGGTGAATGCTGCCAGGCCTGGGACTCACCCTTCAGGGCAGTGGGCTCTCCTCTGGCCCAGGGCAGGTCCAGAAATGCTGTCCAGGAGCCAGGTTCTCGAATTGCGGATCCCAGGAGCCTGCTTGGTGCTCTACCCCACTGTGATCGCTCTGGTACTTAAGGTGCAAGACAAAGTCCCCTTTTTCCTCTACTTTTCTCAAGCAGAAGGAATCTTTCACCATAGCCATCACAGCTCAGTATACGTTGGATCTCACCTGAAGCCAGAACATCTCTGAGTCTCACCCAAGGCCCATGGCATACTACATGGGTATCACTGTCAGTTATTCAAGGTTCAAGGGCTCTTTAGTCAGCAGGTTAAGATTAAGCCAAGATTAATCCTTCCAGGACTGGGTCTTTCCCTTTAAGGCAGTGGGTTTCCTTCTGGGCCAGAGTGTATCTAAAAATGTCATCTTGGAGCTGGGGCCTGGAATGGCGACCTCACGACTCTGCCGGTGCCCTGTTGTAGCTGTGGCTGAGCTGGTATCCAAGATACAACACAAAGTCCTTTTTACTCCTTGCTCTCGTCTCCTCAAGCAGAAGGAGTCACTTGCATTGCTGCAGTCAGTGCTGCCTGGGGTTGGGGGAGGGGTGGCGTCAGCAATTCAAGATGGTCTTTCCTACCCTCAGTGTCCCTTTCAGCAATACAAAGTTAAAAGCAGGTACCATGATTGCTCACCTGGTTTTTATTCTTATAATGGTGCTTTTTTTGTGTGTAGTTGTTAAAATTTGGTGTTCCAGAAGGGGAAGATGATTGGTGGAGGCTTCTGTTCTGCCATCTTGCTCCACCCCTGCCTTTTTTTTTAATGGATCCACAACATTCATTCCAAAATATTTATAAAATGCCTACTTAATGCCAGGTTTGGCAGACCTAGCAGTGAACAAGGCCTTTGTTCTCATGGAGCTTGCATGCTAGAGTGGGAATACACTCTGAAATAACATAAGTAAATAAAAGACATATAAGTAACTGTTTATCAGTTAATGATACAGGCCATGCTCAGAATTAAAATTTGGTGATATGATGGTGTCTGTTTTATATTGGATGATCAGGGAAAGCTTCTAATGAGGGAACATTTAAGTAGAGATGTGACTAAGGAGCCAGTGTAAACCAGGATTGTTCTAGACAGTGCACTGGCCTTAAGGTGAGAATTAGCTTCGCGTGTTGAAGGAACTAGAGGGAAAGTCTATATGGTTGGAGGATATTTGTATGAGACTAAGTTGAAAGGGAGGCAAGGGCTAATTGTATAAAATATTACAGGCCATGGTTAGAAGTTTGGACTTTGCTCAAAGTTTGAAGGGAAACTCCTAGAAGATTTTAAGCAGAGAAAAAAAGTCTGGCTTGTTTTTAGAAAATTGATTATAAGGGGGTCAGGAGTGCAGTGAGATCAGAAGAGAAATGATAGTGGCTTAGATAAGGGTGGTGATAAAGAAATACGTAATTGGGATATAGTTAGGAAATCAGTAGGTCCTACTAATGGGTAGAGTGTCGAGAGAGAGAGAAAACTGGCTAGGAGGAAATACGATTTACCAAAATGAAGAAGGCTTGGGAGAAGGGGGAGATGAAGAGCTCTGTTTTTTTTGAGGGGGGTGGGGTTTGAGACAGAGGCTCACTCTTATCACCCAGGCGGGAATGCAGTGGCGCGATCTCGGCTCACTGCAACCCTTGCCTTCTGGGTTCAAGCGATTCTCCCACCTCAGCCTCCCAAGTATCTGGGACTACAGGTGCCTGTCACCATGCCTGGCTTGCTTTTTGTATTTTTAGTAGAGATGGTGTTTCCCTATGTTGACCACGCTGACCTCAAGTGATGCACCCGCCTGGGCCTCCCAAAGTGCTGGGATTATAGGCTCGAGCCACTGTGCCAGCCAAGAGTTTTATTTTGTACTTTAAAATTGAACTGTCTTTTAGACAATCGTAGAGAGGTCAAGTAGTCATTTGGTTACTCAGCTAATTCCAGGCACAGCTGGAGATAGACATAAGGTAGATTATAGCATATAGCTGCTGCCTAAAGCCAGGGCATTTGATTTGAGAATAGAAAGGGGCCTTGCAACTGTGATGTGGGACCAGGTGATTCAGCATTTGTAAGTTGTACAAAAGCGGAGCCAGGGTTGACCAAGAAGGACTGCAAGGAGTTAGTTATGTTGATGGCTGCTATGAGGTCAAGTAGTCATAAAATACAATTTTCTATTAATTATTTTTTCAGTCCCTGTTGTTAAATATTTGTGTTTATTCTGGTTTCTTTTCCACTATTACAAACACTTATTGAATGATTGAAGGTAATCTGTTTACTTTTGTTTCTCTAGAAACAATTTTTAGACATAAAATTTTTAGTTCAAAGGTCATAAACATTTTTAAAGCTTTTTAGACAAGCTGATTGTCCTTCAGAGAAACTAACCAGTTTATATTCCCATCAACATTGATAGTATCAGACTGGTAAGCAGTACTATTAATTTCATTTAACAACATTGATCAGGGCAGATGGAGACATGTGCAACAAATGGAATAGGAAGACAGGACTTCTTTCTGAGATGGCATTCATTACATTCTAATTTAAAATGGAAGTTTTAACAATTAGAAGTGAAAAGTAATTGTTTTCTTTTCATCTAGATATGGTAAACTACAAAATACATTGTCACTGGGCTAGTTTCTTATATTGTACTCATACTTTTCTTTGTAAGACATGTACCACAGAGAATTGCTTCCATTGTGCTCATATTTCTTCCCTCAGCAGAAGTAATTGCTTTTTTTTGGAATGTTTTGAGAGAAGAGAGATCTTTGAGAAAGCACCTGTAGAAACTGCTTTCTCTGTATCTGACTTTACAGCTGAGAGGAAAAAGTCAGCTGATCGTGTCCAGATTATTCCATGTAAAAACAGAAACACGTAGCCTTGTTCTGGGCAATTGCAACAGTTCCTAAATGGCCTTACTATCCTTTTGCCGCTGCTTCTAACCTTTCTTTTTTTTTTTTTTTTTTTTTTTTTTTTTTTTTTTTTTTTGTGGAGAGATCTGTTAAATTTTTTTTTTCTTTTTTTTTTTTTCTTTTTTTTATTATACTCTAAGTTATAGGGTACATGTGCACATTGTGCAGGTTAGTTACATATGTATACATGTGCCATGCTGGTGCGCTGCACCCACTAATGTGTCATCTAGCATTAGGTATATCTCCCAATGCTATCCCTCCCCCCTCCCCCGACCCCACCACAGTCCCCAGAGTGTGATATTCCCCTTCCTGTGTCCATGTGATCTCATTGTTCAATTCCCACCTATGAGTGAGAATATGCGGTGTTTGGTTTTTTGTTCTTGCGATAGTTTACTGAGAATGATGGTTTCCAATTTCATCCATGTCCCTACAAAGGATATGAACTCATCATTTTTTATGGCTGCATAGTATTCCATGGTGTATATGTGCCACATTTTCTTAATCCAGTCTATCATTGTTGGACATTTGGGTTGGTTCCAAGTCTTTGCTATTGTGAATAGTGCCGCAATAAACATACGTGTGCATGTGTCTTTATAGCAGCATGATTTATACTCATTTGGGTATATACCCAGTAATGGGATGGCTGGGTCAAATGGTATTTCTAGTTCTAGATCCCTGAGGAATCGCCACACTGACTTCCACAATGGTTGAACTAGTTGACAGTCCCACCAACAGTGTAAAAGTGTTCCTATTTCTCCGCATCCTCTCCAGCACCTGTTGTTTCCTGACTTTTTAATGATTGCCATTCTAACTGGTGTGAGATGATATCTCATAGTGGTTTTGATTTGCATTTCTCTGATGGTCAGTGATGATGAGCATTTCTTCATGTGTTTTTTGGCTGCATAAATGTCTTCTTTTGAGAAGTGTCTGTTCATGTCCTTCGCCCACTTTTTGACCTTTCAACTCTCCTACTAGAGTTGTTAGCACTTCTGAGGCCTTGGCACTTGCTAATACTTCTGCCTGGAATGCTCTTCCTTCACATACCTACCTGCATGGCTTGTTTTCTTGAACTCAACTGTTTGGTCAAATGTTAACTTTTGCTGAGTAAACCTCTGCCTTATCCTTTACCTGCTTAGTGCTTGCACGCCACCTTTAACCTATGTAATATTTGTCTGCCTCTCCATGCTAAAATACAAGATCCATGACATCTGAGATGTTAATCTCTTTTGGTCACTGTCCAAAAATAGTACATGCACATTGTAGACACTCAGTAAACATTAATGAATTAATAAATGACTGGAATCTTCAACCCTCAACTGTAGTTGAGCTCTTTAGACGCTCTAAGTGTGAAAACAACTGGCCCATAGGATAAAGACCAGGTTCATTGTCACTCATAAAACCTTTTACAGCTTGGTCTGGCCTCTTAAGCCTTGTGTCCTACTTGACATTATTGAAAAAGGCACATTGCCCACATTATGTCCTTTACCTAGAATGACCTTCTCCTCTTTCTCTGTCAGTTTCTCCTGTTTTTCAGGAGCCAGCCCAAATGTTATTGCATGTGTTTACAGGCAGAATTCCTTCCTCTCTTCACTGTTCCTGAGATACTGGATTCATGCCTTCATTATAGCACTTATGACAAAGGATCATAATTATTTGTATCTCCCCCCTAGAATAGTATCTCATAGTACCTACAGCCAAGAAGCACTTAAGATACTGGATAAAAAGAATTTGAGGGATAAGGCATAAATACATCAGTTTTACCAAGTGTTTTGTGAATTTATTTCCTGTTACTTATAAATATATGTATATATTTACCTTCCATAAAAGAATATACTTATAAATTTTAAGAATATAGATTTTTTATATAGATATTTATCTCAGAGCTTGAAACCATTGCCTCAAGTGAATTGGTTTAAATTTTCTTAGTTAATGCTTGCTTTCATCTTAGGCCTAAAGTATTGCCTTTTTGCTTTTATACTTTTATTTTAGCATTAATAGTACAATAAATATTTGTCAACATGTCTTTTAAAAACTAATAGGTATGCTTGTAGTAATATTTATTTGATATGTACAGTTACTTTATAAGGGTTAAAAAAAAAGCCTAAATGATCTATCCTTATGCTTAGGGAGTGCAGCCTTCAGTTAGGAAATTGATTGTTTTTACTTTTTTGTGTCTGATTTGATGGAAGAATTATGTAAGTTACATGCTATCTGCTCAGAAACTGTTATACAATAAAATATTTAATACTTGAGCGAAATAGAAGTCACCTTGAGTCTGTGAAATGTTTAAAAAGTCTTGAATTTAAAAGAATTACATTTTTTAAAGTGATTTTTCTTAAATGTCTAAGATATTAGGAAATATCAATGGTATTTTAGTTGGCTAAAGTGGCTAGTGACACTCATTTAATAGGTTTTCCATTTGACCTTTTAAGCGCTACTAGCATATCTAGAGTTACCTAAATCACAACACTTATCTTGTCACCTTGTGTAAAATCTAAATTGTTCCTTCTCACTTTACCTGTGTAGCCCTGATTTAAGTGATTTCATTTCATGAGGAAATGAAATAATAAATACTAATTTAGCATTTCAAAAAGTGTCTGAGGCCAGTAAAGAGTAGAACTAATAATCTGATTTTAATTATTTATGATGTCTCATTTCACTTCAGATCTTGACTTTTTTTGTAGGACTGTAGAACTTCTTTGTTAATTATGCCCAGGCAGCATTACACCCAGTCACCTGAGTTAGACTTCTTGACTCTCTTTATGTCATCACTAGTGAGTCAAAAATGTATTCTCCTCCTTAGAGTCATCAATTTGACTTCACTTTCTTCTTTCTAGTAGCATGACCTTAATTCATATTCTTACCTTTTGCTTAGACTACCTGTCGTAATAGGCATGAAGTGCATTTTTACTAAGCCGTGTCCTACCCAAACTCCTTAGTCTTCAAGTGGCTTCACTGCTGGATCTGGTGTGCTTTCCCCCTCTAGCTACTCTCCATCTAGGTACATTCACTTCACATTATTCAACATTTTCCATATCTACTGTTACTTTTTCACGTATTAGCTGTTTGTACAAGTTGTCTTGTCTATCCAAGAGGTAAAATACTTTCACTCTTTTCTGCCTGGCTGAAATATTTCTTCAGAAATATTTGTTGTTGCCTCCAGTATGCTCCTACAGCTCCTTAGAGCACCTAGTGGGTGCTTTTTAAAAATATTTATTTATTCAGTAAGTAATGTCTCCTGTGAGCCACTGTATTTTGTGATAAATAAGAATACCTGCAGTTAAAAAAGTGTTATCTACCAGACAGCACGGAGCTTATAGTGATTATTTATATACGTATCTGACTCCTGCATAGTATTTGACTCTCTGAAGACAGGGACAGTTGTGTTGTTGTTGTTGTTTTTTTTTTTTTTTAAATCGCCTGTCTTGACACATACATTATTTTAAATGAGCTTAAGTCTGAGAGGGGACCTTGAACATCTAGTTTGGCACCCTCATTTTATAGATATGTATTGGTGGGGGGGACTGAACTGAGAAAAGGTTTAGGATTTGCTTAAATGGATTTAGTAGAATAAGAAGGATTAGAACCTTGAGATTACTTGATATCGATGATTTATGGACTCAACCTCAGAAAGTTAACCATGATTCATATTATTTTGTAGCTCACACATGCTTCTCAAGGAAGTTTAAGAAGAGACACTTGACTGAAGTGATTTGTTAAGAAAGTTAGGGGGTGATGTTAACCCTCAAGACATTTCAGAATGTCTAAAGGTATTTTTAGTTGTCGAGGTGGTGTAGGGAGGAGGTGTTACTGGCATCTAGTGGGTAGAGGCCAGGATGATGCCAAATATCCTACAATGCACAGGATGTCAATAATGTGAAGGTTGAGAAACCCTGAGTTAGAAAATAATAGGGAATTGGGTACAAGGTGAGTATGCTTGTAAGAGTATTTGAAATTAACTGAATGAAAACAGAAAGATTGGCAAAATGGAAACTAGCATGAATAGTTCTCCTTAAGGTACAGAAAAGTACAGAAAGAAAGTGCTGAAAAGTACTGGATCAGCCAGTTCTTTTACTGGCCATCATCTGCTTTCGTGGGTCAAAATTGCCAAACCTCTCAATACGTATGAATAAAGTAGGAGTTTGGCTTTTCTTATGAATGGATATTTCTAAACAGACATCTGAAAATTGAGGAGCATCTACGGCAAGAAAATTAAAAATTAACATTTTGTATTATATGGATTGATTTTCTTTTTTTAAACAATAGGTAAGTTTATATTCTAACCAACTAGGATTTTTCTCAGGAGCACATGGATGAAGTATGCTCCTCGCAGCTTCTAACTTCAGTAAGGCGCATGGTTTTGACCCTTACCCAGCAAAATGATGAGAGCAAAGAGTTTGTAAAGTTCTTTCATAAACAACTTGGAAGTATATTACAGGTAAGAGTTTATACTTGTATGATTTACCAATATGTACTGTGTGGTAAGGTTTTTTTTCGGGGGGTGGGTGAGGCATTTTCTTGCATTACACAATTTATTCTGGTGGACATCCAATCTAGCGTCCATTTGGGATGATGTTGTAATACTTTTTAGTTGTCACTTGGTTAAAATAATATTGTATTATTAGGTCCTGTTTGTATCTTCATTTAATTTGGTCATCTCTAAGGCATGTCTCTTATAAGCTTTTACTGGTTTGGTTTATCTTCTCACTGAAAACATTTTGAGTTTGAAATGTTTACAAAGTATTCTGTGGCTGTTTCTAAAATAATTGGCTAAAGTAATTTGACTAATCAGGGAAATTTTGGAAGCCAGAGACCAGCTGGTTGTAGAGACTTTTTAGGGTGTACCAGTACGCTTAAATTATAGTAAGTCAGTAACTGGGAGAGAATTTGCCTTCTAGGAGACATTTAGCAGTGTCTGCAGCCATTTTGTTTATCACAGCAAGTAGTGTGGAGAAGGTAGGAGGGCTGAGAGGAGGACAGGTACTGGCAACTAATGGGTAGAGACCAGGAAGAATCTTGATAAACATTTGACAATACACAGGACAGTACCCCATAGCAAAGTATTATCTGGCCCTAAATGTCAACAGTGCCAAGGTTGAGAAATCCCATGTTAGTGTTAATAAAATTACCTTGTTTATTCCATATGACAAACATCTTTACCTTTATATTTACCTGAATGTTTTTCCATTGAGATAGTTCAGTGATGTGTATTTTTACTCCACATTAGGTGATACATTTTTCTTCTCATCTTTATTACAGAATTTTCTTATGAAACTTGGCTTTGCTTCTTATTTCTGTGTTTAAACTGGTTTTAGATAATCACTATTAACTTTTTTTAAACCTTGGGCTTGATGCAAATTTGTATCACTGTAATTTTCCATTTTGTTAGTATTAGGACTAAAGGACAAATTGTCCTGGCCCCGTTAGCAGTTATTAGTACTAACAGATAATTTCTAAGGACTACAAAACATTGATGGTGTTGTGCATTGTAGGAAACTCCATTTTAGAATAAGGCTGAAAGAGAAATTATAATTTAAATATTTTTTATCAAGATCCATGTAGCCCTTCCTCAGTTTTGCCTTCTATGATAATTGTGGACAGATCCCAAAGCATTAATTTCTAAAGACTTTTTTCTCAGTCTAAGGTTTGACTGCTTTTCTTTCATCCCGTTCTTGATTTTTTCACAAGAGGACATACATGAAGAATACAAGTTAATTTACGTTAAATATTGCCCAGAGTATTGAAAAATTTTTATGAGCTAGAGCTTAAATTACCATCTTCTACATTTTTCCTTCTGAAACCCGTTCAAGAATTGTTTTTTCCACAAAGCACCCAGCATATGTACGTTTTTACCATAACTGTACTAGATAAGATAGTCTTTTGGTGGGGGAGAGGAGCAGGCATTGAACATCATAGTTGTTTGCCTGTTTGCTAAATAGGGTAGTCCATATTTTAGAAGGAAAAAGAGGAGTGGTTTTACTAAAAATGTATACAGTATACTTCCTTATTTGAAGATTCTCAACCTAAAATAATCAAAAGGGTCAGAATCTACTTTAAAGAGAGTTTATTCAAGCACAGTGTTGGAGGGATAGCTGCCTGGGAAGCACAGATTCCAAAGAATAGACATCAGAAGTTTGGGATCATTTATATCAGGGGTCCCCAACCCCCAGGCTGGTGAGCAGCAGGCGAGTGAGCAAAGCTTCATCTGTATTTACAGTCCCTCCCCACGGCTCTCATTACCGCCTGAGCTCCACCTCCTGTCAGATCAGCAGCAGCATTAGATTCTCATAGGAGTGTGAACCCTACTGTGAACTGCACGTGTGAGGGATCTAGGTTACATGCTCCTTATGAGAATCTAATTCCTGACCTGTCACTGTCTCCCATCACCCCCATATGAGACCATCTAGTTGCAGGAAAATAAGCTCAGGGCTCCCACTGATTCTACATTATGGTGAGTTGTATAATTATTTCACTATATGTTACAGTGTAATAAAGGGCACAGTCAGTCAATGTAATGTGCTTGAATCATTCCGAAACCTTCCCCCAAGCTATGGTTGGGGGAAAAGTTGTCTTCTGTGAAACCAGGTCCTGGTGCCAGAAAGGTTGGGGACTGCTAATTTATGTGGACAGAGTTTAGAGAAGCTTAACAGAGTTTCAGCATCTTTCTATATAAGGCTTTAATGCATAGTTACAACAGTCTAATTAGTTGAGGTGATGTTTTTGTTTCAGAAAAGGTGGAAGATGAGTCTTTTCTGCCCCCTGATCTGACTTAGGTACAGGACAGTAAAGGAGGCAGTTAATCTGTAACAAACATCAGTGGTTGGGAGGCAGGAGGTCTGGTCTCTTGATCTTTCCTAGTCATTTACAGAACAAGAACAGTGAGGAAAAGAGTTAATGTGTTGTCTAAGAAGAAGAAATCACCAACGTTCAAGTTGCCAGGGCTTAACTTCCTCCTTGACATAATAAATGTAGAGGGTCTTGAAATCCTATTTTCTTTTACATGATCCTATATATCAACTTGAATAGAACTAATGTTTACTTTTGAAGAAAAATTTAAATTAGAATGGTTGTCTTAAGTAAAGGAGGAAGCTTTAAACATGATCCTATATATCAACTTGAATAGAACTAATGTTTACTTTTGAAGAAAAATTTAAATTAGAATGGTTGTCTTAAGTAAAGGTGGAAGCTTTAAAAGTATTCTAATGGTACATTTAGAGGTGGAAGATTTTGTCTTTTCCTTTCATAGCACTTAGTATTTATTACTGTAGTATATATTGTATCTCCTGTACTGTCAGGGAACTTTCTGGTATTAGAAATCCCTGTCTGAATTCATTTGTGCCCAGCAGTTACATCAAATAGGGACTAAATATAGATGACCATATATGTTCTTCCCTTGTGTATACTCTTTAAGCAGGACTAGCAACATTCCCACTTAGTAATATAGCAGTATTCTTTAGTAATACTAACAACCTATCTTTCCTTAGTAATCATAAACATTAGTTTTAAGTTTTTCAGTACTTAAAAGTAATAGTATTTTATAATTGAAGTTTACTGTCTTTAAAAATTATTTGGTTTATCTTTGAATAGGATTCACTGGCAAAATTTGCTGGCAGAAAACTGAAAGACTGTGGAGAAGATCTTCTTGTAGAGATATCTGAAGTGTTGTTCAATGAATTGGCTTTCTTTAAGCTTATGCAAGATTTGGATAATAATAGTATAACTGTTAAACAGAGATGCAAAAGGAAAATAGAAGCAACTGGAGTGATACAATCTTGTGCCAAAGAGGTAAATAACGTTCATTTTGATTTTTAGGATAATTGACACATAAATACAGTTCTTGATCATTATTATTAACTGAAATCACATTTTACCTCAGCAAAAGTAGTTGTTTTTAGTAATACCAGTTAATCACATTATAAGTCATTACATATGCTAGTCACTTGTGGAATTTGAGGACTAACAGCAGTTGCTAAAGATCAGGAATGCGGGCAGGAATTGATGTTAAATGTACATTGTCAGATAACCAGTTCACATTATTGTCCTGTATTCAGGTCTTGAAAGATGAGAGAAGGACTGGGATCTGATCCTGGGCCAGTGCCAGGTGCCTGCCATGTCTGTTATTGATCCCTGTAGATTCTTCGAGAATATGCATTACCCAGAGGTCACTCCCAGTCAACACAAATGCTTATTAGTTAGGGCTTTGGTTTTACCTCCCTGTAGTTTGTTCTGCCTTGTCAAATTAATTTTGATCACAGGTGAGATTGGATGACTGTTCTGCCTCAAGTTGAGGCATACCAGGAAGCCTTTTCCCTAGATGTGTACCCTTTTCCTGACCCTCTTTTATGAGAAGGAAACAAGCCAAGACCCAAACAGAGATGGCTCTTCTTTCTTAGAATCTAAAGTAGACGAAGTCAGGCTGTCCATTTCACACTTTTCATGATATTTATTTTCTGGATATAAATAAATTTCAGACGTTGCTAAGAGCTTGATGAAAATAAAACAGCATGATACTATAATAAATGATTAGAAAGTAATACAGGCCAGGCTTAGGTCTATAATCCCAGTACTTTGGGAGGCTGAGACATGAGAAATGCTAAATTATGTATCTAAGTATGTTGCTAAATTCTGTGTAATTGATTTGTTTTAAAGGCTAAAAGGATTCTTGAAGATCATGGCTCACCTGCTGGAGAGATTGATGATGAAGACAAAGTATGTGCTAATTAATTTTTGCCTAAAAATATGGCTGGGCGCGGTGGCTCACCCCCGTAATCGCAGCCCTTTGGGAGGCCAAGGCGGGTGGATCACGAGGTCAAGATTTCCAGACCAGCCTGGCCAACATGGTGAAACCCCGTCCATACTAAAAATACAAAAATTAGCCAGGCGTGTGCCTATAGTCCCAGCTATTCAGGAGGCTGAGACAGGAGAATTGCTAGAACCTGGGAGGCAGAGGTGGTATTGAGCCGAGATCATGCCACTGCATTCCAGCCTGGGCAACAGAGCTAGACTGTGCCTCAAAAAAATAAAAAGCCTACAAATAATGCTTTTGAAACAATATAAAATTATTTTAACAGCTTTCACCTTAATGTTTGAAAGCAGACTGTATCATCAAATGACCTTTTTCCTGACACTTTTTTATTTTAAAAATAAAACTAGACTATCAAAAATGGTTCTTTGTATTTTTTATTAGATAATGATCATTATTAATACGATAGACTTACTATATACCTTTTACACATGTACTTTAAGGAATTAATTACTCAAATATTTTTGTGTCTAGGACAAGGATGAAACTGAAACAGTTAAGCAGACTCAAACATCTGAGGTGTATGATGGTCCCAAAAATGTAAGATCTGATATTTCTGATCAAGAGGAAGATGAAGAAAGTGAAGGATGTCCAGTGTCTATTAGTAAGTTTAAAGGCTCTGTACTATCTTTATACTTTAGTTTTTTGTAGGTCATTTATTGGAACAGTTTGGTGGAGTGTAACAAGTATAAAATTAAGTGTCAAAGAACTCTGATTTTGAATTTCACTGTGACCCTGACTAAATTATCTAGACTTTCTGCACTGTAAGTTTTTAATACATTCTGTTTGAGGATTTCAGATACTGTATATAAAGCATCTGTGCCATGCAGGAATGCAGTAAGTGGTAGCTATTGTTAAGATTATGTGCTGAAATTTACTAAAAATTGTGTATTAATCAACTTAGATTTGTCTAAAGCTGAAACTCAGGCTTTAACTAATTATGGAAGTGGAGAAGATGAAAATGAGGATGAAGAAATGGAAGAATTTGAAGAAGGCCCTGTGGATGTCCAGACTTCCCTCCAGGCTAACACTGAAGCTACTGAAGAAAATGAACATGATGAACAGGTATTCCCGTATTGACTGACACACTTCCATCAGCCTTATTTTAACTAATCAAACTTCCATCAGCCTTATTTTAACTAATCAAAGTAGATCCTTCTAAATATTCAGGTTTCATGAATGCAAGCCTCATTAATATGCTTATTAAAATCTGAAAAACCAGTTTATTTTTTATGATTGTTTTTTAGAGACAGGGTCTTGCTCAGTCTTCTGGGCTGGAGTGCAGTGGTGTAATTGTAGCTCATTGCTCATAGCCTCAAACTCCTGAGCTCAAGCGATCCTCCCACCTCAGCCTCCCAAAGTTCTGGGATTACAGACATGAGCCACCACACCCATCCAATAATTTATACGTTTTAAATTATACACTGTTTTTAGTGGTGTGATTAAATTTCACACCGGCCCTCTCCTTCCTATTTGGGTTGTGAATCATTCCATTGTCCGGCATGTCTACACTGTATACACTACCTGCTTGTTAATCACTTAATAGCCATCTAGGGTAGCAGATAGACTTGCAGTATAACAGTGTTCAAACAACCCTTATTTGACTTAATGGCCCCAAAGCACAAGAGAATTAATTATTCTATTATTAGTTATTGTTAATCTCTCACTGTGCTCCATTTATAAATTAAACTTTATCATAGATAAGTGTGTAGGGGAAAAACAGTATAAATGGGGTTTGGTGCTATCCACAGTTTTGGAACATACACTCTATGGATGAGGCGGTGCTTTTTTATATGTTATTTTCCTCCCTGGTCTAGATCTTTTCTTCTGGAGTTGGATATTTTACTGTGATGTGCCTTGTTGGGGTCTTTTTTCATTATTTGCAGTGGATACTCAGTGATTGTTTTCAAGTTGGTAAATTTTTAAATTCTCTTTATTACTGCCACACCATTTTCTCTTTTCTCTCCTTCTGTAATTATCAGATATTATTAGTACTCATGGATTGATCTTCTGATTTTCTCCTCTTTTCCTTATCTTTTGGTTTTACTTTGAGAGATTTTCTTTGACTTTAACACTTGTATGAAATTATTTTTATTTCAGCTGTCATATTTTTAACTTCTGAACACTTTCTTTTTTTCTGATTGTTACTTTTTAATAGTGCCCTGTTATTTCACAGAAGCATTACCTTCCGTTTTCAAATGTCTGCTGAACCTTGGTTCTTTATATTGAACAGTGATATATCAAAAAGCAAGTTAAGGTTCTTTTGGGCTTCACTGCAGGTAGGGCATTTGGGGAGACAGCCAGCATATTCCTACAAACTTCTAAATGTTAGTATCTATTGGTCTTTTCTTTGAGATGGTTTAGATTCTTCAAATTAGGGTCCTTCACTGTCGTCCTGCCTGGAGTGTATGAGCTTGGCTGCTGATATTCTGAAGCTAGATTGGGAATGGGGCTGAGGTCCCACCGTTATACAGGCATGCACTAGATTATTCTGTTTTCAGTATTCTATTTAGGTTGGTGCAAAAGTAATTGTGGTTTTGGTCATTTTCAATAGCAAAACCCACAATTACTTCTACACCAGTCTGATACTTTACTGTGTCATTTGTGTCTCCACCTCTACTCCCAGTGGCCCCAGGTTTGGGGCTCACTAGTTTAATTTCTCTAAAATATAATCTGCCATTTTCTGTTGAGGTGGGAGGAGAGAACCTACGTAGGCACATTTTCCTTAAACAGTTTTAAACAACTACCACCACCGTTTCATCTCCAGCTCCTGCCCCAACATCATCATGTCTTCCTTTCTAGATCTGTTACTTACAGTTATGAGGTGAATCTCAGTTTTTGTTTCCTCTCCCTGCTGAAGGCATTTAGCTTTGTTCATCTTCCTCTCGTCACTTCCTCCTTCATTCCCTTCTTGTCTGCATTAAGTGTCTTTTAGAGTCTGAAAAAAAATGAACAGTGCAGTCTGTTCGTTCCAGTTGTATTATACTGTGTGTGTGTGTTTTTAAGGCAACAAGGAAACCCTTTAACTTAGCCATCTTGAAATCACAACCAAAGCCGCCTCCTTGAAATAGTTTTAGAAGATACTTTTAAATTTCTTTGTATGAAGGTCTTGGGTTGGACAAAAACTACACACTAGTAATCATCTCTTTTATAGTGACCATATATTTCAGGCCCTGCTATTAAAACATTTTTCCCTTCTAGGTCCTACAACGTGACTTTAAAAAGACAGCAGAAAGCAAAAATGTCCCATTGGAACGAGAAGCCACTAGTAAAAGTAAGAAATCTAAATAAGTCTTTGATTTTAAGATAATTTCCTTTATTTGCTTTAAAGCTAAAAAAAAAAAAAAAACACACACAGAAAACACTAAAATTCTTAGTTTGAAAGTACTTTGGACCTGATGTATGTTTTTCTTCTCCCTATAAATCCTTTGTAGAAAACATAAGAATTTGTTTCTATAAACAATAAAGAAAAGGTGACAAATATTTACCTGCACAGACAAAAATTCTGTCAAGAGCATCGCATCTTTAGATACAAATAATGGTAGATTTAAAAAAAAAATCTATTTGTAGGCCTTATTACTGAAAGTCCTAATTTTTTAGAAATCAGGTGGATTTCAGGAATCTGAGTCTTAAAATGCTCCCAGGTGATTTTGATCAACTAAATTTGGGAACCATTGATAAGGAAAATTTGTAGTTGCCTTTTCTTTTTGGTCTTAAATATCTTGATTGCTCTTATTCAGGCGTATTGTCTTTATTAGTATAATAGTAAAATTTAACATTTTTTGCATTACACTAATGTTAAGACTTTCTTTTGATGACAGATGACCAAAATAACTGTCCTGTGAAACCCTGTTACCTCAATATCTTGGAAGATGAGCAACCTTTAAATAGTGCTGCCCATAAGGAGTCACCTCCTACTGTTGATTCAACTCAACAGCCTAACCCTTTGCCGTTACGTTTACCTGAAATGGAACCCTTAGTGCCTAGAGTCAAAGAAGTTAAATCTGCTCAGGAAACTCCTGAAAGCTCTCTGGCTGGAAGTCCTGATACTGAATCTCCAGTGTTAGTGAATGACTATGTATGTATCATTTACATTTCCAAATATTTTTACTTTTCATTTCTGTGCATATTTCTTCATTTTCAGATTAGCATTCTCCACATGTAAACCATTTTGTGTTTAGGTTTAGAACATGTTGGAACATTTTTCTAATTCACACTTTAACTTTAGCAGAAGGGTAATAGTGAATTAAGATGACCATCTCAAAACCCACATGCTGTTTTATAATTTTGAGAACCAAAGGGATAAAAAGATTTCATCTTAAGTTCGGCTCTGAAGTGGTAATGATGCATGAATCCTCCTTTATCCTTTATACTACCTATTCTTCTCAACTGTTTAGAATATATTGCAAATTTTCAATAAACTTAAAGGTTTACACTTGGGATAGGAAATAAAACAGTTTGACAACAGAATCTTTATACAGTGAATGATAAAAAAAAAAAAAACTAGGAAATCTGTACTCATGATAGTACTTACTAAATGAAAATTCAAGTGAAGCCCAGGTCTGAAAAATACTTGAGCAGAGGAAAGCAAAAACCTTTAAAGTAATTAATCTTGCTTAAGCTGCAAACATAAATGAAACTTCACTTGGGTCATTTCTGATAAATGCTTCTGTTAGAACCAAAGCTTAACCCCAGCCTGTCATAAGTAGCCCCCTAACATATGGATATGTGACTAGGGACTTTCTGAGAAGGTACTTGATAAAAGACAATTTTGTAATTGCAAACCAAGCAAATAATTTATTTTACTTCCACATTTTCCAAATAAATACTTGCCTCTGATATTTTGTCAGTGGAACACTAAATCTCTTTTGGTCTGGTGTTCCCACTTCCTGAATTGCTTCTTACTCAAATAAACTGTAAAATTTTATTGTGTCTCAGATTTGTCTTTTACAGTTTGGTGTCAGAGTAGGATTTGAAAGAGACCCCCTGTGGCCTCTGGAAGCATCGAGGAACCAGGCAAAAGGTGTCCATTGTGCTCACTGCTTTCTCGCTGCATCTGGAGGTCCTGGGTAAGTCCCTCTCGGATTTCAGGCTCCACAGTTTGTGTCCTGAGCTCTCTGAGTTTATCTGAGTAATTTTATTTTGAGACTGAGTCTCGCTCTGTCATCCAGGCTGGAGTGCAGTGGCGCGATCTCGGCTCACTGCAACCTCTGCCTCCTGGGTTCAGGTGATTCTCCTGCCTCAGCCTCCCGAGTAGCTGGGATTACAGACGTGTGTCACCACACCCGGCTAATTTTTTGTATTTTTAGTAGAGACAGGGTTTCACCGTGTTAGCCAGAATGATCTCGATCTCCTGACATTGTAATCCGCCTGCCTCAGCCTCCCAAAGTGCTGGGATTACAGGCGTGAGCCACCGCACCCAGCTGGGTAATTTTATTTTTTACTGGATCCAGAGGTCGAACTAGATGTTTGACAGTAACTAGACTGGGTCCAGTTGGCAGCCTCAGGTAGGTGAGGTTTAGAAAGATAGGGTATTATGGGTTCATTAACACCTAAAGACTCTGGGACCCCTCTTTCTAGAACTCTAGCAAATTTTATGTTTAGAAATTAGGAACATGAAACTATGCCTTTAACTATGCCTTTCTGGAGAAATGGTTACACTTTACCAGAGAAGAGAAGAGTTAAAGTTACAGTGGAGAAGTTTTAATCTAGATAAAATTGTTTATGGGGACATTAGAAAAGAAGGGATCCTAAATGCCTTAGAAACAATGGGAAGCAGTTTTTGATTGTTGTATACAGGCTTCTAAAAGACATAATTCCAAAATTGCCTTGCTAAAAGATTCCTTGCTAAAGGCAAATAAGACAGATGAAAAGCTTAAGCAGTGAATTGACAACCAAAATAAAATGAATTGTATGTAGGGAGTGATTTCACTCTGACCTGTTACTCTGCTTATCCTCCTCTAATTATTCTGAGTCCACTAACCCATTTGTTCAGTCATCTTAATCCTTTTGCACAATTACCCTTTCACTCTGGACGATGTGACAGAAAGGAAGTTAGGCTAATGCTTTGCTTAGTTAGACCCTCAGCCAGGACACCGAGGTCTGGCTCCTGTAAGTACTTTTACTTCTGGGTCAAAAGCTGAACTCAGAGCCATAGCAAAAGATTTTCCAAATCCCAAGGAAAATCCAAAACAGTTTGCTGAGGAATGTAGATTTAGAATGACCCTGGGCTTCCTGATTTCTGTCAGTTTCTACGCATGATATTAGCCACTGGGGAAGCATGTTAATGGATGACTACGGCAGGATGGCATAAGCCTCAGAAGAGTATTGCCAACCCTTTAAGAGCTACTTCTGTGGATAGCCCAAAAGATGCTACAAAAACAACTGGAAAACATCTAGAAGCTATCCCCATGGTCTTTCCACAAAAGATTGACTAGTCCAAAAAGTTGAATCTATTTCTGATTACACGGCTAAATTGGAAATCTCATTTGTTAAACATTCTGGTCTTAAAATACAGCAGGGAGTATTTCCTGCGGGAACTGAAATGGTTTTTATGGTTTTATTCATTAATAGTCTCTGACTAGAGTCTGGTGACTTGATTAAAAAACACAAGATTGGATGGCAAGTCACTGATATGGCTATATTAGTCACCATAGCTGAACATTTTGAGAGAACATTAGAACTAGAAAAAAATCAGTTTCTGTAAAGAGGCCATTGAAGAAAAGAGTCTCCACGCTTGACCAGTCCTCTAATGGACCTACCTGTGTTGGGCCAGACTATTTCCTCATTAGATGAAGTTCCCAAGGCTGGGCCAGGCATGGTGGTTCATGCCTGTAATCCCAGCCCTTTGGGAGGCCAAGGCAGGCAGATCACCTGAGGTCGGGAGTTCAAGACCAGCCTGACCAGCATGAATAAACCCTGTCTCTATTAAAAATACAAAATTAGCCAGGCGTGGTGACACATGCCTGTAAACCCAGCTACACAGGAGGCTGAGGCAGGAGAATCGTTTGAACCCAGTGGGTGGAGGTTGTCGTGAGCCAAAATGGTGCCATTGCACTCCAGCCTGGGCAACAAGAGCAAAACTCCATCTCAAAAAAAAAAAGTTCCCAAGGGTTTGACTCTGAAGACAATAATCAACACCAATGGGACATCAAGGGATTCTCTGGTATGTTACTCTCCATAAGGCCCTTAAACAAACATGGGGAGGAAACTAAGATCAGCATCAGTGGGAGTCACGTACAGTGTTGGTGGATACCTTATCCACTTTCAACCCCATGCTAATAAATCAGCCAGTCCCTTGGAGGAAAGAAAATATTTCACGTTTCCAATCAAGTTCAGAGAATCCTCTGTGAACCAGTCTAAATGACAGTTGGACTAATCTCAGAAAAGCATGCCTTCCTACAATATGACACTAAATTGAGAGGGCACTTAAAGTTCTCTCTGGAAGGAAAGTTAATTTTAGAGCTTCCTGACCCTTCTAAACCTGAACTGCTCTGTTTCCTACAAGCAGGAATTGATCATATTGAAACTCACTCTTATACCAACCTAGACCTTTCTGAAGTACCCAGATGTTTGTGGGCTTGTTTCTCAACTGACAAAGGGAAGATTAAAAGTGGTAAGCCTATAAAAATACAAATACATTATTCCAAGCCATTGCCTAAATTGCCCTCATGCCCCCTAGGGTCAGAGGCAATCCAAGGGCTTTACCCAGTTATAGAGGATTTAATAAAACAATTCCTTGTACTTGTCTCTATAATACTATAATCCTACAGTTAAGAAATCCATCACACCTTTAATCCCAGCACTTTGGGAGGCCGAGGCGGGCGGATCAGGAGGTCAAGAGATTGAGACCATCCTGGCCAATATGGTGAAACCCCATCTCTACTGAAAATATAAAAATTAGCTGGGAGTGCTGATGTACACCTGTAGTCCTAGCTACTCAGGAGACTGAGGCAGGAGAATCGCTTGAACCCGGGAGGTGGAGGTTGCAGTGAGCTGAGATCGTGCCACTGCACTCCAGCCTGGCCACAGAGCCAGATTCCGTCTCAAAAAAAAAAAAATATGTATATATATATATGTGTGTGTGTGTGTATATATATATATATATATATATATATACACACACATATACATACACATATATATATATAAATATATAACATATAATATATAACAAAGTTGGAGATTTGTTCAAGACTTAAACATACAATAAATTGTCAATCCAAGATTTCCTGCTATTCCAAATCCTAACACTTTGTTATCTAATGTGCCTACAGATTCTAAATGGTTCACAGTGTAATCTTTCTTTCCTCTGCCTTTTTCAGTATTCCAGTAAGCCAGTAGTTCTCTGCTTATACCTGGAAGAACCAGCAATATACTTGGACTGTAGTGCCACAGGGGTTCGCTGAAGCTCTATCTTGTTTTTCTCAGACATTATACCAAGACCTGTCAACCTTACAATTCCATAGAAATTGTATTCTGTCTATATGTAGATAATCTTTCATACTTTTAGCTTACAATGGACATAAGGCCTCAATGGCAAAACTTTAGTTCTGTAGAGCGGCTGTCCTCAGCCTTTTTGGCACCAGGGACTGGTTTCATGGAAGACAATTTTTCCATGGACTGGGGTAAGGGGGATGGTTTCAGGATGATTGAAATGCATTACATTTTTGTATATTTTATTTCTATTATTATTACGTTATATAATGAAATTGGTATACAACTCACCACAATGCAGAATCAGTGGGAGACCTGAGCTTGTCTTCCTGAAACTAGATGGTCATATCTGGGGATGATGAGAGATAATGACACAGCATCAGGCATTAGAGTCTCATAAGGAGCACGCAACCTAGATCTCTGGCATGAGCAGTTCACAATAGGGTTCAAGCTCCTACAAGAATCTGTTGCCGCCAGTGATCTGACAGGAGGCAGAGCTCAGGTGAGAATGTGAGTGATGGGAGTAGGTTTAAATAAAGGTGAAGCTTGGCTCGCTGGCTCCCCCCACCACTCACCTCCTGCTATTTGGCCTGGTTCTTAACAGGCCCTGGACTGGTACTGGGGGTTGCAGATCCCTGCTGTAGAGTAAAGGTCCATTACATAGGATGTGATCTGACTGCAGAGAGAATTTTCCTCTTAACTGAAATAATAAAAACAATCCAAGGGTTCCCTAGGCCCACAACTAAGGCAGTTAAGGGAGTTCATTGGTCTTATGGGATACTGCAGATCTTGAGTCCCACATTTCTCTGCTGGCTTCCCCCTTGCCTGAATTTAGAAAAATCTCTGTCCCAGAGCTTTGCCATGGGAAGATAATTAGGAACAAGCTTTCAATAAAATAAACCTGGCCTTATAACCCCTTCAGGTTCAGGATACCCAAGTTATTTAAAACCTTTCACTTTGGGATTATCAAATATGATAATCCATCCTTAGGAGTCCTTACTCAGAAACGTGGAGGAAGCTACTGACCCATTGCTTATTATACGTTACAGTTAAATCGAGTTGTCAGAGCATATCCAAACCATCTAAAAGCAGTGACAGCAGCAGCTAAATTGATAGGAACTTTATCTGACCTAGTATTAGGGAATAAATGTTACCTACAAGTTACACGTGCAGTTGAAAGCTCATTACCTTCCAGTCAGATCCAACATGTCTTAATAAGTAGACTAACATTTTATGATATCCTTCTCCTGTCACCTTCTAATCTCTATCTCAGATGTCAGTCTGCTTAACCCTACCACTTTGCTGCCTCTGTCTGAACAATAGGAAGACCAAAACTGTGTGTGTGGTATCATAACTATTGACTCCTCACATTGACTTATGGAAAACTTCATTAAATAATTCTGAATAAATACATTTTATTGATGGATCCTATGAAAAAACTGTAGAGAAGAAATACTGAGCAAGACATGCTGTAACAACTCAGTATGAACTAATAGAAAAGGGAATTCTTTCTCAGTTTAAGTCAGGACAACCCGAAGAATTACGTGATCTAAGACTTAACCATATAGCAAAATGCCAATCATTTTCCATTTATACAGATAATAGGTATGCCTTTGGAGTGAGTGATGATTTTGGAATGTTGTGGAAACAAAGGGTTTCTCACTTGTAGTGGAACCCCCATCAGTACTGGACCTCTGCCAGATGAGCTTCTTTCAGCTATTCTGCTGCCCTCACAAGTAGCTCTTAATAAAAATGATGCTCATGCTCGTAGGACTGAACCTGAGTATCAAGGAAATGCATGTGTGGACTTTTATGGCCAAGTCTGAAATTGACAAAATATGCATTTTGAATGAACTCCACAGAATTGACCAAGATCAAATCACTCAGGATAATTTGTTCAGTAAACAATGCTGTGCACTTGAGTTGAAACAACAAAAATGGAATCTTAAAGGTTGCAAATTTCATGCTCAACAAGGACTCAGTGAAGGCCCAGACAGCCAGCTGGTCCTTCCTGAGTCCTTCAAACTGTCATTATTATTAAAGGCCCTGCACTCTACAAACCATCATGGTGAAGAAAAACGTTTCAGATTATGAAAAAGATTATGAAAGCAGAAATGGCTTACAGCAGTGTGGCTTGTCAAACTCATAAAGCTGGAAAGACCCTTAAGATTTCTGCCACCTGCTAGACCATATGTAGGTCTGCAGATGGATTTCATTCAGTTGCCACCCTCATTGAGGTATCAGTACATTCTTGCGGTAGTGTACCTGTTTGCAAGATAGATTGGGACTTACCCTTATAGAAAGGCTGATGCCACAACAGTAGCAAAAAATTCTTAGGAAATGTATTTCCTTTATGGGGCTTTTCTGGAGAGATCTCCAGTAATAAGGGAACTCATTTTCCTGAACAGGTTATCAGATAAACAGGATTTTCAAACTCGGTGGCACTACCATTGGCCTTGTCATCCTCGGTCTTCTGGAAAGCTTGAATGGACAAATTGTATCTTGAAACTAAAATTAGCTAAATTGTCAGCTGGATTACCTTGGCCAAAAATTTTACCACTAGCCCTAATGGCAATTACATCAACCCCTACAGAAAAACACAAATTTGACCCCTTATGAAATAACTGGAAGACCTATGCCTTTAATACCAGAACCCCATGTATCACCTGTATTTGTTAGCTCTGAAATGACTCAATACTCTAAGACCTTAATGGATTATGCAAAAGTCTATTTCTACCAGCTGAAGGAGGCTTTTTGTGAACTGCCTACCAGTGATGATCTATGACTGGCTTCCATAACTTAGAACGTGGAGATTGGATCTTTTGGAAACAACAGCAGAGAAAAATTGCCCTTGAGCCTCATTGGAAAGGACTGTAGCAGACAGCTCTTACTACTCACAATGCAGCAAAACTTCAGGGTTTTCAGCCTTGGGTCCATCTATCTCAAGTAGAGAGAGCTTCCTTAGACTCTTGGACTTGACAACCTATAGGTGACTTAAAGATATAAAAGGGAAAGCCTTTCCCTAGGAGCAGGTGGCATCGTGAAGTAAACAACTTACCACCACAATGAAACGACTACATTTAAAACTTTTCTCATTAAGTTTTGATTTGGTTTTGCATTAACACAAAATGTTCAAACTTTTGTTGGGAACTTTTCCTACTCAAACAGAATATCCTCTAAGGTCTGATGTTCAAAGAATAGCCACTCTCACTCAACCAAAGCAATTGCTGGCCATGTAGTCATATAGATGAATGGAATCACAACTAATACCGAAATCTACTCCCACACACACTTGGGTGAGCAATTGGTTTTATGAAAAGGTTTGGTATCCTTCCCCTAGCAGGTTGGTTGATATTTATGGTTGACTGACTTCGCACTGGGAAGAAGTTACAGAAGCAAAGGTATGTCCTGTAACTACTATTGATTTTATTGCTGGTAATTTTATCACTATGGACAGAAAACCTTAATGGAACTGGGCCTAATCTAGCCAGGGTTCCAGTCTCCCTATATGCAGTCAGACTTTATGATTTAACACCAATTAGGGAGACTGCTCTCCTATATAATGACACATATTTAAAATCAGAACTTCACCATGATACCCTTGACTATATTAGTAGAGAACGGACTGAAACTGACATTGGTTCAAAGGAAACTCTAGAGGCAAATGGAATACCCCTGTAGTTTCACTGTATACAATAGGGTTTTTAAGATCAGTATTCAGGGCATATTTGAAAAGGAAACAAGTCATCCTTATTTGGCGATGGTACCCATGTGTAATACATAGAAGTGTTTTTTTATTCCTCTTTCTATTTAAATCATAACCATTCTACCTGGCAGTGTGCAGATGCAGATATGACAGAGAATAACCATGACAATCACATCATTCCCAATTGGTGGGTAATAGGATCTCCTTTGCCCCTTTCTCTCAGTAATACTGGATTATTCATCTTGTATGGCAACAAAATATATAAATGTTTTCACCTATATGGTCTGGACACTGTGGTTTGGGCTATTTCCTACCTAAAATGACCAGATATGACTCTTTAAATGGTTGTGAAATTCTTAATCTGGGGTTGTTTGTACATGAAGTGATCCCTTACAAAAGAACTCCCTGTGATCTCCCAAACTCGAATATATGAAGGGGTTCTAGATTTTGTTCTTTGGTAAGATCGCTTTTTCTTTAGCTGGCAGTCTCTGAATTGGAAAAATGGCTTATGGATATTTCAGCAACCCTTGAAAAAAAGTTTTAATGATACTTTCGATACTCTTCAAGCAATACAATCTGAGATGAGTCATTTGGTCTCACTGGAACTCCAGTAGAAGTTTAGCTGCTCACAGGGATGAGCTTTGGGTGAAACGTATTGTTTTTATGTTAATTAGATATTGTTGCCCCAAATTTAAAAGATCTTAATAAATCAGAATTTTTTTTATCAGATAAGCAAGGCCTCCTCCATTGATTTATTCAGTTGGTTAAATTTTAGGCCCCTGGGAATCTTTGCTTAGAGGGATCTTTAAGTTCTTGCTACAGTTACTGTGTTTTCTTCCTTTGTGCTTTATATCCCCACAAGGGGTTCAAATGCTTTCCAGCAGCCACTCACACGTCAGATGATTGCCATCAGGGAAGCTAACACTGTGTAAACTTGATGGAGGGTGCATGACTGAATCCCAACATAACTTTTGATGATAACAACTTTACCTGACTTTTCATCCCAACTTCTGTGTCAGTAGTGGTTACAGGATAATGCTACTCCATTTGGCCACCCTCAAGCTGAGAGGGCAGCCAAAAGGGGGGAATTGTTAAAGCAAAATTAAAATGGAGATCAGGCCTGAAAATACCTGACCAAAACCCCCATAAAACAAAGGCCTTTAAAACAGCCTTAATCTTCCTTGAATTGCAAACATAAGTGAAACTTAACTTGGGTCATTTCCAATCAATGCTTTTGTTGGATAGAACTAAAAGGAGTTTGAGAGCAACCTGGGCAACATAGTAAGACCCTGTCTCTACAAAAAATTAAAAATTAGCCAGGCGTGAGAGTGCAGGCCTGTGGTCCTAGCTACTCAGGAGGCTGAGGCGGGAGGATCACTTGAGCCCAGGAGTTCTAGACTATGGTGAACTATGATTGCCCCTGCTGCATTCCAGTCTGGGCAACAGAGTGAGGCCCTGTGTCTTAAAATTTCTTCTTAAATATATATTTACAGTTATGATTCATAATTTCTTAGAAAGGGGGCTTATAATCTTTGAAAAACGTTAGTACAAAGAGTAACTCTTCTAACTCTTTTGTTTGCCTCACTACGAGTACAATTATACATTTAAAACTTCGAAAATTACTGGTTAGATTTATTCTTATCTGATCATTGTCTAGTTGCCATAGAAGACATTTAATTGAAATTAAGTCAAAGGTAGATTATAAAAGCTCTTGAATTTGAATTTTAGTCAGGGATCCTACTGAATGTTTTTGTGCAAGGAAGTGAAATGGTCAAATTTATGGGCTGTGAAGATTAATCTGCTGACTATAGCATATACTATCAAGCTAGATTGGGGGATCTACTATTATATAAGTATGAAATATAAGCTGAACAGGAGCAGGGTGAGAAACAGTGCAAGAAGAAGAAAAACCTAAGATTTCTACTTGGATAATTGGTAGAATTATGATACTATTAAAAATCAGAAGGGAGAACTAGGAGGGAAAAAAATAGAATTCAAGTTTAGGAAAAACAGTTTAAGGTGATCACAAAAGACAGTTACTAAATTCATACCTCAGCTTTCTAACAGCCCCATCAGAGTTGATACACTGAAAAGTTTGTAAGTGGTTACTTACATTCTGCTGGGTACAGCTCTCGTGTTCAGTAAACATATGAAAAAACAAGAGTTGTCTTTCTGTTTTTAGTCCTGGTTGTAACTATTTCTTCAGCATGTATGAACTGCCCCCCTGCCTTTTTTTTTTTTTTTTTTTGTGACAAAATGGTAACAGCTTGACAGTATGTTTCACAGCTGTGATTGTAGCTTTTCCTATGAACTGCATATTTCTAAATTATTCATAGAGCTGAATGTAGAAGAAAACGAAATGTGATAGAATTACTGAGAAAATAATTCACTATTTCTTTACATGGATGACTGGTTTGGATCTAGAGTATGTATTTTTTTTTTTCATTACATTACAGGAAGCAGAATCTGGTAATATAAGTCAAAAGTCTGATGAAGAAGATTTTGTAAAAGTTGAAGATTTACCACTGAAACTGACAATATATTCAGAGGTATTTAGCTGTCTTTAATTAAACTTGTCTTTACATAACAAATACTGTTAAAATGAAAAATGATTTGTATTTTTAATTTTCATTCCAAAGGCAGATCTAAGAAAGAAAATGGTAGAAGAAGAACAGAAAAACCATTTATCTGGTGAAATATGTGAAATGCAGACCGAAGAATTAGCTGGAAATTCTGAGACACTAAAAGAACCTGGTAAGAGTTATCAATTTAAATCTTGCCATATTGAAAAATCATTGAATCTTCATACTACTATTGTGTTTTATTTTTTAAATATGCTACTACTGACCTGGGAGATTTAAGCCAAATACTAGAAAGAAAGTGTAATTCTGTAAGAATTTTAGTTCAACTATTTATAAAACAGTGTCAGATAATTTTTTTCTATTCACATCTTTAGTTTTAAAAAATGTAGACATGCTGGCTGGGCGCGGTGGCTCACGCCTGTAATCCCAGCACTTTGGGAGGCCAAGGCGGGTGGATCACGAGGTCAGGAGATGGAGACCATCCTGGCTAACATGGTGAAACCCCGTCTCTACTAAAAATACAAAAAATCAGCCAAGCGCGGTGGCGGGCGCCTGTAGTGCCAGCTACTCGGGAGGCTGAGGCAGGAGAATGGCGTGAACCCAGGAGGTGGGGCTTGCGGTGAGCTGAGATAGCGCCACTGCACTCCGGCCTGGGTGAAAGAGCGAGACTCCCTCTCTGAAACAAAAAAAAAAAAAAAAAAAAAAAAAAAAAAAATGTAGACATGCCCATGGTTTAAGAAAGGTACAAAAATATTATAAATAGCAAAAACCCACTTTTTTTTTTTTTTTTGAGACAGAGTCTCTGCCACCGAGGCTGGAGTGCAGTGGTGTGATCTCAGCTCACTGCAAGCTCCTCCGCCTCCCAGGTTCGCGCCATTCTTCTGCCTCAGCCTCCCAAGTAGCTGGGACTACAGGCGCCCGCCACCACGCCTGGCTGATTTTTTTGTATTTTTTAAGTAGAGACGGGGTTTCACCAAGTTACTCAGATGGTCTCGATCTCCTGACCTCGTGATCCGCCTGCCTCAGCCTCCCAAAGTGCTGAGATTACAGGCGTGAACCACCATGCCCAGCCCAAAAACCCACTTTTTATTATTGATTTTTAGTTCTTTAGGAGACTATAACTCTAAATATTATGATTCTTAGTTTTTAAGATGCAGATAATACCTCTTTTCTACCCGATGACAAGTATGTATCTAGCCCTACCTCTCTCTCCTCCTCCTCTCAGTGTTCATATTATTTTTGTTTGTTCTATTTTTTACTTTCAATTTTGGTTAAGTATATGTGCATTTTGTTCCATCAACTTTGGTCATTATCCCTTGCTGCTCCTCCTCTGCTTTCTTCCTGGTTCTCTGTTCAGTTTTACCCATATTCTTACATTACTAAGGCTATTATATACGCTTACATTTTGTTTTCGTAATATAATTAAATGGTTCTATACCTTCTCTGAGGTTGCTTCTATATAAATATCATTCATTGTAGAGCCAAGCGATAGTCTCAGATTTTCTGTATGAGTCTAATAACACAGCTCTGGAGCCACTCAATGTTTCTTGCATCAGGATCAAAGGGTTTTCTTTTTGTTGTTCTCCATCAGTTCATCAGTTGATGAAAATTGCATGATATCTCATTGTTTTTGTTTTTCCTGGAAATGGAGTTGAGGAGAAGGAAAGACCCTTCAGATATCAGACCTTCAGTTAATTTCTGTTTTCAGCCCACTTCTACCTGTTAGAATATGGTACCCTTCTCAGTTGCAGCCTCTTGCAAGTGTTTGAACTGCAGCTTCCTCCACTGTCATTGGGTATGCTTCCATCTGCATTGAGCATTCTGGTAATTTGTTGATATCCCCTCTTCTGTTTTCTCACAACCAGTCTTTTGTTGGTGTAGATTTATTCTATTCTATAGTTGTTTTCTTTTCATAGTGGAGTGTTTTTAGAGAGACACGAAGTATCTGCTCAGTCTGCCTTGTTGAATCAGAAACGCCTCACCTATTCTTTTTTTACTGTGTGCTATTAGGGAATTGTATTAGCAAGCTAATTTAGGATTTCTTTTATAATAACGTTATATTAAAAGTAAAAGCTTTAATGACAGAGAACAATGTTAAATTCTAGTAATTCGATAAGTAATTTATAAAGCATTTTTATTCTGTTTTTCAGAAACGGTGGGAGCCCAGAGTATATGAGATGTCTTCAGAGGCTCATCTAACTCTGTCCTTACATACTCAATGCATATATGAAAACAATACTAAATAAACATCTGATCTGTATAAAAATGTAAATTAGTTTGACACTGCTTTTTTGATAGGTGTGGTCATTTCTCCCCATGGTAGTTTAAAACATCAGAAACTGAATTCTGGACAGATTTAAGCCTTGACACACTGTGTTTTTTTTTTTTTCCCCCTTCTTTTTTGGGTCTTCATTTTTTTCCCCATTGTGATGTTTGGTAACGAATTTAAAATGTAGTTTTAAATAAAGTTTGGACTTATCTATAAAGTATCTTTTTTGGAAATTATATTGAATTCTATACAGCAAGTCAATGTTTTATATAACTTTAGGCTGCTCAGAGAAGAGCAATGGTTAAGAGTTAGTTAGAGAAATATATTATTTGTTATAAAGCCCATCCATTAGGCCAGTCTTCCAACTAATGCCAGTGTTGCTGCTGTTGGGTCTGATGTTCTTCTTTTAGATACCTGCAGGTCCTATTCCTGTGCAAGAATAGGGCAGATTATCAAGATATCCAGGATACCTATGAAGTTATTATAGAATATTTATTAATCCATTGAAATTGGATAATAAGTTTAGAACATAGGTTCTCAGTATCTAGAACTTACATCATTATCATCTGTTTGTTAGGATTTGAAATTCTGGAAAATATTTATCTACATCGCCTCAGACTAAAAGTAAAAAAAATAAGCTTTATATAATTAGGGAGATTTCTGCACAGAGAAGTAACATTGTGGTTAATTTTAAATGAAAAACTTAACTTTTTCAAGTGGGGATAAATAATACAACTAAATTTCTGTAATAGTAAGATTCTGTATGCCTTCAGATAAACTTGCCTATTGAGATGGTAATTTAAAGCCAAAGCATAGCAGTTTCTTTTGTGTGTAGTGAGGTTGAAGCAGATTTGCAGGTGAAGTATTGAAAGTTTATGTGACTTTAAGTCAGCTTTTGAAAAGTGATTGATTTGCTTTTTATCCCAAACTGTCCATATACCCAGTAAGGCTTCAAAAAACCAGTCAACAATGAGTAAGTCAATCTTATAGATTCTTCTTCCTCGAATAAAATACAAAGAATTAGTTCCAATAAGTATTTTAACTTTGTTAACAACTGAAATACCCCATAAAAAAAGAACTTGTTGAGAGTATTTCTTTAAAATGGTTACTTGCTGCCCAGGCACCATGGCTCACTCCTGTAATCCCAGCACCTTGGGAGGCCGAGGCGGGCAGATCACGAGGTCAAGAGATTGAGACCATCCTGCCCAACATGGGGGAAACCCCGTCTCTACTAAAAATAAAAAAATTAGCTGGGAGAGGTGGCACGTGCCTGTAGTCCTAGCTACTTGGGAGGCTAAGGCAGGAGAATAGCCTGAACCCGGGAGGTGGAGGTTGCAGGTTGCAGTGAGCCGAGATCATGCCACTGCACTCCAGCCTGGCAACAGAGCGAGACTCTGTCTCAAAAAAAAAAAAAAAAAAAAAAAAAAGTTAACTTGCTGTATACCTCAGTGTAATGTCCATTCAAGGAGTATTAAATGAGGATTTCCCTGCGAGGACATTTACTGTATTGCTACTTAAATTATGGAAGACAATATATCTTCAACTTTAATAAAACCTATTCAGAAAATTACCAATTCAGAATTCGGAGTTCTTATCCAGGTGCTCTAACTAACTTCAGGGAAATTGGAACAATAAGTTATGTTACATGCACACTCAAATTCTTTATTTTCTCCACTTTAAGCAGGAAAGGGTAAAAACTGTTTTGGTACTCAAGCCCAGCCTTACATACTGTGTTTCTCTCTCTGTCTGCATGCATATTAAAGTGGAAAAATTGTATTTATATCTTAGTTATTACCATAGTACCTATGAACCTTATCAAAATTGCTTATTTGACTGGTGTTACAGCTGCTATTAATCTAAGTCTATTGTTTTTCTATTTTAGTAGATAATTTAGTTTTAAAATACGTAGGGTTTGAGAGCAGATATATTTATTTAATCTGTTTTCTCTAGTAACTATTGCTGAAGGGTTAGGCATTCAGTATTCCTATTTGTCCTAATTTTGAAGTTAAAAATTTTGGTTACAGATAGATAGAGGGAGAAAAGTTCAAAATGAGTGAGAGAGAACTTTATGCAGGTTGAGATAATGCCTAAAATAATGAGCTGGCCAGACTGTGGAGGTACTCTTTGTATTTTGTAACATTGACTTTGGGTAAATGCTTTTTCACTGTTAATAAATATATATCCTGTATACAACCCTGAATTGTATTTTCTTTTAAATTCACATGCTCATTTATGTTTTAGAATTTGTTCCACAGTGGTGACTTGACAGCTTTAAATGTCACTTTGGGAGGCCGAGGCAGGCGGATCACAAGGTCAGGAGATCGAGACCATCCTGGCTAACACGGTGAAACCCCGTCTCTACTAAAAATACAAAAAATTAGCCGGGCGTGGTGGTGTGCACCTGTAGTCCCAGCTACTCAGGAGGCTGAGGCAGGAGAATGGCGTGAACCCGGGAGGCGGAGCTTGCAGTGGGCCGAGATGGTGCTACTGCACTCGAGCCTGGGCGACAGAGCGAGACTCCATCTCAAAAACAAAAACAAAAAAAAGTATATGTTGAATAATGGTATGATAGAAGTCACTGGCCACAGGAAGAATAAACTTCAAAGAAGTAAGTTTATTATACTCAAAGGCTTCAGAGTGGATTACCGCCAGTGCGATGGCTCACACCTGTAATCCCAGCACTTTGTGAGGCCGAGGCGGGCGGATTACCTGAGGTCAGGAGTTCAAGACCAGTGTGGCCAACATGGCAAACCCCTGTCTCTACGAAAAAATACAAAAATTAGCCGGGCATAGTGGCACATGCCTGTAGTGCCACCTACTCAGGAGGATGAGGCAGGAGAATCGCTTGAACCTGGGAGGTGGAGGTTGCAGTGAGCCAAGATCATGCCTCTGCACTCCAGCCTCAGTGATACAGCGACGCTCTGTCTCAAAGGAAAAAAGAGGTTGAGTTACCACATGCTATATAGGGTCATGGGCAAAGCACCAAATTTTGGTCACGTGGCATAAGACAGGAGCAAGGAGCAAGACTAGCTAGATCCTTTTTTGAGATTTCCTTAGGAAATGCCAGGCGGGGTAGAGTAAATGGTTTAAGATTGGCTAGTTTGAATAATACTGGTGGGCCATAGGGATGGTGTCTGATTCTCTGGGACCTTGTCCTAGGATGATTTAGGATGGATAAATAGTGGCTTAGTGTGCAAGTATTAGATGAGTGTGGTTGGGGCTGTAGACTTGGGATTGATAGGTATGTGTATGAAAGACCTGCTCCTGGCTGAGCCCTTTGCTATCTCTAAGAGACCTATCGCTAAGAAAGACCTTTGCTATCTCAAAGAACCTTTGCTATCACTAAGAGACAGACCCTGAATGGGGTGGTTCCTCTTTGATCAGCAAGCATTTAAAGATGTCAAAGCATCATAAAATACAGCAAATAAAAAGCATGAATAACATATATACTCTAGAGAGAACATTCTTACATTTACTCAAAAATAGACTGATTCGTTTCTTGTCCAACTTTTTTTTTTTTTTTTTTTGAAGACAGAGTCTCACTCCGTTGCCGAGACGGGAGTGCAGTGGTGCAATCTCAGCTCACTGTAACCTCCACCTTCCAGGTTCAAGTGATTCTCCTGCCTCAGCCTCCCGAGTAGCTGGGACTACAGACATCTGCCACCGTGCCCGGCTAATTTTTTTTTTGTATTTTTAGTAGAGATTGGGTTTCACCATATTGGCCAGGCTGGTCTCAAAACTCCTGACCTCATGAGCCACCCGCCTCGGCCTCCCAAAGTGCTGGGATTACAGGTGTGAGCCACCTCACCAAGCCTGTCCAACTTTCTTTAATCAGCTCATCTGTCAAAAAGAGATTGACTCTAGATTTCCCTTATTTCACTACACAAATAAAGTTTCCAAGTCACCTTGACTGGAAGAGCCAGCATTTCCCGTTGTACAACTCTAATTGTTACTCTTACAGTCCCTGTCTTTACATGTCTGGTTTCTTCCTCAGATTCACTGGTATCATTTTCTGAAAATTAAGGAACAGAAGGGAGCTCTGTGCCTACAAATGACTTTGATGCACGCAAGCATGCACCCACACACGTATACACAAACAGATTCAGTATCCATTGTTAGAAATGCTCCAAAATCCACAACTTTAAGTGCTGACATGACCTTCAGAAGAAATGTTTATTGGGGCATTTGGGATTTTGGATTTTCATATCTGGGATGCTCAACCAGTAAATATAAATATTCAAAAATTCAAAAAATCCAAAATCCAAAAGACTTATTTCCAAGCATTTCGGATGAACAATATTCAGCCTGTGTATGTGTATGTGTGTGTATATACATATATATGTACACTTCTAATTACCAGTTCATTTCTTCTTTATAAGCTTAGAAAAATCTGTTACAAAATAAATTTTGGAGCAGCAATTTAAAGAGCTCTTGATTTCCTTGTTTTAAAAACTAATCACAGTATAAAGTTTCTATGCAACAGAGTTCTATTATATCTCTTTTACATAGTAAATGTATTTCTTGCCTTAAGACTTTTCCAAAGTGTAGTTAGTTGGCTATCCCCCATATGTAGGTTTAACAAATCACATGATTAATTTTAAAACAAATCATATAGTTGCAAATATTATTTTGCTAGGAATCCTCACCTTTAATAAATAGCTTCCTGCCTAGAGC
Organism: Homo sapiens; assembly: GCF_000001405.40. NCBI lineage: Eukaryota > Metazoa > Chordata > Mammalia > Primates > Hominidae > Homo > Homo sapiens. Next base: position 18,032,430 of record NC_000008.11, read on the forward strand.
TTTTCTGTGGATCAGATCACAAAATACTTTGAAAGATGCAAAGAGCTATGTCATTTCACACTAGCAGTTGTCAACATTTGTGTTAAACCACTTTTAGTGAGACTATGGACACAAATTTAGACTTATCCCATCTTCATTGCTGTTTATAAAAATTTCACTTACTAGTGTGACCATCAGCTATTGTCTCACAGTTACATTGAGAATTTCCCTAGACTGGGAATAGGTATAGGTTATTCTATTCAATGAAATAATGCTCATAAGAATGTTTTGAGTATAAGTGCTATACAAATTACCTATGTTGGAGAAAAAAGACAACTCAGTATGGATTAAGTTCTGGATTTGGGATTTTTTTTTTCTTTCAGATTTTGGAATATTTACATTATACTGGTTGAGCATCTCAAATCTAGAGTTCAAAATGCTTCAGTGAGCATTTCCTTTGAGCATCAGGTCAGTACTGACAAGGTTTTGCATTTTGGACCATTTCAGATCTTTGGGTTTGGGACGCTCAATGTGGAGTGGTTTTGCTTTGTTTTCAATGTTCTAACCAACGTATCATTAAATCAATTTCCAGGGCAGAGTTTTAAATACTGATTGTCCACCAGAACCCACAGTTGCTTCTATGTGTCCTTTGTGAACATGTTCTGCCTATATACTTTTTTTTGTAGATTTTCCTTTTCTTAGGTGACAGAGACTAAAGGGCCTTCATTATAATGGATCTTGGATCTTAGATGTGCAGTTTCCCCCCAGTATCAGCTTTGCCATTTCCAATCTTTCTATTCCCTCACTCTTCCCTCTACCCTCCAAAATATTTAAGACAGATAATGAATTTTAAGTTATAAAATCAGTATTTCAAATAGCTTTTTGGATTATGATTTTCAAATTTACCTTGGATTATGTAATTTTGCCTCTTTTTTCTGCCCTTCCCTACCTTTCTCTGTATTCCCCCACCACCAGTTGTCAAATTTATATTACACAAATATTCAATAGAGAAATCACTAATAACTTATTTTTGTGGCCCATCGAATTCTGTTGAATTTGAGTATATAATAGCTAAAAAAAAAAAAAAAAAGCATATTTCAGGTGGTGTTTTCTAGCCAAATGAGTATATGTATTTTGTATTTCATATAATTCTGAAGCTTATTATCTGGTAGTTTCAGTGGTCAGTCTCAATTTTTATGTAGAAAACTTCTATACTCTTCCAGGGCTTATCAGGATTCAAAAGTTCAATTTATGTAACATCATGTAGTTCAATTTTTTTCTTCTATCTATATTAGCAGTCATATATACATTAGATATATGTTAGAATGCTTTTGGTTTTAACCTACAATTCCTTACCAGGAAATATTTGGACAGTATTATAATAAAGCAACAAAGAGATAGGGTTTCTATGACATTTGGAAATGTACAATGCAAAAAAAAACCCAAAAACCCTGCTGTTCTTCATTTTCCTATCTGTGAAATGCAGGAAGAATTATCCTAGATCCAAGGATGCTTTTAGTATTTTCAAAGGAAGACTTACGAAAAGAATTAAAAATGGAAATTAGTGAATGAGCAATTATACAAATAATTATCGGTGTTTATTGAAGTCCCAGCGAATAAGAAAGTGAAAAACCATAGTAACTCTTTATTTTATAACAAAAATGGGATTAAATTACAAGGATTCAGGTGACCCCAACTTTTGTCCATTTTCTATGACTTGGGAGGCTTCTGGACTTCTCTTTGGCATGGTGGCACTGCCTGAAAAAAAAAAAACAGGGACTTCTTGTTCCTCAAGTCTTTTTGGGGCATGTTACTTAGTCGACAACACAGAAGAAGGATACTACAATAAACTGTTTTTCTTCCCACTCCTAGGCTTTGAAAAACTAGTCAGTTATTGTAGTCCATTCTCCAACCTTAAACAACTAAATGATACTTTAAGTTAGTTTGCCACCCTTGGCGTTAGAGTCTTTCTGTATGGTAAGATTCAAAAAATTCATATGGAAGTATGTTAAGGTTTATGTTAAGGTTCACATAGATACTAGATATTGACGTGTTAAAACGGAGTTGTTGGTTGCCCCACATCTGATTGTTCTAGTCTTCTCATCTTAGTACGTGCCAGTTCCATCCTTCTACTTTCTTAGGACAAACCCCTTGACATTGTCTGTGGCTCAACTCTGTATCCCAAACCCTTCATCCAACCCTTCAGTAAATATGGTCAGCTACACCTTTAAAAAGTAAGTCGAATCCAGCTGGTTTTCACTACCTCTTCCACTGCCATCTTTATTCAAGTCACTCTTATCTCTTGCCTCGATTCCTGTAGTAGCCTCCTAATGGCCAGACCCGTCACTTCCTAGACTTTCTATAATCTAGTCTCAGCACAGCAACCAAAGTGATACTGTTCAGATGATACCAGTAGCTTCCTATTTTATTCCAAGTAAAAGCAAAAATGACTTCAGAAGGCCCTACAGGACAATTCTCTACCTCTTCCTTTCTTATTTTCCGTGTGCTTCAGTCACACTGACCTCTTTGCTGTTCAGACCTGCCAGGCATCATTGCATGCAGGGCCTTTTGCATTTACTGTTACCTCTACTTAGAATGTTCTTTCCTCAGATATTTTTATGGCAGACGTTTAGTGAATCTTCTTTATGTATCCAACCTAAAATTGCACCTCCCCACAGTTTATTTTTATCTTCTTGCCCTCAGCTTATTTTTCTCCATATTACTTATCCACAGTTAACAATATTTTACTTATTTTATGTCTTTCTCCACCCCCTCAGTTAGAATGTAAGCTCTTTAAGGGTAGGAATTTTTCTCTGCTTTGTTCACTGCAATATTTCTTGTCTTTAAGCAGATCCTGGAATGTAGAAATTTTTCAATATCTGTTACATAAACAAGTAAATTTGAGTATTTCGAAGAGAGATTCAAGGTCATCAGTATGTTTTACTAAGAAGGATTGGACATCTTATTTAACTATGGCAAATGGATTCTTCTCCACTTCAACAGTTTTAACAAAAACAGTGGAATATTCCTATAATAGTACTTTTCAGAGAGAAAAGTTTCAGCTGAGGAAAATGAAATATATGCTTATCTATTCCAAGTCTGCTAATAGGTAAGTCATATTAGTTGATTGATATAATTTGAAATTAACATGAAATTTAAGTTTAAAATGCAGTGAATCTAATGATAACATACAACAATAGATTTTAAAGTAATCATTGGAAAACCTTCAGAAAAACTAGGCTGTTAGTCAAATTGAAGAATATCTCCTAAGGGTTTCTGGAAAGAGACCCCTGCCCTAATTTCCCACTAAAAGGTCCAGAAAAATTGATGCCACCTGTAGTTTGGCAACGTGCACTAAAAAGTTCAAGGTACCGTCTTTGGCATAGCAATTTAATTGCTAGAAATCCTAACAATAAATATCTTAAGCTCTAAGAATCTTTATATATATAAAATATATGGATAATCATTCTTTGTCCTACATATTTAAGCTCTATCATCTATTTTAAGTAATTTTTTTTTGGTATGGTATGAGGTAAGGATCAGGTTCTATTTTTCTCCTATATAGAAATCCAGTGCCTTCATTTGTTCAAAGGACTTTTCCTACTGTCTTGTTACCTTTGTGGAAATCAATTGACCATATATGTGTGGCTCTATGTCTGGAATTTCTGTTATGTTCTGTTGATTTATATGTCTATTGTTACATCAGTATTACACTGTCTTGACTACTATAGCTTTATAGTAAGTCTTGAAATTAAGAAACGTAAGTCCTTGCTTGATGACTTGGGATACAGAAAAAAAAATCTCCTCTGAGCTGTTCTAACACTCAATAAAGTTTGTCTTCATCTTGCTCCCCCAAAAAAAAAAAAAAAAAAAAAAAAAAAGAAAGAAAAAGAAACGTTAAGTCCTCTAACTTTGTTCTTTTGCAGACATTTTTGGCTATGTTCTTTTCATTTTCATGTTTTGCATTTTCAATTTCAGTTTTCACAAACCAAAAACCTGCTGGGAGTTTTATTAGAATTGCATTGAACTTATAATTTGGAGGAAATGGAAATGGAAACAATATTGAGTTTTCCAATCCATGAACATTATATAGTTTTTTGGAAAGAAGTCTGCTGTCATTTTTCTTCTGTGTGTAATGTGTACTTTTCAGCAATTTGAATATGATATGCCCGTGTGTATGTGGATGTGTGTATCATGCTTGGGGTTCACTGAGCCTATGTGAGTTCGTAGTTTCCATCAAATTTGCCTCACACCCTCCAGTTATTCTCTATCCCATCATTTTCTTTTTTTTTTTCTTCCTATACTTGTCACCATCTGAAACTATCATGATTAGTATATTCACATCTGTCTCTCCTTGTTAAGGAGTCAAACTTGTTCAACACTGTATCCCCAGCAACCAAACAAGGCCTGACACAGAGTTGGTGGTCAGTATTTGTTAGCTTTGTATATTATTGCCTACAACATTTACCAGTAGGATAATAACTCAGTCGTCCTAATATTTGCTGTACATCAGCTACCCACAGTATTCTAGCATTGCTTATTTCAGTGTCAGATACTGATATGTTAAAAGGGAAAGGATTAGGTAGATTTTTCCAAATGCACTGTTGTTCTAGAAAAGGGGTAATTGTTATTAAATCACCACCATTATTACTGCCTGGTGCTTCAATGAACCTCTAGCTTAAGGGAAACAAAAACAACTTGATGTCAACTCTTCAAAGCAAATGGTTTCTACTCTGTCTACCTCTCCAAATGGCCACATATCCCAAGTGTTCACAAAATATTTATTGTTATTGAGGATCCTAGATGTGAGAGGGGTATAGGGCAGGGCCAACCTTATCAACACTTTGGCCTCAAAGATGAATGGAACCTTGCCCTCGGTATTTCTCTGTAACTGCAGAGTTTGGTTGAGTAGGGCAGAGGAGAAAGAACAGTATTAGTGTCTGTCATTTTTGACTGTATACAATTTGCTGATCAAATGGGAGCTCAGGGAATAGCCTACAATATTATCAAAATGTTCAGCCACCATCGTCTGCCTACATTTCCACCTAAAACAGTGCTGTTTCCTATTTGCTATTTTTTAGAGGGTTAGTTTCTTCGTGTGTGTGTGTGTGTGTGTGTGTGTGTGTGTGTGTGTCTGTGTGTATATATATATTTTGGCTGGGGTGGGGGTGGAGGGCATATAAATTTTTGTCAACTTTCCAGCGACACTGTATTTCCAACAAGGTTTAAGTAGGACATCAGTGACTGGTCAAGCCCTTTGAAGGCTGTCTCTATGCCAAGTAAGAAGATTCTTTTTATGTGGAATGCAGTATCAAATCAGCAAAGCAGCAGACTTATCAAGGAAAAACTATACAAAGAAGTTCGGGTAGAGGAAAAGGTTAATTTGAAATCTTTCTGAACTTACATTATAATTACTGAAGGTCTTTAATATTATAATAGCTGGCAATAATTCTGATAGTGGCTTTTCAATGGAATTTAAAAAATTCTACATTCTACTTCCACTGGAAAATGTCATGTCAACGAGTTTAATTGTAAACTAAGGATAAGCTCAAAAGGGTGATAACAGAGAAAAAAGTAATCAGGCCACTATTGAGAAGAAGTACAATGAAAGTCGTCAATAGTATATCAACTCACACACTATTCTACTTCCCCACCCTTACCATCATTCTTCCCTGGCACTTTAATTAAAAGAGAAAGGTTGAAGGAAAGAGCATATATGTGGAACTCTATTCTGTTGCTAGACTCTATGCCCCTCATTGATTTGAGAACTTCTTTAACTGCAGTTTAAAAAATTAGACACAATCTCTTTTAAAACCATGAAAAAGAAATGAATGCCCCTAAGTATAACTTACATTCCACACTGAACTACAGGTTTTACCCAACACTGTCAGGCAAGAAAAAATGTGTAAGAATTTGGAAAGAAAAAAAACTGCCATTATTCACAGATGATTTGTTGTCAACAAAGAAAATCCAAATCTACAGACAAATCATTTGAAAAAGTGTGTTTAGCAAAATTGTGTTATATAAGGTGATAATTTAAAAATCATTTTTATACATCGGCAATTAATAAGCCATGTTTTGAAATTATTTAAAATTGTTTGAAACTTACAAATACAAGATAAAAATAAATGTCACAAAAGATGGACAAATTATAAAGTTTTCTGAGTCATTAAGGAAGATCTCAATAAATGGAGAGACGTACAATACATTTTGAGAATACTACTCAATAATGTGTAGATTTCAGTTTTCCCCAAATTGACCTAAAGATTGAATGCAATCAAAATCAAAAGTCCGTGTAAATTAGTCCAGCTACAGTAGAGAACATTTTGGAGATTTCTCAAAGAACTGACAGTTGAACTACCATTCAACCCAGCAATCCCATTATGGGATACATACCCAAAGGAAAATAAATTATTCTACCAAAAAGGCCCATGCGCCTGTATGTTCATTGCAGCACTATTCACAATAGCAAAGACATGAAATCAACCCAAATGACCATTAACAGTGGATTGGACAAAGAAAATATGGTATATATACACCATGGAATACTATGCAGCCATAAAAAAGAACAAAAATCATGTCCTGTGCAGCAACATGGATGCAGCTGGAGGCTGTTATCCTAAGTGAACTAATGCAGAAACAAAATCAAATACTTTATGTTCTCACTTATAAGTGGGAGCCAAACACTGGGCACACATGGACATAAAGATGGGAGCAAAAGACACTGGGGACTACTAGAAGGGATAGAGCAGGAGGAATCAAGGGCTAAAAATCTACCTATTGGGTTCTCGGCTCACCCAATGTGGGTGATGGATTCCTTCATACCCCAGACCTCAGCACCACACAGTATACCTTTTTAACAAATCTGCACACGTACCCTCAAATTCTAAAATAAAACTTGGGGGAAAAAAATAAAAATTCCAACATAGTTTTTCAAGGAATTGATAAACTAATTTTAAAAGTAATAGGGAGTATCAAATGCCCCCAAATAGCCAAGATACTTTGGAAGCAAAAGAATGCAACGAAGGGGCAGTGGTTGCCCTACCAAATATAAAATCTTATCATAAACCTATACTGCTTAAAGATAGTATACCTAGGTCCAGGGATGGACAAACTGAATAATGGAAGGAACTCAAGCATACATAAGGTCTTATACTTGACAAAGGATGTTATAGAGTAGTAGTGAAAGGAGAACTAATCACTACATGCCGTTCAGTGATTATCCATGTAGAAAAGAATATAATTATCTCCCTTGTCTCTCATCATACATAAAAACCCAACTCCATGTGAATTAAAGACAAATGTGAAAGAGCAAACTTGATTAAGAAAATACATGAGAAGATTTTTTACTTTGAGGTAAGAAAAGATTTCTTAGACACAAAAACAATCCATAAAAGATTGATAAATTTTTCTATAGTAAGAATATGGACAGATCTTAAAAACAATGTTGAAGAAAGGAGCAGTCACAGAATATTATATATGTATGATTCTATCTTCATATTGCTCAAAACAACTAATACATGGATAAGGAATATATACATATGCACTGTTTTTTTTTAAGCATGGAAGGGCTAAAGATGAAATTTAAGACAGTGATTCCCTCTGAGAATAATGAGAAAGGCATGAGAAGAAACTTGGTAATTTCAGTGTGAGTGAGTTGATAGTGGGTTTGATACTGTTGTTTCATTATGGTGCTTCATGGTTTAGCTGTACTTTACTTATATGCTTTTGGATGTGTCAGATACTATACAAAAATTTTAAGAAAATAAGTATTGGCACAGTCTGCCAACTCTTCCACCCCAGTCAGGGTGTTGCCTACCTGCTCATAGTGCTCACGGTGATGCTGCCAACCAGTCAAGAGTAGCTGTTGCCAGGACTTAAAGCCTGTGGGCTGGGCATGGTGGTGCACGCCTGTAAACCCAGCACTTTGGGAGGCTGAGGCGGGCGGATCACCTGAAGTCCAGGAGTTCAGGACCAGCCTGGCCAGCATGGTGAAACCCCATCTCTACCAAAAATTCAAAAATTAGCCGGGTGTGGTAGCAGGCACCTGTAATCCCAGCTACTGGGGAGGCTGAGGCAGGAGAATCGCTTGAACCTGGGAGGCGGAGGTTGTAGTGAGCTGAGATGACGCCACTGCACTCCAGCCTGGGCGAGAGAAGGAGACACCGTCTCAGAAAAGAAAAGAAAAGAAAAACATAAAGCCTATGAATGCCTCACCGATCCTGTAATCAGCCATTTTTTGGTGGATTGTGTGCATATCCATACTGATACAAACCATTCTGCACCCCAGTATGTTTAAGGAATTTGCCTTAGCACCTGAGTCAATCCTATAGGCATTCATTACTCTTGCCCCAGACCTGCCATTAGTTACCACTCACATCCTCTCACACCCAACCCCAAGGTTCACAGGGAAAAGAGAAAGCCACATGTAGATATAGAACATCCAGCCTCTTCACCTGTAGCCAGAGAACACATACTCTTCTTAATGTCTTCTTAGGTGTCTTTGAATTGAGCCTTTGTTACTAACCCAGTGCTGGCTCTTCTGAGGAAAATGAACGGGCTTTTTCTAAGCACAAAAATGATTATAACTTTCTCTGTAAACAGAAATAGGAAAATTACATCCTATTCCAAATAGCTGCAAACTCTAGTTTCAAACTGTTAGATCAACCAACTCTAGCAGCCCTTACCTGAGGCGATGATTTAAGAAATCCTGTTGGTGATAACAGTTTGCTCCTGTCACACAATAAAGAATCACCAGAGAGAACAAGTATGTGGGCAGAAGTGGAAACTGATGAAAGAAATGGAAGGGAAGATTCTTTGCTTAATATCTTAAAATCCATGAAGACAGAGACCTTGCTTTGTCTTTTTTGTTCAACATGGTATCTCCAATACCTAGCCAACCATCTGTATTGTTGAATGTATTCTCAATACGTTTTTCACACCTTTATTGAGGGATAATTGACATATAATCAAGTATACTTTAAAATGTACAATTTGCTGTTTGACACATGTAACACTGTCACTACAATCAAGATAATAAACATACCTATCGTCCCCAAAAGTTTCCCGATGCCCTTTTGTAATCCCTCCCTCTCACCTTTCCCCCACCTAACCCCATCTCCAGACAAGCCCTGACTTACTGTCACCACAGATTAGTTTGCATTTGCTAGAAATTTATCTAAATGTAACCATGCAGTATACATGTTTTTTGGTCTTGCTTTCTTCACTCAGCATTATATTTTGACATTCACTCATGTTGTAGCAAGTACTGATACTTCATTGCCTTGTATTGCTGAATAATATTCCATAGCATGGATATACTCATTTGTTTATTCATTAATCTCTTGATGCATATTTAGGTTGTTTCTGGTTTGGGGCTAGTACAAGTAAAGCTGTTATTGAAAAATTTTGTACACTTTTTTGAATAGACATGCTTTCATTTCCCATGAGTAAATACCTAGGATTGGAATGGCTTTATCATATGCTAAGTGTGTGTATTTAACTTTAAAAGA